>NC_000002.12:237186587-237489618 GCF_000001405.40 Homo sapiens
AGGCAGAAAGCCAGGAGAATATGTTATCACAAACATTAAGGAAATAATATGCTTCCCTCATCATGGAGTGGACAAAAGTGAAGCAGAAAGCATTCTTTTGACTCCATCTTTTCACCCCAACATGCAAACCTGCCCTTTGACTATACTTTTAGCCCTAGAGATTTTTCACTCTATCTGCAGACTTTCTGTCTCTTTTGACTCAAATTCTATGTATGTCTCTGATTTTTCTCCAGCTCCCTCCCTTTCTCTTCTATCTTCATCTTTTAATCTTAATCTTTTCTCTCTCTCAAAAAAAACCTTGCTTGAAATGTTGTTATAGATCTTCAAATTCACAGAAGTCCTTTATCTAATTTATAGTCATAACATTTGCAGAAAAATTAACACAAAATTAAACTGACAACTAAAACCATACAGTGTAAAAGTTGTTATTGACTGAAACGTTGAATAGAAACATTTAAAGCATATCATTCTGTGGGAGATGATCCTTAAAAAAAAGTATGATTTGGCTTCTTTAAAAAGGTGAGACAGTAAAGACCTAGACAGTGCAACTTACCTAAAATAGTACGGTGAATCCATATAAATGCATTTAAAATTGACAAGTTCTCTCCTGGATGCACCACTTTATGCTTTTTTTTTTTAATTTTAAGATTTGCAAAAAACAAATCTTCCTTCCTAAATTTAGACATTCAAAATTTGGTATAAAAATAAGACTGGATAGAAACAATGGATAATGGCCACAAAAGGCAAATTTATAATATCAGAAACAATGACAGGTGAGCTTAACATTAGTTGAGGATTCAGATAGTGATCTTCAGGATAAACCTTTCCACATAAATGAAGAAAATTGGCCTTGAGAAAAATATTTTCAGTAAAATGAGAATAGAAAAAAAAAGGAAGAGCATTTCATTTTGATGTATAGGAAATTGAACAAAGAATTATATTTCTAATGGAATTGACTCTAGGAAATAACTATTTCACAATAAATCCAT
Organism: Homo sapiens; assembly: GCF_000001405.40. Lineage (NCBI taxonomy): Eukaryota > Metazoa > Chordata > Mammalia > Primates > Hominidae > Homo > Homo sapiens. The sequence continues at coordinate 237,187,577 of NC_000002.12, forward strand.
CAGTGCTCTTGTGACTCTGATTTAAATGTTTCTATTCAAAATATCATCAGGGTAAAAAAATTCCTCAAGTCAAAAACCTCATGAGTGAACTCCCATTCACAATCGCTTCAAAGAGAATAAAATACCTAGGAATCCAACTTACAAGGGATGTGAAGGACCTCTTCAAGGAGAACTACAAACCACTGCTCAAGGAAATAAAAGAGGATACAAACAAATGGAAGAACATTCCATGCTCATGGGTAGGAAGAATCAATATCGTGAAAATGGCCATACTGCCCAAGGTAATTTACAGATTCAATGCCATCCCCATCAAGCTACCAATGACTTTCTTCACAGAATTGGAAAAAACTACTTTAAAGTTCATATGGAACCAAAAAAGAGCCCACATCGCCAAGTCAATCCTAAGCCAAAAGAACAAAGCTGGAGGCATCACACTACCTGACTTCAAACTATACTACAAGGCTACAGTAACCAAAACAGCATGGTACTGGTACCAAAACAGAGATATAGATCAATGGAACAGGACAGAGCCCTCAGAAATAACGCCACATATCTACAACTATCTGATCTTTGACAAACCTGAGAAAAACAAGCAATGGGGAAAGGATTCCCTATTTAATAAATGGTGCTGGGAAAACTGGCTAGCCATATGTAGAAAGCTGAAACTGGATCCCTTCCTTACACCTTATACAAAAATCAATTCAAGATGGATTAAAGATTTAAACGTTAGACCTAAAACCATAAAAACCCTAGAAGAAAACCTAGGCATTACCATTCAGGACATAGGCATGGGCAAGGACTTCATGTCCAAAACACCAAAAGCAATGGCAACAAAAGCCAAAATTGACAAATGGGATCTAATTAAACTAAAGAGCTTCTGCACAGCAAAAGAAACTACCATCAGAGTGAACAGGCAACCTACAAAATGGGAGAAAATTTTCGCAATCTACTCATCTGACAAAGGGCTAATATCCAGAATCTACAGTGAACTCAAACAAATTTACAAGAAAAAAACAAACAACCTCATCAAAAAGTGGGCAAAGGACATGAACAGACACTTCTCAAAAGAAGACATTTATGCAGCCAAAAAACACATGAACAAATGCTCAGCATCACTGGCCATCAGAGAAATGCAAATCAAAACCACAATGAGATACCATCTCACACCAGTTAGAATGGCAATCATTAAAAAGTCAGGCAACAACAGGTGCTGGAGAGGATGTGGAGAAATAGGAACACTTTTACACTGTTGGTGGGACTGTAAACTAGTTCAACCATTGTGGAAGTCAGTGTGGCGATTCCTCAGTGATCTAGAACTAGAAATACCATTTGACCCAGCCATCCCATTACTGGGTATATACCCAAATGACTATAAATCATGCTGCTATAAAGACACATGCACGCGTATGTTTATTGCGGCATTATTCACAATAGCAAAGACTTGGAACCAACCCAAATGTCCAACAATGATAGACTGGATTAAGAAAATGTGGCACATATACACCATGGAATACTATGCAGCCATAAAAAATGATGAGTTCATGTCCTTTGTAGGGACATGGATGAAATTGGAAATCATCATTCTCAGTAAACTATCGCAAGAACAAAAAACCAAATACCGCATATTCTCACTCATAGGTGGGAACTGAACAATGAGATCACATGGAGACAGGAAGGGGAATATCACACTCTGGGGACTGTGGTGGGGTGGGGGGAGGGGGGAGGGATAACATTGGGAGATATACCTAATGCTAGATGACGAGTTAGTGGGTGCAGGGCACCAGCATGGCACATGTATACATATGTAACTAACCTGCACAATGTGCACATGTACCCTAAAACTTAAAGTATAATAAAAAAAAACCTCATATTAACCCTAATTTATTTGCAGGGAGTTGTGCAAAATGATCTTCTGACCCAAAAGTTTTACTTAATGATTTTTCTCTTTTATTTCCAGTTTTGTTTGTGTGTATTCTCTCTTCCATTTCTGGCTAACATATCTGAGTACCTTTTATAAGGTTAATGTTAACAATTTGGTAAAGAAATTATTTACACATATGATGTTTTGTGTATGATAGGAAGTTGAAATATTTCTATCTGAATAAACAAAAAATGAACTAGTCTGTAAGTGCACAAAATCTTTTTCCACCTGTAAAATCCATCTAATTTTATTCCATATAAATGCATTTAAGATGGGCAAGTTCTCTCCTAGAGCCACCACTTCATGCTTTTTAAATAGAGCAATATTCTCAGTGAAGTACATTTCATAGGATTACATGGATTCCTTTTAATTCGTGTCTTTCTTTTAATAAGAAAAGAAAAATATTCTCCTGGGCTAAAAACTGGGCGGCAAGTCTGGGGATGATGTTTTCCTTCTTATTCCCTCTGCGATTCACCATATTATTTTAGGCAAGTTGCACCGTCTGGGGCTTCACTATCTCTCCTTTTTAAAGAAGTCAAATCACACTTTTAAGGATCATCTCCCCACAGAGGCTGAGAAAATCTAGCAGTCATGCTTATGAATACAGAAGATGAACTTTAGGCCTGAGATTTTCCTCCCATTGGAAATCAAGTCTTGAATGCCTAGAGGGCTGGAATTCTGTCACGGAGTCCCCTGTAGCTCCCCAAGGTGACTGAGGGAGGGTTCAAATTTTCCCCTTACTGTTGGCTGCATCCTGGAGCCTGGTGGATGGAAAGGCTTTCCCTTAGTGGAGGAAAATCATCTCTGAGGTCAGGGAGGTGCATTTGCTTCTCTGTAGGCACCTACTGACAACAGTCCTTGGTCCTGGAATATTGAGATGTTATTTGCAATAATTTATGGGCATGGACGGTTGGAGTGAGGGTGATGGAGAAAAGCCACAGGCAGCTCTCCTGGGCCTCCCAAGCATGGCTGGAGGCTGAAGCCCCCTAGTTATCTGCCTGAAACTACCTCATCAGGGTGGACTGAAGGATTTGTGTCCTCAGCCATGTCCAGGGCCTTCTTCCTGTAGGTATGGACTCCCATGTTTTTTGTTGTTGTTGTTGTTGTTTTGTTTTGTTTTGTTTTTTGAGGCAGGGGCTTGCTCTGTCACTTGGGCTAGAGTGCAGTGGCACCATCACAGCTCACTGCAGCCTTGACCTCCTGGGCTCTAGCAATCCACCAGCCTCAGCCTCCCAAGTAGCTGGGATCACAGGCTGGCACCACCACACTCAGCTAATTTTTCTGGTTTTTGGTAGAGATGGGATCTTGCTATGTTGCCCAGGCTGGTCTCAAATTCCTAGGCTCAAGAAGTCCTCCCACCTCAGCCTTCCAAATTTCTGGAATTACAGGTGTGAGCCATGTGCCCAGGCCAGAGTCCTGTGCTTTTACTTTTCTCAACATCTGAATAGAAAGTCTTCTCAGCTCTTGTCACTTAATTGGAGAAATGGCCAGTTCTGGGATCATAAGGAAAACATCTCATCCCTTAATAGCAGGACCAGATTGTAAGTCAGTGGGGTGTTGCCCTGGCCAGGGAGACTCTTGTGTTCTTGGATCAGGTTGATGGAGCCTTGCTTCCTGAGAATTGGAGCGAATATTCCAGGCTAGAAGACCAGTGGGAGAGGCAGCCCAACCCCTGAGCAGCAGGCTGTGCTCTGCGCCCACAGGGCCCATCCACGTGAGGGCCTTCCCCAACAAACGATCTTCTCTGCTCTCAGCCAGGCAGAGACAGCAGCACCCTTACAGCTCTCCAAGTGCCTTTGGTATTGCCTCAATATCTAATTTCAGTTCTGTTTTTCAGGGTGTCAGACAAGTTGGAAAAATTAATTTCATAGGTTTTGAGAATAAAATGTGTGTTATGACAGAATCCCAGAAAACAAATAGTTTGGAAGTCGCCCTCCATCTTCAGGAAACGCAAAAGTCCAGTTGCTGACTTATCTTGTTAACAGGAGGAGAAGGAAGCTTCTGTAAATCTAGCCCCGAGGATTTCTTTCAAGGCCAGCTGGCTGGACCTCATAGATATCTCTTCTTGGACATATATCCAAGCTCACAAACCAAGCTGTTTTCAGAGAAGTTCAGCTAAAGGCTGACAAATTCCACTTTTTTATTTCACTAGAGGAAATAGTCTGTTTTTCAGAATACTCATAACTAGAAATTTATATATATTCTGCTGTAAAAATGGAATCTGTTTTTCTGACTGTATAAAACTTAGAGTGAAGGCAGTGTCTGGCCTCAATCTACACCAAGGGCTGGAGCAGTCACAGCCCTCACGGTGGCTCCACTGCCACTGTAGGCCGGGCTGCCCCATCTGCTCACAGGACTGACTGTTCTTCCTTTCAAGTTCTCTGTGATTAAGACCAGCCTGTGGGATGCGGGGAAGGAGGAACTCAGCCCCTCCTCAGAAGCTGGCTCCTCTTTCTTACTCCCACCGCCCCCGGGGATGGGATTTCCCATGACCAGACCCGGGCTGGGAAATACCCCTCCCTGCCTCACCTTCCCCTTCAACACAGCGGCTCGGCAGTGAGGGTCTGTGAGGCATCTTTAAGTTCTGTCTGTGATTTAACTCAAGCAAAACTTGGGCCTCAGCTGTCCAAGCTCAGCATGAAGTCCATTCAGTGAAACAATCCAGAAGTATTCCAAGCAGCCCAAATCTTCCCCATGTCGGTCACCAAATATCAAAAAGAAGGCAGTGCATCCTGGATTCCTACAGATTCTGAGCACCTGGTGGTCCCAGGTGCTGTACGTTGAGCTCTGTCTCAGGAGGGGCTGCTGTATAGCACATCCCTCTGCTCACGTGAGGTATTGAGCTCCAGTTCAAATGCTGTCATTTCCCCCAAAGAGATTTAGGCAATCAAGTCATTCTTTTAGATACTAACTGTGTATTGAAAACCCACTATCTGGCTGGGTGCAGTGGCTCATGCCTGTAATCCCAGCACTTTGGGAGGCTGAGGCAGGTAGATCACCTGAGGTCAGGAGTTCGAGATCAGCTTGATCAGCATGATGAAACCCCATCTCTACTGAAAAAAAAATACAAAAAATTAGCAGGGCATGGTGGCACATGCCTGTAATCCCAGCTACTCGGGAGGCTGAGGCAGGAGAATCGCTTGAACCCGGGAGGCGGAGGTTGCAGTGAGCAAGATCATGTCATTGCACTCCAGCCTGGGTGACAAGAGCGAAACTCCATCTTAAAAAACAAACAAACAAACAACAACAAAAAAAGCCCACTAAGGGGTTTCCCAGGTACTGGGAATAGAATAGGAATCAAATCATTTTTTAAAAATCCCTCTCCTCTCAACAGAGCTTATATTTTAATAGGAAAGATGGACAATAAATAAAATAACTGAGTACAACAAGCAGGAAAAGTGGGCGTGAAGAGCAGAGCAGGGGGTGATGTTTAAACTGCAGCAAGGAAGCAGAGGGAGCCCTCACCCAGGGGTAATTCTAAGCATGCCCTGCCAGGGCAAGGAAGGAGCCAAGCTGCCAGCTGGGAAAGGATGCTCTGGGGGAGCCACCCGTGCAAGGGCCCTGAGGTAGGACTGCGCCTGTCATGTGTGAGCAGCTGCATGGCGAGCTCCCGGCCTGAGTGGGCGAGTGAGGGAAGGTTGCAGGAGGCAAGGTGAGCATTGTCGGTGCTGGCAGCAGGATGGTGCGGGGCACTGCAGGGGCTTTGGCTATTTCCTGAATGCAATGGAAGACATTGCTGGGTTTTGAGGAGAAAAATGGCATCACCTGAAATGTGTGTAGCAGAATCGCAGTGAGAGCTCGTTGAGAACAGACTGATGGGGGCAGAGGCAGAAATGGGAACTCAGTAAGAAGCTTGCTGTAAGAATCCAGGCCAGAGCCAACGCTGATGGAGGCTTGGGCTGTGGTGGAGGTGGTGGAGATGGCAAGGTGGTCAGATTCTGGACTTTATGTGAGGGCAGAGATGACAGGGTGGAAGTGAGGCTTTCTGGCCGGATCCCCTGGAAGAACGGATTTTCCCTCAGCTGAGAAGCAGAAGGCTACGGGATGAGCAGGTTTGCAGGGACGGGTGATGAGGAGCTCAGTTTTACACGTGTTAAGTGTGCTGTGTGTGTAAGCCCACCAGAGAGGGGGCATTACATAGGCAGGTGCAGGCACAGGCAGGTGCAGACACAGGTAGGTGCGGACACAGGTAGGTGCACACACAGGTAGGTGCAGACACAGGCAGGGCTCAGGGGAGAGGAGCCGGGGGCTAATACTTGAGAACCATCAGCCCTTGAGGATATTCCAAGTCCTGAGGCTGGATGAGATCATCTGGGTTTTAGGGGAGAGGGGACAGAGAAGCAGTCTCAGGACCCTGCCCTGGGCCACTCCAGCGATCATAGACCAGGGACATGTACCAGGCCTACAGGGGTCATGACTGGCTCTGCCGGCTGCATGGTTCCACCAGCTACCCAGCTCCACCTGCACACATTTGGCTTTACCTCACGGGGTGCTTTCTCCCTCTGCGGCCCACTTCACTCCAGCTCAGCCCCAAGAATGTGGGTGGCATGAGGACAGAAAACCTTCTCTCTCTTCACAGCTGGTGTAAGACATGAAGAAGAGCATTCCACCCATGGCAGGTCTCAGTGAGGGTTTGTTTGATGCAGTGGTGCCATGGGGCTGGGCCCAGCCTCCGTCGCCTGGAGGGACTCACCTGCCCCAGCTGCTGGGAGCATGGGCTGCTGGGAGCATGGGCTGCTGATGGCTCCTGGCCGCATACCCTGCCGGGGACTCCCCTGAGGAGCTGCCTGACTCAGAGTTCTCCTGCTCCCAAAGGTGTTCCACAGCCAATGCCTGGCAGCCTGGGGACACAGAACATGGAGGCACAATCCCTGGCCCAAGCTGGGACAACCTTGAGAGACCCTCCCAGCTGCAGAGCTACGGGCAGGTTTTGTTGGGCTTTATTTGCAGCCTCATCCATGGGCCAGCTCCCACTGTGTCCATTCCTGCCTCCCCCTTCCAGTACGTGGGGGTCTCCTGGGTGCAATTCTCAGTAAACCTTCTTCAGGCAGCTTCCCACCTTTGGTTCTGTTCCAGAAAACCCAAGCACACACACTGTATGAATGAACACATGAATGCTCCAGGCCTCAGCTAAAATTCCACCTTCTTAGAAAAGTTTTCTCAGTCTCCCTGCAATAAATCCAGGCCCCTGTTAGATGGTTTCGTGGCTCCCTGTACTTTTCTTCGCAGCACTGATTGCTCTGTTATTTGTATGACTTTTTACTAATGTCTGTTTCCCCTAGCCCGTGTGTTCCATGACGGCAGGGACTAGGTGGGTCTTGCCTGGCACCTGATAGAAATTTAGAAAGTATCAGTTGAAGGAGTGAGTCTGCCAGCAACAGACAGTCTAGGTGTAGCTGAGCTAGAGTCACCCAGGAGCACAACCCTTGAAAGGCGTCAGGTCGCAGTATGAAAATGCCTGTAGGGTTCGGCTGCCTGGAAAAGTCCCTGATCTAGCCCTGGAGATGGGCTTCAGGGGCTCCAGCTGTGGCTATGGGTGGGGAGGGGGTGCTCCCCAGCTAGCCCTCCCTCGTTCGCCCTGGGGCTGGCATTTCTTGGCATGCTCCCCACCTCCCACCTGCAACTGAAACCCCCAGTGTGGGGCTGCAGCCACTGGCATGTGACTGTGTTCTGCCTGAGGATAAATGTTGGGAAAAAAAATAGAGGGAAATGACAGCAACCTCCCTGCAAGGAAAGTGGAGAAACAAAAGGCCAGGAATGCTTTTCCAGAACAAGGCATCAGGGTTTAGTGAGACAGAGCCGGACTCCATCTCCATGGAAAAACAGTTAGCCTCTGCCTTACCAGCATGTGGGCACTCTCTACAGGTTTTTGCCCAAGCTCTGGCAGGCTCCCAGATGGTCTTCGAGGTGCATGTTCAGGGCAGCTTTGTGCGGATGTCCTAAAGACGTTGCACTCAGGGGCTGTCTTCAGTGTCACATGGCCCTGAGGCATATGAAAACACTGTGCAGGAGAGGAGCCTACTTTAGGGGGTAGAGCAAACTGGCTAGCTCTGTCTTCTATCAGCAATGCAACCTGGAGAGGCCTTTCTTGAGACAGCTGTTTGGCCACCTGAGTCAAGCCTGCCTTCCCCCTGGGATCCCATGATTCTCAGTGAAGTCTAGTCCAAGCCCTGGTCCAAGCTCTGATATGTTGTCTGTGCCCTTCCTCCTCCAGACAGTGGTCCATGTCATAAGGTTCCCCTTTACTGACTACGTGCTGTGCACCTGCCATGCAACCTTCTGTTCCTCATCATCTTAGCTGACCTCCACAAACACCTGTAAGGCAGATGATGTAATTATCTCCATTCTACAGACTCAGGGGCCGAGGCTCAGACAGGCGAAGCCACATTCCTGAGGCCACACAGTTGGTAAGAGATGGATCCAGCTGGACGATCCCAACAGCTGGGCCTTTACACCTTTGATTTATGGCCTCTTGGGATGGCGGCTTGTGTGGTTGCTTCACTGCATAACCTCAAATTCCCACAAGTTTCGTATGTTCATTTAGAGAGGAGGAAATTGAAGTTCGGAGCAAGTAAGTGGCATATCTGAGACTGCACAACATTACCTGGGAGAGACAAGATTTGACCCCCGAAGGTTCAAGAGCCTCATTCTTTTCCATATGACCATTGCAGCATCCAAACCTTCACTCCTCGCTGGGGCGAGCAGACCCCATCCTCCAGGCTTGGGTAGAGGAGAATCTCCATTGTGACTGTGCTCTTCACGGGCTGTGTCTATTCCTGATTTTAGACTTTCCAAACAGTTGTCCAACCAAAGCTTCAAGCTAAAGACCTCAGTGCCTCCACATCAGGATGGATTGAAAGCTATGGACTCTGGTGTAACAGGAGCAGGGTCAAAAGCACAGTCTTTGCCTCATTGCACCAGAACTGCTGACAATCACAGAGCACTGGAAAGATCCTTCCTAACTGGCTCCCCAGCAATTCTACAACAATTTGTTTGTTGCCCTTAAATGAGCCAATCATCCTCACAAACCAGGCTTCACATGGTCCCCAGCTAAAGAGCTCATAGTCATGTTCATGGCTGCTGACTACAGGCTGGTCTATTTCTAAAGCAGCTTGATTTCTAAACCACTCTGAATTAAATAAGACAAGTTTTAAAGAGGTCACTGTGGAATGTTCCATTATTAAAACGATAATATAAATTCTCTAAGAAACCCACTTGTGTGCCAAATTTACATCACATTATCAAAGATGTGCTTTGGATGAACATTGTTCTTGGGGTAGATTTCAGAGAAGAAAGAAAGTGACCAAAGGAAGCAACATCTACCCCGGCCTTTTTTTAGCTCCTAGGAAGTAAAAGTAAAAAAGCAACTTCAGCTATCAAATCCCTCTAATCACAGAGGGTCAGGTGGGGAGGTAAGGAGATATAAACAAAGTGAAAGAGCTGGTAGGGGAAGGGTGGACCTCAGCCCGATGAGCACCCCCAGGCACTGCAGCAGATGCATGTCTTTAAAAGGCCCCAGGGAAGTTAGATCACAAAAGCTCTGTGTGTAAGTGAAGCTGATTCATTATTCCTGTGTTTGGACAACTAGACCAGTACAATGCTGACCCCACCCACTGGACAGACACCATATCTATCCAACACTCACACAGCAGCCCTAGCAGGTGGGAAGTGCTGTCTCTGATTTTCACAGAAGGGCTTTAAGCAGTCTGATAGTTTGCATTATTGTTCTCAAATATTTACCTACTTTGCCCCCATCCAGCTCCTTGGGAGGAGTATATTTCCTCTCCACATTGATGTTGGGCTTGGCCGTGGGACATGCTTTGGCCAAGGGAAAGTGGGCAGATGTGAAATGAGCCTTCAATGCTTGAGCAGTCTGCTTGGCTCTTATGCACTGAGACCTGCCATTAGAAGAGCTTCCCCTGAGTGGCCACTGCCCTGAAGCCTGAACCTTAGAATAAAACACGCGTCGCAGACCTGAGTCTGATCAAAGCCCAGAGCCATGCCCAGCTGAACCACAGCGTGAAGCAGGGCTGCCCACTGAGTCCCAGGCTATCAGCTAAGCTGCACTCAACATGTAGATTCATGAGCATGAGGGAAATGATACTTGTAACAAACCACAGAAGTTTAACATGTTATCTCACACAGCAGTAGCAGTTATTACAGAAAGGTTGTATAATTAACCAAAGTCAAGGAGAAGTCTGATTCTGAGCATTCAGATTTGCCTAGCTCCAAATCCCATGCTCTTTTAATTTTCCCATGTAGAACAAACAGGCTGGAGGTTACAAGTTTGGGGAACAGTCATCTCTACCATGCAGCTGGGTACTGAAGTGTACAGGTAGTCTAAGGCAAAAGAGAAACATTGTACAGGAGATTATGCAGTAGAAGGGTTTGTTGATGAATCTCCCTAGATTTAGGTTTCCAGAGGATGTTCCACATGAACTTTTTGGCTCCTTCTGCCCAGTTAAATAATCACACCTATGCTAATTGATGTGTTTTATTCGTGAACCTAAAACATGTTGATAGGCAGTTATCTTTGTATTTAAACTTGGCTGAAATTTCTGTTTTCAACATTGTAGATAAAATCCACATGCCTCAGTGTAAAAATAGTAATATTTTACAGAAATAAGAAAATTACAAAAGGTGGTTCTCACATAAAAACTATCCATTCTCCTACTAGGAGTCCTGTTTGACCCATACCCTTTTCATCTCACCATGTGGAGAAAATGGTGTGGAGGAGGAATTTAGGACAAATAGAAGGACTGCTGAGAACTAGAGCACTTATTAAGCTGAGGTTCAGGGTTAATTTGCTTGTATCTACATTTCCATCCATTTACTGTGAACTTCTCTTTCTTATGCTCATGACGTACATTAAGGAAATATTTATGGTATTTCCATGGTAGAAAAACAGATGTCTCTTGATCTCTATTTTGATTTTTAAAATTCCATGGGACAATAAATGTTATGTGTACATATTTTTAGACATCTCATGAATTTCTACAAAGAGGTTTTCCCATCTGAAAAAGAAATTTAAAATTACTCCTGTGTTCCACAATCTCTAGATTTCTGTCATTAATTTGCAGTTCTTTGGGGGGTCTGGAGTGGAGTTGGAGTATTTATTAGTTATTCAAACATGACAGGCACTATGCTAAGTACTTTGTATACACACCCATGAGTCATGATAACAGCCCATAAGGTCTGTTGTATAACCTGGATTTGCAGATGAGGCTCAGAGAAGTTGAGTTACTTTTTCAAAAATATCACCGATAAGAGGCAGAGCTCAGGATTGAACCCAATTATGTCTGGCTCCAAATTCCATGCATTTTCCACAACTGCAGACTGCCTCCTCCCATGCTATTTCCTCCTCATCAAGTCCAGGTGTCAGCAGAAATATTTCTAAGCCTCCAACAAGAAGAAGGGCCTTGTTTTCTGGGTTGGGGACAGGTTTATAAGGATAAGAAGGACCTCAGCACTTGGGTCCACTCTCCATCACTCATTCTGGACTTTATCCAGCTTGTCTCTGTCCTCTCTGTTTTTAAATTAGGGCTCTTTTACTATTTATTAACTTATCTAGTGGAGGGGTGTGTGAGACACTAACTCAATTTGCCTTTTAGTTAGAAATCAAACTAAACCTTTGGTTTTGGAGAGGGAAAGCAGATGGGTAAAGAAGTTAAGCAACAGCTCCTGGAGGTTGGAGGATTGATCTGTTCCTTCCAGGCTTGCTTTCGTTAAAAGAGTTACTCATAATTCAGCTGCATTATCACAGAGATGTGTTTTACAAATTAACCTTAACTGCTTTGACTTAGAGGAGGGAATCTGATTTTCTTAGAACACATTTTTCCCAACAGGGTCCCAGTGTCAATGGCAGCTATGCTGAGTCATCAATGACTTGGTAAAGAATAACAATCAAACCTAAAAATTAACATATGGGAAATTAACATTTTCTCTAACAACTTCAGGCACCACTTTTTGTTATTCATGTAATTATAATTTACAGTTGCTCAAGCCAAAAACCTGGGAATTATCCTTGGTTATTCTTTTCTCTCTATCCTTGATGTTGTCACAGGATCCTTAAGGTGTTGCTTTGCCAGCCAGAAACCTCTGTGGCTGGCGGCACCTTCTGCCTGAGTATTGCTCATGCCCACTGGGCTTGTTACTGCCCACTCAGCCTGGCAGGCTGCACTTGGCCCAAGCTACTGGCCCAGATTCCACACCTGCCTAGGGCAAGCCAGGCACAGAGTGGCAAAGGGTGTGTGAGCAAACATGGGGTCCAGCCACTGCACACAGCCAGGCACACTGGCTGCTGTGACAGGGTGCATAGTGACAGCACAGGTGTCAGCTCCATGTGAGGCTGCAGCTGGACCGGATATACTGTATGTGGCTTCTGCTGTGAGCAGCTGCATCTAGACAAGGGGAACATGGTGGTGCCTGGAAGCTTGGAGATGCCAGGAACTGCAGAGCCCCAAAGAGGGTGTCACAGCCCTGGCATGGGGAGCCCCTAGGTCTGGGATCCCCGAAGGGTTCTAGCTCTCCTCTCATCACCTGCTCAATGTGGCAAGCAGGGCGGGGGGGTGTTTCAGCCCTGTTTGTGTTACAGCTCTTTCAGTCCTGCCATCTGGTGGGTTCCAAGTTCTTGCCCCATGTCCAGGAAGAATAAGGTACATGGAAAACTGGAGGGTGAGCAAGGTGGAGAGGAGCTTCATTGTGTGACAGAACAGCTCTCAGGAGACCCGAAGTGGGTAGCTCTTTTCTGCAGGCAGGTCCTCCTGATGAGTGTCCAGCTCTCAACAGAGAGGAGACTCACAGTAGGTAGCTCCTTTCCACAGCTGGTAGTCCTGACCTCTGTTCTAGTCTGGCTGAGTTCATGGTTTTTACAGGCTCAGAAGGGAGGAAATGCATGCTGATTGGTCCATGGGTGGCTAGGGGTAGGCCTGGAAAAAGCACCATCAGTTCTCACTCCTGTCTGCAGACTCTACCTGGAACTGACAGCCCGGCCTCCATGCTTCAGGCCATCCCTGGTTTGAAGGTGGGGCTTCACCAGGAACCAGCCCCTTTCCACCAAGGAGCCTGTCTGCCTCTTGCCGCCATCAATCATGTTGTCCACAGTGCCCAGAGTGTTCGTGCCAAGGGCACCTGCAGACCCATGTCTAGCCACCTTGGTGCCCCCTAGGCCTCTCTCCCATGCTCATTGGTGCCCAAAGTCCGGAGAAGGCCGAGGTGGCAGGGGTCTGGTGTGTCAGCACTGCCCTGAGCATGTGCACACCTGGCCAGGTTGTGACAATGCCCCGGCTTGGCCACAACTTTGCTTGCCAGGTGCCGGGAGTGGTGAGAGGCCAGGCAGTGAGAGCAGGCACTTCTGAGCCTATGAGAGGAGGGCTTCCTGGGCCCCTGAGAGCAAGACAAGAGAGTTCCAAAGGAGCTGTGTGACTTTTGACAAAGACATGCTGAAATTTACTGACCCACCATGCTGTCTTTTACTATGGTTTTTTCTGACTAGAATATAAGCTCGATAATGGTAGGACTCTGGTTGTGGCCGTTGTTTCCCCAGCATCTAGAACGACATCTGGCATATAATAGGTATTTCAAAAATGTTGGGGGACATTGGAAAAAAGTCACAAATACCAAAGCCCGCCACTGTCTTAAGTCTCCAAGGATTTAGAGGGAAGTCCGAGAGCATTCACCAACCAAACACTGCTGGCCGGGAGGCCTGTGCTACTGGAGCAAGAGTCACCCTGGAGCTAGGATGCTGAACACCTGGCTCTCTGCATCCCACTGCCCGCTACACCATCCACGCTGTCTTTCACCTGAGCCCAGAGCAGCTTCAGAATCTGAAGCAGACACCGTGTGCGCCTCACCCAGGTCCCCTCAGAAGCCCCTTTTTCCAGGTGATGTTTCCAGGGTCCTGGTCCCAGTTTTGCCTCCCTTGTTAGCACTGGCTTCTGCTCACTGGTCATTGGGAAGCTTCACCTCCAAGCTGTGGTGGCACCTGGAGACATAATAAGAGGGAAGGGGGAAGGGAAGCAGGGATTGAACCTGCCTTCCTCCTTGTTAGTGACTTTCCTTTTTTCTCTTTTCACAAATACAAATGTGCGGGTAGGACTCAGGGTGAGAAAACTCAGAGGACTGAGCTGACTCCACAGGGACCCTGAGGCATTCCTCGGCCGTCTTTACAGAGGAGCTGGGCCCCTGTCTCCCTCCCTCCAGGAGGACACGCACCACCAGTGAGGCAGCTGGGCTCTGGGAGTGCCCTAGGAGGACCAGTCCGGCTGGCTGGAGAGGAAATATTGCCCTTCGAGGGTGATTGTTAAAGTTTCTAGAAGTTCAATGGCCTGCACAGGCCTCCCAAGGCTGGTATACTCAGGCTTATTTCGCTGAGGGAAATAAAATTACCCTTTAAACACAACCACAACATTTCCATTTCTTGCTCTAAACTGAGTTGGCCAAGCCTGAACTCTACTTTCAAGCATTTAACTCTTTAGTGGAAAAAAAAAAGTCATCTGAAAACATTCATGCACGTGCCCGGCTCTGGCTCTGAGCCGTGGGTACTGTCTTGGAACTGTGGGAAATAGCATGTGGTGGTACCCTGTCTGGCCGGCCCTTCTGGGGGTGGGGTAGGGGAGAACCCATAACCAAGAAGCTGTGGGTGGATAGCAGGAGGCCCTGAGGGTGAGTCACCCGGTTTGCTGCCTTGCGGTCACAGACCTTTGGCTATTGTCACTGCCCCTGGGATGAGTCACACTGAGCCTTAGTGCCTCTGGGGCTCTGCGGAGCTGAATTTCTCCCAGTCCACAGGGTCCGGACATTTGTTCCTAATCTTTCACCCACCTCCCACTCTGTAAGTGACTGGAACTTCCCACTGGGGGTGCAACCACAAGCTAAGGACTGCTGACCTAAGGAAGAACTATTTTTGCTTTTGAAGACTTCAACATAGAGAATGGAAGTGTTTATGTTGTTGGCATTTGAATTAAGAGCTGAGCAGCCTTCTGCGGACATTATGGGTATTCCATTATCTCTGGGAATCAAAGGATATTTCCTCAGCTCCTTTGCCAAAGGCTTCCAGGCAATTCAACACCAGAGAACGAAGGGACAAAGAGCAGTTGCCCAAGTTCCAAGGAAGGGGGAAAGCGAATGGGCAGTGAGCTCAGATGGCTTTGCTTTCAGGCAAGGAAAAGCAATCTTCCATGAGTCTGCGATGATAGCATTCCCCAGACAGGGGACGTGGAGCGGTGACCTGTGGCTCGCAAGCCTCAGACAGGAAGCTCACACTTACAGACCCATCAGCCCTGTCCCATTCCATTTCTCAGGGTCCACACCTTGCCCACATCTAAGATACCCAAAGGTCAGTGACGCCCTTTCCATGGGTTGCCTGAAACTCTCAGCTGGGTCTTAACCCTCACCGTGCTGTTGGGACGAAGAAGCGTGGCTAACTGCATCTCACTGTACGAAGCCTGGGAGTTCAGAAAGCAGAGGCCAGCCCTCTTGTGGGCAGCACCAGGCAGGGGCATGTTTAGCAGCCTGTGGGGGGAATTCTAGCCCAGCCAGGTGGAATCTTGGGGAAGCAGGGTCCATAGAAGTCCTTGAGGGGTCAGTGAAAGTCTCCAATTCCTGACTCCAAGGCATGAGACATGAGAGAGAAGGGAGAGAATTTTCTGGACAGAGCTGTAAATGAAGTGGCACCGGTAGCTTCCTCTCTCCACAAGGCCACCTCCCAGCCGTCACTCCTGCTGCTTGAAAGTCAATCCCTTGGCACTACCAGCTGCTTCTATCATCTGCAAATCACTTTACTGCTCCCATCTCACAAGAGCCGCTTTTCCCTTCTGCGTTTAGCCATTCAGCAGCTGCGTAAGCGCTCACAAGAGCTGTTAGTATCACCAGCTTCCTCTCAAGGGCAGACTGAGGCCAGGAGGCCATGCAGCTTCCTAGAGTGCACCCATCTGGGTTGAGATGAAACCAGGATTTGGGCCATGGCAGTTGGATGCAGAGCCCATCACCAGGCTCCTGAGAATATCAGAGGGAGACCTGGATTGGGCTGGATCCCTTGAGGAGGGAGATTGTAATCCTGCTCCTGTTTTCTGTCTTTCTGTGACCTCTCAATTTCTGACACTGGCTTTTTCCCGTAGCATCCTCACCATCATTCGCTCAAATGCAAGTGAACTCCCCATGCTCCATGCTGGTACCTATCCTGTGTGATCCTCCTTAGCATCCTGCAGCTTCCATAACAAATTTCTCCACACTTGGTGGCTTAAAATGACACACGTTTATTCTCCTATCATAGTGGAGGCCAGAAGCCTATGATGAGGATCAGCAGGCTAAACCCAAGGTGTTAGAATTGTTCTCCCCAGGAGGGTCACGGGAAGGATTCCTCTCTGCCTCTGTCAGCTTCTGGTGACTTCAAGTGCTCCTTGGCTCATGCCTGCATCACTCCAACCTCTGCCTCCATGCTCAGGTGGCCTTCTCCTCTCTCGTATCAAGTATCCCTGTGTCTCCCTCCTATAAGGATCCTTGTGTTTGCATTCAGACCCCACCTGGTGAGTCCAGGATAATCCCCCCATCTCAAGATGCTTAATTTAATCACATCTGCAAAGAGCCTTATTTTGGGGGTGAGGGGAAGCACACAAAGTAACATTCACAGGTTCCAGGGATTAGGATGTGGAATTTTGGGAGGAACTCTCTCTCTCTCTCTCTCTCTCTCTCTCTCTCTCTCTCTCTCTCTCTCTCTATATATATATATATATATATATATATATATATGCGTGTATATATATGCATGTATATATATGTGTGTGATATATGTGTGTGTATATGTGTGTGTGTGTGTGTGTGTATATATATATATGTATATATATATATTTTTTTTAACTGAGTCTCACTCTGTGTCCCAGGCTGGAGCGTAGTGGTACAATCTCAGCTCACTGCAGCCCCTACCTCCCGGGTTCAAGCAATTCTCCTATCTCAGCCTCCTCAGTAGCTGGGACTACAGGTACGTGCCACCACGCCCAGCTAATTTTTGTATTTTTAGTAGAGATGGTGTTTAACCATGCTGGCCAGGCTGGTCTTGAACTCCTGACCTCAGGTGATCTACCCGCTGTCTCAGCCTCCCAAAGTGCTGGGATTACAGGTGTGAGCCACTGCATCTGGCCGTGGGGAGCATTTTTTGAGTCTACCTCAATCCCCAAATCTATAGCTTCACTGTTGGCCTTCACACTGAACTGGAGAGCTGAATTCTCCCAGCCCACCAGCTACCCCGGGTCAGGAGGGAAGGCCTGGACCTGCCACAGTCCACACCCTCTGCATTTGGCTGGACTCCATGTATAACCCTGAGCCTTGATGTCGCAGTGACACTGGAGGACAGGTGGAAGGTGCTGCTCCGTGAGGAGGCACTGACTTCCCCCAGGGAAGTTTGGGTCAGGATCACAGGTGTATGGGGCATTCAGCCTCTTGGCTTGATCTGCAAAGTCGGTTTCCTTGCTTTGTTCTTTCATTTGTATCACAGATCTCCTCCGGGGATGGGGGGGCTGGAACTGTCTGCAGGCTCTGTCGTGTCCTGGGCATCTCATGCATAATAATTTTCTTGCTCTCACCAAAAGTGGAGGGAGGGAGGCCCTCTCACCATTCATGACACTCTTG
Organism: Homo sapiens; assembly: GCF_000001405.40. Lineage (NCBI taxonomy): Eukaryota > Metazoa > Chordata > Mammalia > Primates > Hominidae > Homo > Homo sapiens. The sequence goes on from NC_000002.12 coordinate 237,205,122, forward strand.
ATATAAGAAACAACAAAAGGCAGAGGGGAAGCAAAAGATCCCAGACAGCAATAAAAAGTAATTCATTCCCAGCATGGAGTCGGTGTGTCAGGAGGGAAGCATGAAGGAGTCATGTGCCGCAGTCCCTAGCCAGCCTGGACTTTCATGCACATGGTGAAGATGCATCTCTCTGGAGCGGTGGAGCCCTGGCCTGCGGCACCCAGCACAGGTGCTGTGAATGCGGGTCGGCTTTTGTAAGTGTTGGGTGACATCTGGACTTTTGGCTCTGTTGGCTCAGCCACATACCAGGAAATGAAGTATTCCTGCAAGGAAGGGGTTTGCGCCTGTGCACAGGGCGTGGGAGAGATCCTTGAGCTGCAGAGAAAGTCCTGCATTGTGAGACTTGCCATTCTTTGTGGCTTCTGGGAGCTGTGCAGTAGGAAACTGCAGCTGTCTTGGATAGCGTTAGGAAATTATCCGAGTTTCTATGATGAAAGGAAGGCAAAAGAAGCCACTTATTACCCCACTGGTGTCATTAAGGGTGCCTTCTCTTTTCTTTAGCAAGAATCTAATGTTGCCTCTAAAGGAAATGGAAAATTCTCACCATGAAGCCTCGTTTCGATTACTCCTGTAATTTTGCATGAATGTGACCAAATGTTTTCTGTCAAACCTCACCTCCTGCTGGTTTCTAAATCCTAATTCATTGTGAACAGAACCCACCATGAACTAGCTAGCTCCTCACTGGAAAAGTCACCAAACCCACAGTGCTGAAAAGGAGTCATTATCACGTACGCTTTTGATTCAGATGGGGCTTTGAGTGAAACATGCCCGTTCTCGAGTTGGCCTCTCTGCTTCCACATTTTTCTGAAACCAGCACTAAAACCCTTGTAATTCAAAGCTTTTTCTCTGCTTAGCAGTGTTGCCCGGAGACCCGAGGCTGTTCCCCATGGACTGGAAATGTGATTCTGCATCCTACTTTAAAAATCAAAGAGCACACAGGGAGGGTTTCCATTCTTTCTGGGGGAATTTTATTTTATTTTATTTTATTTTATTTTATTAATGATCCTAAAAAATCAAGATGAATCAAAGGGTTGAGTAACATATCAAATGTCTAGAGAACGGATTCTCCACCAGCCAGTGCCAGTTAGTGTTCACAGAGGCAATTGCACAGAGGAGGTAATTGGAAAAGGAAGGGGATGGCCCCTGGATTTGCCCAGCTTGATGGTTTCAGGATCGTCCTCAGGGGAAAGGCCTAGAGCGGTGACCAATTAATAAGCTTCAAACCCACTGGTGATTGAAACCAATCAGAAGCTGTTTTGATAATTGGTTGTACCAAAGGGAAGACACCCCTAATTCTGGGTGGAGAGGAAGAATGTTCCATGCTACTTTAGAATGAAATCTGTTTGAATTGGCTGAGCTTTCTGAGGTTGGCTAGACTTCACAACTCCAAAGGCTGGAACACAGGTGTCCTCATTGTTAAGAACTAGAGAGAACACCTAAGAGAATCATAAGCTTTGTAACAACACACAGGAGGCTGTGGTCCATGTACATGAATATCCGAATGAGAAATCTTCAGTCCATTCTCTTCTTCCCAGCAGGAAAGCCTCTTTCTTGGTTTCCTTCTAGAAAACTTGGGGAAGGCTCAGAAGGGCACCTTCAGTCGGAGGGTGGAGAACCAGGTCTGGGAGCCTTCTGCACTGACCTTTTGTCCCTTCTTCCGCTATCCTGCCACAGTGTCTCATGGCTGCTATGAACACCACTAGCTCCTCTGTAGCAGGTGGAGTCTCTGTGTAGAAACGGTTCTCACTTTGGGTTCCCCACTGGCGTCACTTGGAGAGTTTAAAAATGCTGATGCCTGGGCCCTGCCTGGGGATTCTGATTTGCTTGCTCTGGGGCATGACCAGGGTATGGTGTTTTTAAAGCTTCCCGTGCTTCAGTGGAGCCAGGGTCAAGAACCATTGATTCTGGGACTCTACCTATATAGCCTCCAAGTAGGGGTTTTTCCTATTAGAGATATTGTTTTATTTTACCTACCCCAATGAGGGCACACAGGATCTCCATGTCATCCTGGGAGCCACATCGTCAGCACGGCTGAACCCACCCAGGGGCCCCCCTGTTGCATGTGGGTGGGCACTGCTTGTTTCCCCACACTGAAAGAGAAAAGTTGCACTCTCCCAGTGTGATTGACAGGTGACAGGACCTGGCGTGTTGCTTCCTGAAAACAGGGAAGAAAAAAAGGGTAAGGAGTGGAATGGAATTACATGGTGCAGATAAACAAATGGAAAATGGCTCTGAAAACATCTTTTGTGGGGCATGAGGCGGATACATGTTAGGAAGCCCCTATTTAAGAAAACAGCATAAAATTAGGAATACAAAGTAGCAAGAGAGCCTTGGGAGGTCCATGGAGGGGGGCTCCTGAACCTTCAGCTTTGACCAAATGAGCAGTGCAGCCGGGCGATGGGATGGCAGGCAGGCGATGCGCATGCTGATGTGGAGGCACACCTTGCACCTGGAGAGCTGTCTGCAGAATTTTCTACTGAATTGAAAGGGCTACAAAACAGCATGTCAAATCCTGTTTCTTTTTTGTCGAGAGTTGTACGCACACTCATATTAAAGTCTACTTTTTATAGTCCAAGAGTACAATGGAATGATGGTTTCCTCTGAGCCTGGGAACTCAAGTGGAGGAACGAGGTTGCGAAATGGGCAGGGTCACTGCCAAACAGTGTCACTGTCACCGATTAGCTTCATGGTGTTGTGATTATGATGCATGAACCAGACCAGTGCTCACCATGTGGCTGGAGTCACCGGCCCCTCAGTCCAGATAAAACTGACATAAAAACCCACGCAAACTGATTGTGAAACTGCTCCTTATAAAGCTGCAAATAATCCCTCTTTTCTGGACTCTTTTTTGACACAAAAGGAGATGTTTCATCTACCCCATTGCATGCAACCAATATGTATTATTCCACTAACCATTCTAATAATGTATTGTCACAGGAGGCACCACGTGCACGCTCAGTTAGAGACACTCTTCATGAGACTGTGGAAGAGGAGGCAGGAGGAAGCAGAGATTTGGACAGCAGGGTTTCCCCCACTGCACTGACATTCCCAGGAAACACTTGGTTCAGGGGCTGCTGGTGCATTTTGGATTTTCACGGTACTACATGGAACAGATCTTATTTTCGACAGAATTCTTCCCTACCACACAGACACACACTGCTTCATGTACAGTTTACTTTAATGTAGTTACAGCATTTCTTACATTGATTAAAACTTGTAGCAGAATTCTTTCCCAGGAAATATTGCAAAATAAGTTCTGTAACTTGGAAAGAGCCCTCCCTTTCTAGTGTACTACATCAGCCTGTGAGTATCACGGACCAGATGAGAACCGTTGTGGCATCCTAACATGTCCTTTGGCGCAGTAACACTCAGCACAGAATTTGCGGTGACATGGACAGGAAGCAGTGCTCTGTTCCCTGACGTTGGAATATGCTTCAATGTAATGCATGGCTGCTTTCCATATTCAGAAAAATCCAAAGACTCTGCTCTAGTGGCTTTGGTTTTTATCCTTTGTGAGGATATAGACATGATTCACGGCAGAGAAACATCACAGGCAGGTCTTATGAAAAAAAAATATCCCCCTGAAAGAAAGAGGAAATGATCTCTGAAAATTGCAAACATATGCCAACAAGGCCAATAAAATACGTGTATGCACACAGCAGGGTTCTCCCCACCACAGACTCTGAAGGTCCCTGGTCCCCTTAGCCATCTCAGTAAGCATCAACATTGCCTTGCATCTTTGCAAACAAATTGGAGATTGTTTTGCTTTTTAAAGTTGTATTCGCACTGCACATGGCTTTGATTAGTGGTCACACACATGCGCCAAACCTAATGTCATCTGCGGCTTTTGATTGTATTTTCCCCTTTATGGGACTGGAAAAATCTTAGTCTCCAGCCTGGAGATGGTCTGTCTCTCGTTATTCTGGAGGCCCCGTGGCTGAGCTGGCAAGGAGGAGGGAAGGGAGCAGAGTCTTCCGCCTACAGGTTCCCAGGACGGTGGGCTGGCCCCAGCCCCAGCCTCTCTCGTGTCCCCATCTCCCCTAGTGAAGGCCCTCACCTGCCTCCTCCAGAGTGTTCTGTGCCCTTCACGCAGGAAACTCACGGACACCTCCCGTGGGAGCAATTGAGGAATCAGTGTACTCGAAGCATAGACAGCCCAGGAGGGACTGGGCCTAATGTGGGCGAGACACTCTAGGCAAAGGAAGGAATTCCTAAAGACGGATCATAGATGCCAGAATCGTTTGCCCCAAGGTTGGTGCTGACCTGGAGGGGATTTCTCAGTGCACCCCTCAGGAGAAACACGGAGCTGGATGGGGGCGCTCTTTGATGAGGCACACAGGAGAGTGAGCCTCAGGAATTTTTTTTTTTTAATTTTTGTTTTAAGTTCTGGGGTACATGTGCAGGATGTGCAGGTTTGTTACACAGGTAAACGTGTGCCGTGGTGGTTTGCTGCGCCTATCAACCCATCACCTAGGTATTTAGCCCAGCATCCATTAGCTATTTTTCCTAATGCCAGGAAGGTTTTTAAGATGATTCCTTCCAGAAAAAGGTAAATCATCCTTGCCACCACTTCTGACCCTCTTTCCTCTGACCTAGACTATATCGTTAAAAACAGTCCATTTTCTTTCAGAAGAAGCAATACAACTATAACCTCTGGGTAGGGGAGAACATATGTATAGAATAGGATAACAATAAAAAGGCAGGCAGTCCTGACCTGGACACAGAAGAGCAGTGAAAAGAGAGATTCTTTGCAGGGACAGCACCTAAGACCAAGTTAAGAAAGGAGAACGATGACCTACATTCTAGGAAACATTGACACCCGGTTCAGGGTCAACTGTGGGAGTTAGTCAACAACACCCCCAAGTCAGGAATCTTGATCTGTGGGCACAGAAGATGCAATTTGAATCGTGTGCTGATTAAAATCAGATCCAAATGCTGATGAGTAAAGGAAATACAAGGCTATTCGTTTTCACGCATGGTAAAACCAAGGAATTATTTCCACACTGAACATTCTGAATCAGTCATTCTCCATTAGGAAGGAGGACTTCCACGTATAAGGTATTGAGCTGAGCATAATATTACATAAGGAGAGAGTAATAAACTAGCATAACCCACTCCACTTTCTCAAAATACAGACATGATCTTATTTCCTTTATGTGTCCAAGTAATCGCTTAGAACATTATCTTTCCTACTGCGTACTTGCCATGCCCGTCCCTCCTCTAATTATCCTGGAACACAGTCAAAGAGGCTTCAAGCGTGAGCCCCAACACCCAGTGGGAAAGATACATGGCATCTAGTCATCCATCATCACGCAAGTATGATCACTGTGAGGAGATGCTATCCACTGACAGCTCAAATTGAGTGTCCACTGCCACCAGCATGACCCTCTCTCTGGTTCACACTGTCCATGATTAGGCTCCAGAGTTGTTACTCATTCATTCATTCCGCATTTACCGAGTGCTGACTGTGTGTCAGGCACTGTTCTTGGTTCTGGGGTTATAGCTGTGAACAAAACAGACAAAAACTCTTGCTTCCCCATTCTAGGGGTTGAGACAGACAAGGCATGGAAGAAGTCATTAATTTACTTTTAATTGCATCCTAAGTATAAAGGAAGGATAGTAAAGTAGGAAAGGGAGACACGAAGGGCTGGAGGGGAAGGGCAAGGACATGGAGGAAGGGAGGGAGCTTGTCCTGCAAATACAGCTGAGGGAAGAGCACTGTTGGCGGAGAGAACAGACAGTACAAAGCTGCTGAGCTGGAGCGAGCCTGGCTGCATCCAAGAAGAGGAGCAGGGCTCATCAGGGAGCCAGGAAGGTCATGGGGATTGTTTTTGTCATTCACACTCACATTCAGCTTTGGGCATGGGAGCACTGCCATTGTGACGCAGCAGCAGGGACATGGGGCTGCCAGCTCTGGGCAACGCCCCTTCCCAGGACAAATCCTTAGGTCTTTATGTCTAATGGGGGCGTCTCTCAGACCCCACTTCCTTGCTACTGTGAACCCCGAAAATCTGAGATAGGTCTCAGTTAATTTTGAAAGTTTATTTTGCCAAGGTTGAGGACACGTGCCTGTGACACAGCCTCAGGAGGTCCTGACGACATGTGCCCAGCGTGGTCGGAGCACGGTTTGGTTTTATACTCCCAAGAGTGGAACAGGAGCCACCAAGCTGTTGTTCCCTCATTCGGGCTCAATCCCATGTGACATCTCACTGCACTGTGTGTGATTTCCATGCTTAATGACACACCGAGGCTAACAGATACAATATACTCTACTCATGGATTTTTGTGAGATAATTAGGACCTGGTCCTCAACCAAGATGTGATTCCATTGCGTTGATCACAGACCTAATGGCTACCAACATTTTGTTCTCCTGAGTGAGGCTGAAGTAGAGAGGATGGGGTTCGGGAGTTGGGGGAAGAGTCTTGGACTAGATACCTCAAATGCTAGGAGAACCTGTGTGCATATGCACGTGTGCATGTGTGTTGTGTGCTGCGTGTGTGGCATGTGTGTGGTGTGTGTATGTTATGTGTGGTATGTGTAGTCTGTGTGTTGTGTGTCTGGCATGTGTGTAATGTGTAAGGTATGTGTGATGTGTGTGTGATGTGTGTGTCATACATTTGGCATGTGTGTAAGGTATGGGTGGTGTGTGTGATGTGTGTGTAATATGTATGTGGCTTGCGTGTAAGGTATGGGTGGTGTGTGTGATGTGTGTGTAATATATATGTGGCATGTGTGTAAGGTATGTGTGGGGTGTGTGTAACACATATGTGGCATGTAAGGTATGTGTGTCTCGTGTGTGATGTGTGTGATATGTGTGTATGAGGTATGTGTGGTGTGTGTGATGTGTGTGAGGTATGTGTGGTGTGTGTGATGTGTGTGATACGTGTGTGGCATGTGTGTAAGGTATGGGTGGTGTGTGATGTGTGCATAATACGTATGTGGCATGTGTGTAAGGTATGGGTGGTGTGTGTGATGTGTGTGTAATATGTATGTGGTATGTGTGGTGTGTGTGATGTGTGTGGCATGTGTGTAAGGTATGTGTGGTGTGTGTGATGTGTGTGATACGTGTGTGGCATCTGTGTAAGGTGTGTGTGGTGTGTGTGATGTGTGTGGCATGTGTGTAAGGTATGTCTTGTGTGTGATGTGTGTGTAATACGTGTGTATAAGGTATGTGTGGTGTGTGGTGTGTGTGATGTGTGTGATATATGTGTGTAAGATGTGTGGTGTGTGTGATGTGTGATACATGTGTGTAAGGTATGTGTGGTGTGTGTGGTGTGATGTGTGTGATGTGTGTGATGCATGTGTGGCATGTGTGTAAGGTATGTCTTGTGTGTGATGTGTGTGTAATACGTGTGTGTAAGGTATGTGTGGTGTGTGTGATGTGTGTGATACATGTGTGTAAGGTATGTGTGGTGTGTGTGGTGTGTGTGATGTAATACATATGTGGCATGTGTGTAAGGTATGGGTGGTGTGTGTGATGTGTGTGTAATATGTATGTGGTATGTGTGTAAGGTATGTGGTGTGTGACATATGTGTGATACGTGTGTGGCATCTGTGTAAGGTATGTGTGGTGTGTGGTGTGTGTATGTGTGTGGCATGTGTGTAAGGTATGTGTGTCTTGTGTGTGATGTGTGTGTAATACGTGTGTGTAAGGTGTGTGTGATGTGTGTGATACATGTGTGTAAGGTGTGTATGGTGTGTGATGTATGTGTGATATGTGTGTGGCATGTGTGTAAGGTATGTGTGTCATGTGTGATGTGTGTGAGATACGTGTGTGTAAGGTATGTGTGGTGTGTGTGTGATGTGTGTGTAAGGTAAGTGTGGTGTGTGATGTGTGCATGATACATGTGTGGCATGTGTGTAAGGTATGTATGGTGTGTAAGATGCATGTGTGATACGTGTGTGGCATGCGTGTAAGGTATGTGTGTCATGTGTGATGTGTGTGAGATACGTGTGTGTGAGGTATGTGTGGTGTGTGATGTGTGTGTAAGGTAAGTGTGGTGTGTGTGATGTGTGCATGATACATGTGTGGCATGTGTGTAAGGTATGTATGGTGTGTAAGATGCATGTGTGATACGTGTGTGGCATGTGTGTAAGGTATGTGTGTCGTGTGTGATGTGTATGTGATACGTGTGTGTAAGGTATGTATGGTGTGTGTGTGTTTGGAAGAGGAGTAAAGAAGAGTGCAATGTGGCACTTGGGGAAAGGACAGAGATGCTGCAGGGAGATATTTGCTGATATTTTTGCTTTGAGGGCTGCAGTGTAACCCTCTCCTATCTTCTACTTTCAAGAAAATAAAGTTTTCAGAGAGGCTTCACGGTTGACCAAGGGTCTGTGTGAGCTGGAAGTGCAGCCTGGGGCTGTGCCATGGCAGAGTGACACCGGAGGAGCAGGGGAGGTTTGAACATAAGGGTTTTACAGCACCAAGAAACCTTAGCTCCATTATCTTACACTTGGAGGTCTCTCACGGATAAATCAGCTGCTTTTCAAAATAGAAGAGACTTATGAAAATGTATCACTTGGCAGACATAGAAAGCAGCTGCTTATCATCATTAATTTTCAATAAATATGTATTAAGCAACAGGATATAGATCACTCTGTGAGGTTCAGGACCTTGGGAAAATACAGTATCCTAGAGACAGCATTAACACAAGGCACGACTCAAGGCCGCTCCTGTCATCTACACCCCTCCCGCTCTGCACGGCTGACTCAGAGCCTCCTGGCCTGCGGAGGAGCAAGAGGCACTGCACAGGCCACAGCGGGTTGTGATCCAGGAGAGGCCATTGGTTGGGGCGGGGGGATGTTAATTCCTCTGAGGTTGTGGGCAGGGGAGATTTTCTTGGAGGACATTCATTTCCCAGTGGGGAGGGAAGATTGAGACTATAATGTCTCTAGGGAAATTTAATAATTAAGGAAGGTCCACATGATGGAACTGTGGGCCATTTTCTATTTCAGGCCTTATGGTTATTTTGCCTTTACCATAGGGCGGTGCTTATCACCAGCAAGACTGACCAACAAACCAGCTGTGGAGGGAAATTGAGAGTGGGCTCCCTGCTGAAGACAGTAGACATGGCCATCAATTAATGTCCTGTTTTCTCCCGTGCAGAGCCTCTCAGGGCCAAAGCTGGATTGTACCGGGCTGGGAAAACAAAAAATAAATACATGGGGAGAGAATGTTGAGGGGTGACTTGCTAACCAGTCAGTTGAATTCCAGGCACAGATTGAGTTGCTTCTGGAGTGGGCAGGGTCACTGTGAACGCCTACGTGAGCCTCTTCTGCACCACACAGCAGAAACTGTAAGTTGCATGTGACTCCCCTTAGGGTCTGGCATTCACCATTCTCTCTCTCCATGCAAGCACACACACATGTGCGGTTATAACTTTGCCTCTTCTACCATGTGGGCGGTAGAAAATGCTGAGATCCCATGATTTAGATGAGGGCTTAGAGAAAGATATGAAAAACACAGACCAAATTTTCTGACTATAAAGCAATAAAATCAATGTCGTAATGTAAGTAGAAAAAGAAAGAAAGCCCTGTTACATGGAAAAAAAAATAAAATTATCCTAAACAACTGTTGCTAAAAGTAAAAAAATAAAATAAATTAAGCATTAAACTCAAGATTTAGCAAAATGATAATTAAATTACCACCCCAAAGCTGATTAAATTAGTAATGGCAAAAAGACATGATGAATAACATGAAAAAGAAAATAATTTCTTAAATGAGATATAAAACACGAACCATTAGGGAAAAACATGAAAAATTAGACTTCGTGAAAATGCAAAACATTGTATAACAATAGTACATATGCTATTGGTACAACATTGTACCAAAACGAAGAGAAAAGGCAAGTTACAGATTGGAAAAAGGTATTTGTAGTGTAAACAACTGACAAAAGATTGATATGCAAAAATGTATAAAAATTCTTACAAATCAACCAGAAAAAGTTAAGCAATCCAAAATGACCTCAGGAGGTGAGTAGGTGATTCATGAGAAAAGAAAATTTGGATTAACTTCCTACTAATTGAGGAAATGCTAATGACATCAATAAGACACAATTGCACCCCATCAGATGGCTAAAACTAATAGTCCTGAACAAGGTTTTGTGATGTGTGTGGGAGTAGAACTTAGGCACAGTCTTGCACCAAATGACACAATTTTGCTCAACAACAGGCCACATATACAATGGCGGTCTTATAGGATTATAATGGAGCTCAAAAATCCTACAGCCTAGTATTTACTATACTACATGTTTTATTGTTGTTTTAGAGTGTTCTTTTTCTACTTATAAAAAAAAGTTACTGTAAAACAGCCTCAACGGGCCCTTCAGGAGGTATCCAGAAGAAGGCATTGTCATCATAGGAGGTGACAGCTCCATGTGTGTTATTGCCCTGAAGACCTTCCAATGGAACAAGAGGTGGAGGTGGAAGACAGTGATATGGATGACCCTGACCCTGTGTAAGCCTAGGCTAATATGTGTGTTTTTGGCTTCATTTTTGACAAAAAACAGTTTTAAAAGTAAAAATAAAATAAAAATATTTAAATAGAAAAAAAGTTATAGAATAGGAGCATAAAGAAAAAATATTTTTACATGGCTATACAATGTGTTTATGTTTTAAACTAGGTGTTATTAGAAAAGAGCCAAAAATCTTAAAACAAAGTTAAAAAGTTTGTGAATGCCAGGTGTGGTGGCTCACGCATGTAATCCCAGAACTTTGGGAGGCCAAAGTGGTCAGATCACGAGGTCAGGAGTTCGAGACCAGCCTGGCCAACATGGTAAAACCCCATCTCTACTAAAAATATAAAACTTAGCTGGGTGTGGTGGCAGACGCTTATAATCCCAGCTACTCGTGAGGCTGAGACAAGAGAATCACTTGAACCTGGGAGACGGATGTTGCAGTGAGCCTAGATTGTCCCACTCTAACCTGGGTAACAGAGCAAGACTCCATCTCAAAAACAAAAACAAAAACAAAAAACAAAAAAGTTTATGAAGCCAAAAGTTACAGAAAGCTGAGGTTAATTTATTATTGAAGAAAGAAAAAAATTTTAATAAACTGAGTGTAGCCTAAGGATACAGTGCCTATAAAGTCTACCGTAGTGTAGATACAGTTGTGTCCTAGGACTCACTGACTCACCCAGAGCAACCTCCAGTCCTACAAGCTCCATTCATGGTAAGTGCCCTATACAGGTGTACCATTTTTTATCTTTTATACTATATTTTTACTGTACATTTTCTACATTTAGTTATGTTTAGATACACATATACTCATCATTGTATCACAGTTGCCTGCAGTGTTCAGCATGCTAACATGCCATGCACTTTTGTAGCCTAGGAGCAAGAGGCTATACCATAGAGCCGAGGTGTGTAATAGACTGTACCTTCTAGGTTTGTGTAAGTACACTCTATAATGTTCACACAATGACAAAATCGCCTAACAACACATTTTGCAGAACATATTCTCATCATTGAGTGAGGCATGACTGTATATTGTTGGCTGAAGTGTAGATTGATAAAACCTTTTCGTGTGCGATTTGGCAAAGCAGGTCAGCGTTGAAGATGGGCAGACCTTATGACTTGGCAATTCTACTTCTGGTCCATCTGGGACACTATACTTAGGAAATCTTGAAAGTATTGAAAGAAAGAAATAGCCCAACCTAGAACTTTATGCCCAGCAAAATTATCCTTCAAAAATTAAGGAGAAATAAAGACTTTCTCAGACAAACAAAAACTGAGAAAATTAATGGCCTGCAGACCTGCCCTGCAGGAAATATTAAACCTTGATCAGAAAGTTGGAACTATATAAGGAAGGGAAGAGTGCTGGAGAAAAAAATAAATGAATCTAAAATAAAATCTTGAGCTTTCCTATTCTTATTCTTAATTGATTAAAAAGATAATTATTTGTTTAAAGTTATAATTATAGCAATGTATCTGGTTTTTATAATGTGGGGGTATTAGTCTGTTCTCATGCTGCTAATAAACACATACCCGAGACTGGGTAATTTATAAAGGAAAGACGTTTAATTGACTCACAGTTCCACATGGCTGGGAAGGCCTTGCAATCATGGCAGAAGGTGAAGGAGGAACAAAGTCATGTTTTACATGGTGGCAGGCAAGAGAGCTTGCACAGGGGAACTTCCCTTTATAAAACCATCAGATCTCGTGAGACTTATTCACTATCATGAGAACAGCACAGGAAAGACCCACCCCCATTATTCAATTACCTCCCACCAGGTCCCTCCCACGACATGTGGGGATTATTACAATTCAAGGTGAGATTTGGGTCGGGGCACAGCCAAACCATGTCAGTGGGTAAGAGAAAGGAATGACAACAATAGTCAAAATTGGGGATGCTTGGCTACAAGTTACCTGCATTCACATGAAGTGGTACGGTGTTACTTAAAGGTGGCCGTGGATTATTTAAATATACATATATAGTAAACCCAAGAGTAACTACTAAAAAGTTGTAAAAAGAAGTATAAATGATAAATCACAAGAGGAGATAAAATGCAATCATATGAAATGCTCAATTAAAACCTGAGAGTGGAAGACTTTTCTCCCTTCATGCTTCTCTCTGTTCCTCTAAGTCCAACTAAATCCCTGGGTGTTGGATGTAAACTGAATATAAGAAGACTTCAAACAGTGGAGAGAAGACTGCAGATTGGCCGGGGACTTTAGAGCTGTATGGCACTGAGTTCCCTGGGTTTTCTTTTTGCTTCACATATCCAACTTGGTGCCGGAGAAGCTGCAAGCTAAAAACTCTAATGGGCACAGGCAGAAAGAGCCTTCCAAACAGCCTGCTTTCTCTAGCCCAAGGAAAGGGGGAAAAACTGAAAGCTTGTAGTAAATAGCTGCTCTTCAGCAGCCAAATATCAGGAACAAAGACCTGTGGTCCTTCTCCCAATGGCGCCAGCAAAATCTGAGTCAGGAACCTAGGCTTCTACCCTGGCTTGCCAGGCTGTAAGGAGGCACCTTGGTCTCCCATGCAGTGGTGGCAGAGAAGGCCCAATGGGGAACTGGGTTTCCTGCCACCACCAGCAATAACGCAGTGCCCATTCCCTCCCCTGCTGGAGTGGTGTCCAGGGAGGCCTGGTGGATAGGCAGAGCTTTCAACCCCACCCAGAAGTAATGGGGCCACCCCTCACGTCCCTTTGTCAGTGGAGGCCACACGCACTCAAGCAGTAACCAGCAGAAGTCAGCATTCTGACTTCTCCCAGTCAGGGAGGTTTTAGTGGAGATACAACAGGAAGCTAGAACTCCCACCTCCGCCTATCAGAAAAGACAACCCCCACCCTCAGGAATGAAAGGAGGCTCAGTGGGGAACCTGTCCTTCTACCCCCCACCTGGCAGGAATGAGGCGCCCCCACCCACTGCCTCTGCCAGAGCAGTGTCAGAGGAACTTGCTCAAACAGAAAATTTAAATAAGATTCACCGTCTCAAAGAAAATGCCCAAAATGTTTAGGTTTCAATCAAAAATTTCTCAGAGAACCGGGAAGATCTTAAACCGATTAAAAAACAACAATAGGTTCCAACACCAAAATAGCAGAGACTAGAATTATCTGACAAAGATTTTAAAGCAGCCATCAGTAAAATGTCTCAAAGAGAGATTACAAACATATGTGAAACAAATGTGAAACTCCAAGGTCTCACCAAAGAAACTCAAAGTCTCAGCAAAGAAATAGAGATGTAAAACTGGTCCACGTGGACATGCTACATGTTAAGCCAGCATTCTATTTCTGGAATAAATCCCACTTGGTCATGGTGTAGAACACTTCCTATATGTGTTGGCTTTAGGTTTTAAGACATTAGCATCAATATTTATAAGGAATATTCATCTGTAGTTTTCTCTTCTTGTGATATTTGCATCTGGTTTCAATTAACACAGACTTTATAGAAGGAATTGGGTAATGACCCATTACATTCTATTTTTTTGGAAGAGTTTGTGAAGAATTGGTGTTAATTCTTTAAACGTTTGAGAGGATTCACCAGTGAGGCCACCTAGTCTTGGGACATTCTTTGTGGGAAAATTTTGGATTGCCAATTCAATCTCTTTACTTGTTATAGATACATTCAGGTTTTTAAAATTTCTTCTCCATTTAGTTTTGGCAGTTTGTATCTTTTGAGGAATCGGTTCATTTCATCTAGGTCATTTAATGTGTTGGCATACTGTTTTGTATAGGATTCCCTTATATACTTTTTAAATTTCTCTGAGGTCAGTAGTAATGTTCCCCACTTCAGCATTGCTTTTAGTAATTTGAGTCCTCTGTCTCTCGTTTTTGGATGATAGGGGGTCAGTCTAGCTAAACTAGATTTCTCTTAGATGCCCTTTAAGAGATTGCAAAAGTCTCCTTCTGTTGCTCACTTCCTGAGTTTTTATCATAAGTGAGTGCTGAATTTTATTAAAAGTTTTCCCAGGCCGGGCGCGGTGGCTCACGCCTGTAATCCCAGCACTTTGGGAGGCCGAGGCAGGAGGATCACGAGGTCAGGAGATCAAGACCATCCTGGCTAACGCGGTGAAACCCCGTCTCTACTAAAAATACAAAAAATTAGCGGGGCGTGGTGGCGGGCGCCTGTAGTCCCAGCTAGTCGGGAGGCTGAGGCAGGAGAATGGCGTGAACCCGGGAGGCGGAGCTTGCAGTGAGCCGAGATCGCGCCACTGCACTCCAGCCCGGGCGGCAGAGCAAGACTCCATCTCAAAAAAAAAAAAAAAAAAAAAGTTTAAAAAATTTTCCCTGAATCTATTGAAATAATTCACTCCTCACTCACTTACCACAAGTAAGAAGACAATAGACATGGTAGTATGAATACCATTGAAAAATATGTGTGTAAGTGCATTCAATGACTGCTAAATATTGTAGTGGTGTTTGACTTTTTAACTCGTGGGCATGTACCATTTTAATTTTTTAAATTCCGTAAAGTGTAAAATAAAATGTGTCCCTTGTTTTTGCAGAGAAGTCTCTATTATGAATATTAGCAATCTCTAAATATATCCACAAATTCCAAGTAATGCAATAAAAATTCCAGTAGGAATTTAGCATGTTAGAATGACAAGAAGAAGAGACATAGAAGAGTTAAGAAAATTCTCGGGTGAGGAAAAAGGAGACTCGTTTAAATCAGATTTATCCTATCAAATACTCAAGTGCATTATCAAATGATAGTAAAGGAGTATAAAACTGACCCTGAAATAGATGGGCAGATCAATGTAATAGAATGAGAGTCCAGAAATAGAAATATGTATGTCACGATGTACTTTATGATAAAAAGTATCTTTTCAAATGAGGAGAAAAAAATTATTCAATAAATATTTGGGGGACTTTTGTAAAAAAAAATATAAAGCCAGATCTTTGGCTCACTCTTAGAATCAAAATTAATTCCAGATGGGTAAAATATTTAAAAGCAAAATACAAAATCATAAAATTATGAGGAATCATTTCTGGTGAAACCTTTAATAATACTGAAGTAGAGTGATTTCAAAACCAAAAAGTATAAAGGAAAAAAAGTGGATTCAAATACATATTATTTAGCAAAAAAGAACTTTTTTTAAACTACACTTTCACACTTTAAATCAACAGCAATATACTAACAGAAAATTCTTTACAGTATATAATAAATAAATGATTAATTTCCTTAATATACAAAGAATTTTTAAATTAAAAAAAGATGAATATACCAATTAAAAAATAGGTAAAGGGCATGAACAAACACTTGAAGAGGTTTAACCTCGTGCTTTAGCAAAGAGCTACAAATAAAATCAATAAGAAGATAGATGAAGCTACTATCAACTTAGCAACCATTTAAAAGATAGTCAAGAGACATTAAAACCCTTTTTAATAAATATTTCCCCTAAATTTCTATTGGGTTAAATTTTTCATTTAGGCATTACTTAAATCTTTCCCTTTTGTAAATTTTTTTTTTGCTTTTATGAATAATGTCCTTTCCCATTCTGAAATTAACATTTACTTATAATTCTTATGGTTTCTTAGGGATTTATTTTCTTTCTTTGTTTAACATGTAGCTCTTTAACACATTTAGAGTTGACTTTAGTGTTTGATATAAGGCGAGGACCGAATTAACTCATTTCCAAATACTTCATTAGTTGCCAGCACTATACATGGTGCAATCCTTCCTGCTCAAATCCGTAACAAAGTGGGTTTTATCATCTAGTCTAGATGAGTCTTTGCATGTTGGCCTATCTTCACCTGTACTTATATCTACATCTGATTCTGTCCACCAAACCTCTCCTGTTATAGAGGAATAAAACAAAGACCAGAGAAGATAACTGCTTTGTCCCAGGTCACACAGCTGGTAGCGGGGCAGAACCTGGGTGGGGGCCCTCGCCCACCCCTGTTCCTCCAGCACAGGCTCTCCCTAAGCTACATGTCCTCTCAACCAGGCTTCCTAGTACATGGGGAATAACGACCCTACCCTTCCCCACCTGATCCACCCAAGCTCTGCTCAGAAGGGGAAGTGGCGACCCTCCCGCAGGCGGTGGCACTCTCTCTCTCTCGTTGTGTCTGAAGGCTGTTCCACTTCCCAGGCTCTGTTCTGTGAGTCTCTGTGTTCTGTGAGGCTCCAAATGTGCTGCCCTACACAACACACAGCCAGAGAGTGGCTGGGGAGACGGTCTACCTGGCTGGAGAACCTGGACCCACACCCTTCTCTGCACATAAGGGCCAGTGCCCCTGACTCTAGGAGCCTAATAGGAACATAGGTCATTGCTGGAGTCAGACTGTCTGGGTTCAAATCTCTCTCTGCCACTTCTGGCTTGAATAACCTCTTCTGTGCCTCCGGTTCTCATCTCAAAAAGGAGGATAACAAGCAGACTTAACTCATAGGAGCTTGTAGAGGTGAACTCAGTTAACCTGAGTAACTTGCTTAGCACAGTGATTGCAAATGTTAGCTGTGGAGATCAATTTTACTAATTTTATTCAGTTGAAGGGTTGGTATCTAGTGAAATTTATATTGTTTCTTTTAAAAGATCATGTTTCTTTTTTCTCTTTAGTATTGAAATTGGCATCTTTGGGAGCTCGCTGTCATCTCTTCACAAAACATCCCCACGGAAAGCCAAACTTTCCCTTAGCAAGCGTGGCAACGTCCCAGAGTGCAGCCTGGTGAGTTTGGAATGCAGGTGGTTTGCGGACCCAAGGGAGAAAAAGTGACTGCAGATGGTGCATTTCCTGTTTATAACGTGCTTGGGGAAATGACCATTTTGCTCATGAAGAAAAAAGATTTTTTATCTTATTGGGTAAAGAAAAATAATAGACCACAGAGACAGAATATTACCACAGCATTTTTGTCTGATGAGAAACTGATTGGCTTGACTACATATTGATTAAACATTCTACATGCCGTTACTCTCTAGACAATAAGAATCTTGGCATACGATAACTTTGAAAGCAAAGTTCATTTACGGTCAGGTTGGTTTCACCAAAACAATCGTATTCCAATATTACGGTTCTCAAAACTGAAATACCTGAAAACCTCTTTGGGGACCTGGATTTTCAGTGGAAAACAAACTGCTCAGACAAAGCTGCTGGGGCCCCCATTTCCCACTGCTTCCTCAGTTTCCCCAAAACTAAACAATCTGGGAGACAGTGTGAAGTTAGTGCATGTTTAATTTGGCAACTCTCTTTCCAGATGTGTATGGTCCAGATGTGTTGAGTCTGCTCCCAAGTTATCAATCAAAAAGCAAACTGACCCGGGGTGGATGGCTGCATTTGTACAGCAGCTGCTGTCACCAGCGCACCCCCAAGCAATGTTTTCTTAAACTTAGATGTCCAGGCAGAAAAATCCCTTTGCCTTCTAGTGGCCCCTGCCTAACATTTCCCTCCATACCCTTCTAGATTACCTTACACGGAGAGAATTAAGTTAGGGGATTTGTCTGCTGTCAGTCCCCTTTTTCTTCTGGTTCTATTTTTAGCCTTAATGGTCTTTTCTAATAGGTCCAAACTGTGCAACAATACGTAAAACTAATTGTATTTTACATAAAAATCCATGATCACATCTAGCCAGCCAAAATGGATCAGAGAAGCTCCATACAGTCGTGTGGATTTTTTTATTTGACTAGAAGCCATCCATGTGCCTACCTGATGCATGTGCACACATGCATCCACGCACCTTGCATGCACACACACATGCACATGCACTCTTCCAGGATGGCTTTGAAGTGGCGAGGGTAGAAAGGAACTCTTGGTCCCAAGGGCTGGCCTCATGAAGGAGCTCCAAGATGCAACTCATTCTTGAATTGCAGCCAGGACCTCAACTATTCCCTGCAGGAATTCCCCTAAGAAGAATGTGTTGGTCTTATGTGTCACGGGTTGCCCCAAGTCATCCTGGCTTCTGGGGTTGTGGGCTTTTGTTCAGAGAAAACAGGGACTGCTGAAACCTTGTAGTGGATACTCTCTGTTCCCTGCCCAGATCTCTGGGCTGGTGCCCCATCCTCTAGGTCTGTGAGCATTGGCTGCCGAGGGCTCACAGCTGCCCATTTCCAGAGAAGTTCCCTTGGGACAGTAACAGCTTCTGGGCCCAGAAGATTACTCTCCCACACACAAGGCAGCCAAGGGCCAAGCCTGACTAGGACAAAAGCCCAGGCCCCCTCCCTCACAGTGGGACCACTCCGTGGTGCAATTCACACTCCCCAACTTCCCCGGGGATCAGGCAGAAACTGGACCCCAGCCAAGAACCTGCCTGGCTCCACCCTTCTCCAGGCTTCTTGGCTTCCTTCACTCCCTTTCTGCCCACAGGTCCTACAATAGATCATTTCCACAAGACCCCCGTCTCAGACTCTGCCTAAGAAATCCCTCATCTTAATCACTGAGCCCATCTGGCGTCTTTCTTTTATAAAAAATTTGTATTTTTATTTTAAGTTCCTGGGTACATGTGCAGGATGTGCAGGTTTGTTACATAGGTAAACGTGTGCCAAGGTGGTTTGCTGCACCTATTAACCCATCACCTAGGTATTAAGCCCAGCATGCATTAGCTATTTTTCCTAATGCTCTGCCTCCCCGCCACCCACCCACCAGCAGGCCCTACTGTGTTGTTCCCCTCCCTGTGTCCATGTGTTCTCATTGCTCAGCTCCCACTTATCTAGAACCAGAAATACCATTTGACCCAGCAATCCCATTACTGGGTATATACCCAAAGGAAAATAAATCACTGGACTACAAAGGTACATGCATGCGTATGTTCATGTTCATGGCATCTTTCATTTAGGCATCAAACTCCCCTCAGTCAGGAAGGACGGTGACAGTCTCCACACCCTCCAGGCTATTGGGACAGATTCTGTTTTTTTCACCCTGCCCTGCAACAAAATTATTTTCTGCTTTCACCAAACCCAGGCAAACAGACTCCACTAGACCT
Organism: Homo sapiens; assembly: GCF_000001405.40. Classification (NCBI taxonomy): domain Eukaryota; kingdom Metazoa; phylum Chordata; class Mammalia; order Primates; family Hominidae; genus Homo; species Homo sapiens. The sequence continues at coordinate 237,224,517 of NC_000002.12, forward strand.
GGAGACTAGGAATAGAAAATGTACATAAATTGTGGTTTTAAAAATTCACTTAGATATGAATAATATGATGATAATTATTAGGAAAACATGGAACATTAAGACGTTGAAAATAAGTTCTACAAGTAAATGTGCCAGTCAACAAAGATTCATTCAGGGTTCCAGGGTGTCACTTGAGTTAGTGACCATTGTATAAAGTTCTAATCTGTGCTTGAAAGTTCGAATTTTCATGGTCAATTGTTTTCCTTGAAGTGACAGGCCCACACCATTAATTCTTTTAGCAACTCTCTGGCAAATACCTAAGTCCGAACAACCATAATTTGTCTTTCAGTTATTCTTTCAAGTAAAAATGGCGTTCTAGGCTTGGCACAGTGGCTTACGCATGTAATCCCAGCACTTTGGGAGGCAGAGACGGGCGATCATTTGAGGTCAGGAGTTCAAGACCAGCCTGGCCAACACAGCAAAAACCTATCTCTACTAAAAACACAAAAGGTAGCCAGGCATGGTGGCACACGCCTGTAATCCCAGCTACTCGGGAGGCTGAAGCAGGAGAATCACTTGAACCTGGGAGGCGGAAGTTGCAGTGAGTCAAGATCGCACCAATGCACAATGCACTCCAGCCTGGGCGACAGAGGGAGACTCCATCTAAAAAAAAAAAAAAAAAGAAAATTGGTGTTCTATGAAAAAAGAGACTAGCTCAGCTCACAACACAAACAATGCATGAGAGCTCTTCTTTGGGATAACCCTTGTAGTTGGTGTACGGAGGTCTCATATGTGTTCTCCCCATCTTGGCACTCAGAATATTCAAAGGACAGGTCCTCAAAAGTTAAAATTTAATAAAATCAATAATTTTATTGATTTTATAAATAAAATTTATTTATGAAATACTGCTGTGGCAATGGAGAGCTCAGGTGTCCTGGTAGAATTTGATGTCACTGCCTGGGTTCCTGCCAAGGTGCTGGAACCATGGTTTTTGCACCCTTAGGGAAAATGTCAACACAGTAGAGAAGGCAAAAATGTCTTAGTGGAGTTTTTAAATAAGTTTTTTATTCTGGAATATTTGTTATTTTTTAATGTATAATTGACAAAAATTATATAAGTAGATGTATAATGTGATGATTTGATATGTGTACACTTTGTGATACAATCAAGCTAATTGACACACACATCACCTCACGTAGCTACCATTTGTGCGTGCTTGCTGAGTACATTTAAGATCCACTTTTTAAATCACTTTTTAATTTTTTTATTTCAATAGGTTTTTGGAGAACAGGTGGTGTTTGGTTACATGGATAAGTTCTTTAGTGGTGATTTCTGAGATTTTGGTGCACCCATCACCCAAGCAATGTACACTGTAACCAATGTGTGGTCTTTTATCACTCGCCACCGCCCACCCTTTTCTTAACAAATTTCAAGTGTGCACTACAGTGGTATTAACTGCAGCCTCGATTTACAGAAACATTGCAAAGGTCATACAGAGTTTTCATGAACCCCACACTCTATTTCCCTGATGATTAATATCTTTTATTAGTATGGTACTTTGGTCACAACCATTAGCATTAGCTGAAATCCATGCTTTATTCAGATTTGCTGAGTTTCACCCAATGTCCTTTTTCTGTTTCAGGATCCCGTCAAGGATATCACATGATACTTCCTTGTCATGTTTCCTTAGGCTCATCTTGACTGTCCATTTCTCAGACCTTCCTTGATTTTGGTGACCTTGACAATGTTGAGGAACAGTGGTCAGGTATCTTGTAGAATGTTCTTTCATCGGGGCTTGTTGATGTTTTCTCTGAATTAGACTGGGTTTGTGGGTTTTGGGGAAGAAACACCACAGAAGAGAAGCACCATTCTAACTGCATCATATTAAGGGTAGATACTATCAACCTAACTTCTTTTTTTTTTTTGACATGGTGTTTTGCTCTTGTTGCCCTAGCTGGAGTGCAGTGGCACGATCTTGGCTCACTGCAACCTTCACCTCCTGGGTTCACGCGATGCTCCTGTCGCAGCCTCCCGAGTAGCCGGGATTATAGGTGTGCACCACCACACCCGGCTAATTTTTGTATGTTTATTAGAGACGGGGTTTCACCATGTTGACTAGGCTGGCCACAAACTCCTGACCTCAGGTGATCCACCTGCTCGGCCTCCCAAAGTGCTGGGATTATAGGCCTGAGCCACTGCGCCCAGCCTCAACCTGACTTGTTATTGTTGATGTTGACTTTGATCAACTGACAGGTTTGCCAGGTGATCAATGTGTTTGTCAGGTTTCTACAGTGCAAACTTACCTTCTCTCTTTTCCATGCTGCACCCTTTGAAAAGAAGTCACCATGTGCAGCCTACATTTAATGAGTGGAGAGTTATGCCCCGCCTCCTGGAGGATGAACTATCTACATAAATTATTTGAAATTCTTTTGCATGGAATATTTTCTTAATGTTATTGTGAAAATAATTTTGACCTTGCAGAACCATGAAAGGCTGTTCGGGAAAACCCCCAGAAGTCTGTAGACCATACTTAGAGAAACACCATTCCATGCAATGGAGGCAGGGGTGGATGTGTCTGGAACCTGGGCACTATACTTGCGTGTACCTTGATGCTTCCAGGATTCCCTAGAAATCACTGTGGAAGGATTATTGCAGCCACTATTGCTTGACAAGGGCTCAGACCCCTCAGGGTTACAAGTTTAAGTCCCTCAACCAGGCAAGCAACCCAGACCCAGCAAAGTGTGTTTGAAAGGTAGGAAAATGTAAATTGAGGAAAAGAAAAAGGAGATATGAATATCAGTTCGGTCTTACTCATCTGCAGTTTCAGTCACCATACATTATACCAGTAACCCTCTTGGGTTAAGTCAACAGAGATTGGGTATGGCCAGCATATTTGAGTGCACTATGTCTCAGATTGCACTAGTTCTCCCCCTCTCCAAGGAGGAGTGAGGGCATATTGTTCTCATAATCAATGAGATAACATTTTTAGAACTGGAACCAGATATAATATAGGGCATCAGATGATATGAGTGATCTAGATGGTGGACGCTCAGACACCACTTACACACCCATCTCCAATTCCAGAAACCAAGTGATGGCAGCTTTGTGTGGGGCTAATCAGCTTCATCCAAGTGCAGTCTTCATCTGAGTGCACCCTGACAGTGCCTTGTTCAGATCTGCTCACACGTCTCTTGGCTACCAGCCTGTGACTTCTGATAATGCCAGGGCATGGGATGCCACAGGAACCCCTTGGTGCCCACATATACATGACTCAGTTGTGCAGGATAGTTAATGCTCCACTTGAAAGCTCTTTAAACAATGGGAGAAAGGAACCAATAAATAAACGTTTCCTACCCCACGCCACAGCACTGACTCTGAGTCACATTTTCTGTGGTTTCTCGGAAGACATCGTGGTGTTAAACACACAATCTCCCATCTCAGCGGCCAGTGTAGCTTGCATTGACTCACTCTTCTTTGCTGAAATGCTTTCCCTGTTCCTTAGCTTTGCTCTTGGGATCATAATTCCCAATGAAAGCTTTGATCAACAGTGTTTCTCTCAGGTTTTCTTTTCGAAAGAACTTAGGCTAAGACAGATCAATACAGTGTTGTAACCAGCTAGTATGCATTCCTTCCAAAGATTTATTAAGTCCTCCTGTGTGCAAAGCATCATGGTAGGCTTGGAGACAACTGGGAAAATAATCAAATAAATCATTACAAGTATAAATGCTGTGAAGGAGAAGCACAGAGTGCTTTCAGATTGTAATATCCTAATCTAGGGAACTAAAAAGGGGCTTCTCCACTGAGACCTGAAGGATGAATAGGACCACTCCTGGGAAGAGGCAGGAGAAAAGGAGGGAGTATGGTGGGAAGTGAGACAGCAGATTCCAAGGGCTGGAGGCAAGTGAAGGTGGGTGTTTTTAAGAATTCAAAGTAGCCCAGCCCTAGTGGGCTAATGGCTAAGCGGAGAGAACAGAGAGATTGGAGAGGAGTATGAGGAAAAAGACTTTGGCGGAGTGAACAAGAACCCAACTGTGAAGAACCTTGAGCACTTATCCGGTGAGCCACAGGAAACCTCTGGAGGGCTCTGAGTAGAGTATTCCTCAAAGATGACTTTGTCTATGGATGCGAGGAGTATTAGGGGTCAGGATCATGCAGGAAGGCTAATTAGAGGGCCATTCAAGTGATCTAAGCCAAAGATGAAGATGGTACCAAATACAGTGGTGGCAGGTAAGAGGAAGAGAAGGTAAATGATTTGAGAGCTGCTAAAATAGGGATTTTTCAATTTTTTGGAAGTTAATATATGAGATGAATACAATTTGTCGGAAGTTTTACATATCATTTGTATAATTTGTGCAGAAACTTCACTTGCTATTTGTAATTTTCTTTAGGTGAGAAGGATTTTTAATACATTTTAAAAGCACTTAAAACAATTTTTAATACACTATATAATGTTAAAATTTTCATTTTCATCATGAAGGTAAAAATGTAAGAGCCTTTGAATCAGCAAGATCAGCATCTAATCAGATTTTGCCACTTACTAGCAAGGTGACCTTCGGCAAGTCACTGAATGTTGCCAGGTTGTATTTTTTGTTGTTGTTTTTTGAGACGGAGTCTCGCTCTGTTGCCCAGGCTGGAGTGCAATGGTGTGATCTCGGCTCACTGCAAGCTCCGCCTCCCGGGTTCACGCCATTCTCCTGCCTCAGCCTCCCGAGTAGCTGGGACTACAGGTGCCCGCCACCACACCCGGCTAATTTTTTTTTGTATTTTTTAGTAGAGACAGGGTTGCACCATGTAGGCTAGGATGGTCTCAATCTCCTGGCCTCGTGATCTGCCCACCTTGGCCTCCCAAAGTGCTGGGATTACTGGCGTGAGCCACGCCACCCGGCCTGTATTTTTTTTTAAATAAATCTGTAGATAGAGTTAATGTCACCTGTACTTTGTGTGTGTGGCAGTCGTTATTTTTTCAAGAATGGAATAAGATCACGGCTGTAAGGTGTCAGATGTAGTGCCTGGTATAAAAAGATAAGTGAAAAAAAAAAGACATCTATTATTTGTAGTGTTTACAGATCACTAATCCGGAACCTTGCTTAAATCACTATCCCAAAGCCATCCTTTCTTTAGACTATGGTTTAATCTTCTTTCTCATTTTTTGCATTTGTTGGTCCTACATGGCTCACCTGTTCTCATCTTGCCTTGCACTGGCAATTCCAAAATCAACTTCTCCACTCCCCACTTCCTCTGGTTATCATTCAGGTTCTCAATCCCTGCAGCCTCAACATGCCTGAAAAGCCTTCTCATTTCCTCTGTCTGCCACCCTATCTTGGCCTCTCCAGAATCACTGCCATTTTTGTGCCTCTGCTGCTGCAACCGCAGAGGCTAGGGCAGCCCACTGTGTTGCTGTCATTGGTGGGAGTTTGGGCACCCTGGGCTCACGTGAGTTGTTCTGGGCAACACGCACCACCCAGCAGCTTCAGGTGCTGGACTTCCCCAAGCTTGCTCTGCATGTCCTTCCAGAAGTGATTCCTTTTCATTGACTCCCTTGGCAGTAACTTTGCAAACACTTAAACTTTATTAACTTTATCCATTAGTTGAGTCATGCTTGAACATATGGTGGTACATGGCCAGTATAATTGAGATCTTGGATCCCATTTTTCAGAAAATAATATCCATGCCCACAGAAGATGCCAATGGAGGGTTGTCAGCCCTGGAGAGCCAGTGATGGTGACAAAGTAGAACTAGACATCCTGTGAGTTTCCATCTGGGAAAACTCTCAAGAATTCTTTAAAGTAGTGGCTTTTAAACTTTTAGTGAGAAAATATAATTTTTCAAATAAAATTTTATAAAGAAAATATATAAAACAGATAGAGGAGGAACAATTTTGATTAAGTGGCAGAGAGGCATGGTGGCCTAATCAGTCCCCAGCCCCTCTCCCCAAATAACCCCAGAGGTACCACCAAGGAATCAAATGGCCCAAGAACACCTAAAACCATCACTCTGGAGATACAGCAGTCTCCCTAAAAGGCATGGAAGCATGAGCCTAACTAGAGACAGGTGACAGCCAGGTGTAGTGCGGGATGGGACACAGGGAAGGTGGAGCTCAGCCTCATCAGCCGCTATCTCCAGGAGCATCTTCCAGGCAAAGAGCCTTTCTGTCCCGTCTCCCTTCCAAACTCATGCCACCCTGATGATTGTGATTCCAGAGGATCAGAGGCAGAGGAGTCCTCATCATTTTGGATTATTTGGTTACAAGCAACAGAAATAGACTCTGACTACCTCAACCCTAAAAGGAGTTTATTGGAAAAATAGAGGTGGCTCACAGAATTGGAAGATAGCTGAAAAATCAGGCTTAGAGGGGTAATCAGGGAAGTTCCAATGGCTTAGCTAGTAAGAGATAATCAGTAGAGTCACCTGGGGGTCCACTCAGAGATGAATCAGGTCCTATGTGGAAGAAGTGATGCCCCAAAATGAAACCCCAAAGGTTCTTAGGTGACCAAATACCAGCTGTCCACTATCGGATGCCCTAGTGTTTGGGGGAGGGAAGTTACTGGACTTATTGCTAACATGATCACAATAAAACCCCACCTTTTTGTCCCCAGTCCATTGCTGTCTGCCCCCACAATGTTGCAGTCTCATGGGTAACACTCAGGTCATTTAGCAGTCAGGTGTCACAAGCTGTCCTGGCCAAGACCCATGGAGCGTTCAGCTCTGACCTTGGCCATGTGACCTGCTCTTGGGTCTTCTACAGCCTTGACCCTTCTCTGCCCTTCACTCAGGTTCATGTTGTCATCTTCCTCTGGGTGCCCCAACCCCCACTCCATACCCCTGGCCCTTCACAGCTCTTCCCCTGCTCAGGCTGTCTCAGCTGGGAAGACACTTCTCTTGTCCGTAGTGCCACCACTCAGTACATAGATCAAGGCAGTGTTCAGCACAGTATAAATGGCTTTCAAATTCCAAAGAGAAAAACACAGCTTTTGCCTCTTTGATGGTGGTAGGGGGTGTGAGATACAACAATTTTTTACTGGGAAGAGATTACAGCATGCCCTAGACTAGTAACCCCCTTAAAATGTCATCAATGTGACAGACTCCTGACTCTTTGTAGGTTTTATCTTCCACTATCTGGTACGAATGTGTCTTATGAAGGCATCCAAAGTACTTGTCATTTTCTGCCCACCAATTGGAATTAACGTTATGACTCATATAAGGGACTAATGTATCATACTATGGGTTGCCAAGGCTGCCATTGCTGGCCCTGTTACAGGGTGGGTCTATCTGGGCTATCAACACATACGCTGGGAAAACTGGGAGCAAGAGCAGGGAGCAGATGTGGAGTCAGACACCAGAGCAGCACGGATGAGCAAATGACTGACACTCCAGCCAAGTGAGGGGCGCAGCCAGGAAGGCGGCCAGAGTCCTGACTCCAGGACAGCAAACACAATGGCAATGTCGGAACAAGATGATGAGACAGACCGCCGAGTGCTCCAGGCTTCAAATCCTAAAGAAGTCAACAGATGGAGGAAGGACCATGATGTGAGTCTTCCAGAATGCCTCCCTTGCCAGAGGGTTGTGGGCTTGGAGTCTTGTGACAGCCCAGATGCTTTCTGCCGGCCACAGGGTAACACCATTACAAACTGTCCCCGAGAGCTGGAGGACACCTCGCTCCCCTCTCCCTCTCCAGATGCTTTTATTTTAAGTTGCAAGGCTCAGTCCCAACTCTTCATCCAAGTCAAAGTTTTTTTTTCCAAGTGTCTACCAAGTTTCAATGCCACTGAAGCCTTTCATTCTATGTCTAAGAATAGCACTGGGTCAGAAAACATCTTCCTTCTCTCTCACTTGGGGTTACTGACCCAAATACTGGCACTTGAAAAACAGAAAAGGCCTAGTTGTCACCACATGGCTCAAGGGAGTCACAGCAAGGAAGGTTGAAAACAAGTGCCAAAGGAACAGACATGAGTCAGCTTTGGAACCTTCTAGAAAACTAAGCCAAGGAGTTTAGATTTTGTCTCTTTTTGCTGCTGTTGGAGGAGATGGAAAACCAACACATATTTGTTGAGTGAATGAATGATTGAAATGTTTTAGAACAATAATTTGGGTAATAATGGAGAGTGAGTTTGACAAGAGAAGGAAAGAGAGGATGCCCCAGGCAGGCACATTGCTGAAATAACTGTTACGCACTAAGAAAGATGGGCCAAGGAGGGAGGATCATGAGGTCAGGAGTTTGAGACCAGCCTGATCAACATGGTGAAACCCCGTCTCTACTAAAAATACAAAAAGTATCCAGGCATGATGGTGTGCACCTGTAATCCCAGTTACTCAGGAGGCTGAGGCAGGAGAAACACTTGAACCCGGGAGGCGGAGGTTTCAGTGAGCTGAGATCGTGCCACTGCACTCCAACCTGGGCAACAGAGTGAGATTCCATCTCAAAAAAAAAAGAAAAAAAGAAAGATGGGGCAGGTCTGGACTGGGACAAGCACAAGTGGAATTAAAGATGCGGAGGGGTTGTAGAGACCTTTAAGAGCTGGAATTGATTATTAGTTGTCAGGAAGAAGAAGAAGAAATCAAGGATCTCTCCACATCATGAGGCTAAGTGTGGCAACACCAACAGCAATGGAGACAAGTGTGTAAGGCAACACATTAGGTTTTGGCCATGAACATGTCTAAATGCATATGTCAGGTAGGCGGGGGGTGCATGCTGGAGATCAAGAGAGAGATTGAGTCTAGTGTGCCAGGAGTCACTTGATTGATACTAGTTGCGGGACTAATATGTTCACCAGAGGATGCATTGAATAGAAGTGAGCAAGAAACTCGAGAAAGCATTCCCAATGCCTGGTCCTATTAATCCATCTCCAGTGCAACCTTGGCTGCAACATTGCTACTGTCCTTTCTGGCAACATTACATGGGTGGCTTATTAACCTACCTTGGAAAAGAGGTTGTCTGAGCCTGGGTTTCTCTCCACCCCACTGCCATGAAAGCAGAGTTTTAGCCAAGGACTTGTGTGCAGGTATTTTATTTAAAATGTAATCCCAGAGAATAGAAGTAAGGGATCAGGGAGAGTAAAGGAAGGAGGAAAAGCCCATAATGGGCCAACAGTCCATTATGAAAAGTGCACTATAAAGTTGTTGTGGGCAACAGGGGCTCAGTCCCACCTGGACCTAGGAGGAGCCTGCAGAATGCCTCCAGAATTGGCCTCCTGAGGACCCAAAGGGAACACACTTACTATGAGCCCCCATACTACATTGGGTGCCCCCAGGGGCATTACCACCCCACACTTCTAGATGCCCCTATATGTTTGTCAAGTGGGGACCTGCCAGGTCCATAGCAACAGAGAGGCTCCGGGGCAGAGAGTGAAGGAGGCAAGCTCATGCCTGAGGCCGGAGATGTCAGCAAATGTGACTGGAAGCACCCACAGAGCTTCCCATCATCAGAACTACAATCTAAGGGAAGCCAGGAAGGTGCAGGGAGGGGGTCTGGAGGTATATGATACATGGACCCTTTGAACTCCTCAGATCCACTCCTGCCTCACATTACATCCAGTTCCACCAAGACAAAATATTCAAGGTGGTAGTTGAACCAAAGTCTTCCAAAGACTCAACACACTGGGTCAGTGGAAGAAGGCACAGTCCCCACTGCTGCAATGGACCCAGAGGCCTCTGTTGTTACTCTTCACCTCATTCCTTCACCATCCTTTCCAGATCCTCCCCTCTATTTCAGCTAACATTTCAGCTGGTCTAGGTTGCTTGCCTAGACCTAAAGCTTAGATGACCTAAACCTTCCCCCTTGATGGGTCTCAGTGTTTGGCTGTCTTTCTTTTTTCAGGCCATGATTGCTGCAATTGCCTGTTACTGTTTTAGAATCACTAAGAGATGTTCCAGGGAATTCTGTAGGCTCCACCCCAGGAACACCTCTAGATCCTGATGACAGACTCAGTTACCCCTCCTTACTTGACTGTGAATCTGCAGGCATAGCAAGACCGAAATGAACAAGCTGTACTCGTAGGCTCTGAATCAGTGAACACCATGTCCCTGGAGGAAGTTCTATCCCAGGAAATTGGGGCCTGTGCTTCAGCAGGGTCTGATGTTATAAGAATGAGAAGCACAAATTCCACAGTGGATTAATGGAAGCTACAGGACCAGAGGCAATTCTACTTCAACTCCTTGTTGCACAAGCCTAAATATTGTAGCAAATGGGGAACCCGTGCATCAGCTGTGAGCTTACTCCATATGTTGCATTCCGGGGTACAACACCCCTAAATAAGTAGAAGACTTGGTCCTTTAATAGGTGCATAATTCTGGTATGCCAGATGTTCCCTGGCGATGTGATATATGGTAAGACCAGCAGATTCGTAAAATAGGTCTTCTGGTCCAAAGCCATGGTTTGTAGAATTGCATGTCAGTAAACAGGCATTCAGTAAACTCTAGAATGGCAGTTGTCAGAGGACAAGTGACAGACCAAGTCTACTGCAGTTCACCCACTGGGATGATTCCCTTCAACCGTTATTCTTTAGGGGCACCCTGATTATGGCCACTGTGTGAAAACAGTCCATTCTTGGCTCCCCCAGCATTTCTAGTCAACCCATCTTAGAAGCAAGTCTGAGTTATTTTTTTTATGCATCAGGTGATTAGGACCTGATGAAATTAGGTCCCGGCACAGGGAGGTGGATGAAAGTGAACTGAGAAGCATCTGGACCACTTCTTCTTGCATTTTGGTGCCTTCTGGACCTGCTCCCATACGTACCCCTACCATCATCCAATGGATTGCTACAGCATTCACTGAATCTGATGACTTGGTGAGTCTGACACTTCCCACTTCATAATGGATGGTTTGTCCACAGTCACTTAATACCCCAAGACCAGATGCTCTGGCCCTACTAAGGCCCAGTAGCATGCCAGGAACTTCTCTTCAAATGGGGAATACCTGTGAGCCACAGAAGGCACAGCTTTGTTCCAGGACTCCAGTGGTCGACACTGCAACTCACCTATTGGGCTTGTAACAACCACAACTCCACATTCTTTTCCACCACAAGCTTTGGATCTGCAGCGTCAGATAGCCTGAAGTGTAGGGCAGCCTGACCTGTGAACATGCTGCAGAGCCGACTCTAGTTCTGGGCTTTACTCCAAACTGGCAGCCTTGCAGATCCCTCAGTACATAGGTCAAGGCAGTGTTCAGCACAGTGTAAATGGCTTTCAATTCCAAAGAGAACAACATAGCTTTTTGCCTCTTTGATGGTGGTAGGGGGTGTGAGATACAATAATTTTTTATTGGGAAGAGATCACAGCATGTCCTAGACTAGTGACCCCCTTAAAATGTCATCAATGTGAGAGACTCCTGACTCTTTGTAGGTTTTATCTTCCACTATCTGGTACAAATGTGTCTTACGAAGGCATCCAGAGTACTTGTCATTTTCTGCCCACCAACTGGAATTAACATTATGACTCATATAAGGGACTAGTGTATCATACTATGGGTTGCCAAGATGATCAAAGCCCCTGCTTACTTTTTTGTCACAGAAAGCAGGAGAGTTAATATAGCCCTGGGATAAAGGGCTAGCGTGGTGAATACATGACTCCATGCGTTTGTCAAAACCTATAAAAATGGACACCACAAAGTGAATTTTAATGTATATACATTTTTCTAAAATCAGCTACAATGTTCAGGGACCCAAAAATGGAATATACACAGAGAAAAAGTAAATGTACCTAACTTTATTATAAATAAATAGTATAACCACACTGGAAGGGATGAGGAAGAAAAGAACTAACCTAGATAATGCCAAAAAAATTTATTAAGACTAAGAACAAAATCTACACACAAATAGAGTACTCTAGTTAGTACATTTGTTTTTCACAAGAGAATGAGTCACTACTCTGAAACCATACTATGAGTAGGGAACAAATATGTAAATAAAGTACAGAAAAAGGGAGCCACATGTCTTACTGTCAGAGAAATTAGTTACGAATACAAAGAGGTGACAGCTAGAATCATCTTTCGGCTATTCTATTGGAATTGGAGGCATCAGTATGAACTCATGGATTTTTAATGGATAGATAAGTATAGAGGGACAATGGTGCTGATGAAGATAGATAGGCAAAATAAATATAGATGTGTGTTTATGCATGAATGTGTGCACAAACATACATTCCCTAACTTTGAACTGAATGGGAAGAGACTAAAAGCAGTGGCACCACAGGGCCAATGAGCATATCTAGCACCCAGATCTTGAGTTCTAAATACTGTTCTCCAACAAAATAATCCCGGGAAAGTGGTTGATTTCAGGACTGGTTGATGAGCCTAGAGCTGATAAGATGACAGATATAAGAAACGGATCAAAAAGGGACAGGGACAGGTCCATTGGGCACAGACGCCAACCTGAAAGAACCCCCAATGGACGAATATTTGAGCAAATATTAAGAGTAATAGCAATAATTATATCCATGGGTCTATGCTGATATAAATAATTTAATAAATAAATTAGTTAATTAATTGGGGACCACTCTTAAAGAATTCCAGCTGGTAAATGTATAAGGATTGAAGGAAATATATAATCACCATTAGAACAACATGATAGGATGTGTTGCAGGCAAGATCCACTGATGAATGCTGAAATTAGTATTTCAAAGTTTGAAGAGAAACAAGCTTTTTGCATTGTCTAAAAATATCAACCAGAGTTCCGAAGCTGAACTCTTATTGCATGAGGATCAAGCTGTGAACCTTGCAGGGTGTGGCCCACCATGGTGCTGAGTCCTTTGGAAGCCTAGGCAGGTCTTCCACTGCCCCGACACCAGCATCTATTCCTCCAAATATCAGGAAACAATTTTCCCCAGTTGCCACCACTATAGCCCTGGCAGGGAAAAGAACAAACCTAACTCCACTCTTATGGCTTTCCATGGAGATGCTAAGTTATAGGTCTTTGAGCAACCCAGATGAGCAGCATTTTTGGTTTCAAGGCTGGCAGAGAAGTAATGTGGCAGGACCCCCTTCCTGCAAGCCAGTAACCTCGTTCTTAGACTCCCCACAAGATTTCTGACTTAGTAGCTTGTTTGCCTGTGCCTTCTTCCCAGAGGTTGTCAAACACTTAAAAACTGCAGTGTGGGCCGGGCATGGTGGCTCATGCCTGTAATCCCAGCACTTTGGGAGATGGAGGCAGGCGGATCACGAGGTCAGGAGGTCGAGACCATCTTGGCTAACATGGTAAAACCCCGTCTCTACTAAAAACACAAAAAAATTAGCCGGGCATGGTGGTGGGCGCCTGTAGTCCCAGCTACTCAGGAGGCTGAGGCAGGAGGATGGCGTGAACCCAGGAGGCAGAGCTTGCAGTGAGCCAAGATTGCACCACTGCACTCCAGCCTGGGTGACAGAGCAAGACTCCATCTCAAAAAACAACAAAAACAACAACAAAAAAAAACTGCAGTGTGGATGATGGGCAGGGGAAGAAGTTGGCAGCCCATCACACCCATGGACTTGGCTCCTTCAGGCAGAAGCTAGAAGGAAATACCTTGCCTTCTGTGCTCAGAAGTTATCAGAAGGAAGCTGCAGGATGGATTGCCTGAGGAATTCCTACTCTAGGAGGAAGGGAAACATCCTTCTAGAAATTGAGCATCTGGCCTTTCAGGTCACCCACACCCCACCTGGTACATAAAATGGCTCTGCTGCCTGTGCCGGTGGCCCAGGACGTGCTCTGTGTGCCCCAGTTTCCCAGATTATAGGGCTTTAGTTCAGATAGGGAGCAGGATGTATGAGACCAGAGCAGCCCAGAATCTCAGAGGTTATAATAACCTCGATTTTTACAAAGATATCAACACCCCTAAGACCAGGAAGATGAACATAAACCTCTTCCATCCAAACACAAAATGATATAGCAAGGACTGGGTCGTCCCTTTCTGCCCAAAGCAGTGTAAGGGGAGTGGTCAGGGGATGTAGAATTAGAGGCACATGGTATGATATCACTGGAACTACCCAGAGAGCACATCTCACTGACCACACCCAGCCATCCCCATTCACATTTTCTCATGCCTTACCACCTCCTCCTAGCTGTATACCTCTAGTTTGATAACTATTTTTCCTCCTTCATTCAGCTCCTCCTCTGAATCATGGCTCCCACACTTCATTATTTACTCCAAGCATCAAGATAATAGATTGGGCTTCCCCACGCCAGCACCCTTTTTTATGTATGTGGGTCAACCCTGCATCTTGCTTAGCATTGTTCATAAGAAGAAAGGAATTAGATGACAAAAAATATGATATGCTGGATACTTAGGTCTGAGAAAAGTTCCCAGAGGAAGGAATAGCAACAGAGTCAAATATAGTGAAAAGTTCTGATAGGATGAAGATGGAGAAGTCCATTGAACTTGCCTCAGTGGATCTTCAGTAGTCTTGAAAGGAACAGTTTTGGTGGAGTGAATCTAGTTTTCAGTGTTTGAGAAATTAATGGCCAACAAGGTAATGAGGATATCAAGTGTAAAAAGTGACTGTCAAATAACTGAAGGTAAAATTGATGCTAAAAGAGGACCTCCATCCTACTCCCCTCCTCAAAAGATGGGCTGGTTAACTGCTGGTTCTGCAGAAGACCGGTGTGAACTAGAGTAAGGGGTCATCTGCCTAAACATTTTCATCAGGATTAGGGATTCTGCTTAATTTCCCACCTGCTTTCCACTACTTCTCCATCAGAGCTACTTTTTATATAACTTTTTCCTTGCCTGCTGGAACAAAGCCATGCCCAACAGGTGTGATGGTCCCAGGGGTTGGGGACTCTGTCGGTTAAGACTCACTGTTGGAAGGAAAGGCCTCAAAATGAATGGATCAAGAATAATTATGCAGGAAATAGGAGATCTGGAAAGACACAGGGAATCTTCAAGAATTGGGCACCAGCTTTCAAGTGTAGAGCCAGGAGCCTAGGACCAGGATGAAACATCACATGCAGCAGAACTCTGAGTAATATAGCAGAAGTCAAGGCAATAGCCTGTAATAACTTTCCTGCTCAGTACTCACTTCCATGAGCTGCCTTGAGTGTGTGCTGTGGGTGAATTGGTAATGTCATACAGATAATTTATAGCACTCCTTGCCACTATCCTCTGAAAAGATGGGGGAACTGTGTAGGAACCTTCCCTACCTAAAAGATGGGGTAGCTATATGGGAACTCATAGTTTAGCAAAACATCCCCACGGGTAAGGCCCCTACCAAGCCAGTAGCCAAGGATGGATGAGAGAGTTCAGGAGGGGTTCTACATTCTTAGCAAGAAAGCTTGCTCATAACAGGCAAGCTTAGCTCTAAAAGCAGCCACCTAGACGACTAAGTATGAGTTTCTATAATATAAGAAGCCTGACTGGAAAAGCATACAAGTATTTCTCATAGCAAAAGGAGCCCAGCAATTCTTCCACCATGCACTCAGTGTCCTGGGTTTGGTTGCTTCAAATAGGCCTGGATGCAGCAATAAAGGAGCCTGTTGCTGGGCTAGAAGGCAGAAGATTGTAGAATTATACGAATGGACATATTTGGTTCCAAAGGGCAATCAGTAGAAAAGCTTTCAGCAGAAATGGATTGACAAATATGTACAGGGCAATGGCTCCAGTGTGGTCCTGGTGACCTTGGGCATCTCCACATCGGCCATGAAGGCAAGCCTTCGGAGTTGACATGAGGCTTGGTAGAGCATCCTGTGATCCTACTAGAGCACTACTATGGGAGGCTGGGGAGGAGCTGCTCCCAGACCATTCCTGATTCATGAGACTGTCTCTCATTGCCTCCCTTGTTCTGATGAAGTTTGAGGCTCTCTGCCTCTACCCCCTGCCCCACTCCATTCCCAACCCCCACCTTTAGGGAACAGTCGTAGCCTATAAAACACTTAGCTGCAGTGTGGAATAAGGCCCTCAGCAACAGGGCGCCAATGACTCTCTGATGTTTTGGTGTCATCCTGTGAGACCAGAAAGGTCGCTAGTCTTTGCTACTCTGGCTTTTTTTTTTTTCTGTCTATGTAAGCAATAAACTATCTGAACCTAAAATGTTTCATTGTTTCTTTACCTGTTGCGGGAAGTCAGGGACCCCAAATGGAGGGACTGGCTGGAGCTGCGGCAGAGGAACATAAATTGTGAAGATTTCATTTTAATATGGACATTTATCAGTTCCCAAATAATACTTTTATAATTTCTTATGGCTGTCTTTAATCTCTTAATCCTGTTACCTTTGCAACCTGAGGATGTACGTCACCTCAGGACCACTGTGATAATTGTGTTAACTGTATAAATTGATTGTAAAACATGTGTGTTTGAACAATATGACATCAGTGCACCTTGAAAAAGAACAGAATAACAGCGATTTTTAGGGAACAAGGGAAGACAACCATAAGGTCTGACTGCCTGCGGGGTCGGGCAAAAAGAGCCATATTTTTCTTCTTGCAGAGAGCCTATAAGTGGACGTGCAAGTAGGGAAGGTATCACTAAATTCTTTTCCTAGCAAGGAATATTAATATTAATACCCTTGGAAAGGAATGCATTCCTGGGGGGAGGTCTATAAATGGCTGCTTTGGGAGTGTCTGTCTTATGCGGTTGAGATAAGGACTGAGATATGCCCTGGTTTCCTGCAGTACCCTCAGGCTTATTAGGGTGGGGAAAAACTCCTCCCTGGTAAATTTGTGGTCAGACCGGTTCTCTGCTCTTGAATCCTGTTTTCTGTTTAAGATGTTTATCAAGACAATAAGTGCACCACTGAACATAGACCCTTATCAGTAGTTCTCCTTTTTGTCCTTTGAAGCCTATGATCTACTCCCTGTTCTTACACCCCCTCCCCTTTTGAAATCCTTAATAAAAAACTTGCTGGTTTGAGGCTCAGGTGGGCATCACAGTCCTACTGATATGTGATGTCACCCCCAGCGGCCCAGGTGTAAAATTCCTCTCTTTGTACTCTTTCTCTTTATTTCTCAGCTGGCTGAGACTTTTGGAAAATAGAACAACCTACGTTGAAATACTGGGGGCAGGTTTCCCCAATATTTACCAGCTAATCTATCAGCATTGCCTTGACAATATTCTGAGGGGATAATGAGGTTGCCTCTCCATTTAAGTGGTCGCCCTGATGCCTGCTGTAGTTGGGTGTAAGGCATGGATTACTAACTCCCTGAAATGCCAGAGGACATATTTCCGATTCTAGAAACCTAGAGGCTCTAGGTTATCCAGGTACTTGCAGCCTTCAATGAGGAGATAGAATGGTGCTTCTCACTGAGCTACAGATCTTTGAAGAAGAAAATGATATGCTCAGGGCTTTCAACTCTCAGCTCAAGCAGGTACAGAGAGTCAGTATTCTCTGGTAGACTTAAGAGAAGTACTTATTCTTATGTGTCCATATGACAGACAGAGCTGAAATTTAGTTGTAAAATCTAATCCAGTTGCAGAATTACAACCAAGCTGGTAGCACAGAAGTGGTAAGTTTCCTGTATTAAGGAAAAGGCACTTACTAATATTTGAAAGAAGTTGGGCATGGAGACTTGGAATGGGGCTGCTAGATAGACTTAGATTAATATGGGACCTTGAACTCCCAAATGCCCTTGAGTTTTCCTTCCCACGAGAATGAGACCTTTCCTCGTGTCTGAGAAGGTTATCCTTCCCTTATTTAAAGAATCTGTGATCATGTCACTTGTGGAGGTTGTTGAAACACCCACGCTCCTCAGGGCCCATCCTCATTACCTCTCATTGCCTTCAGGCCTATGACTCATAACCAGCATAGCCCAGGGACAATTACAAGGCCTCCAGTAGAAGAAAATGACTTGGGCACCAAAATCATTGCAATAATTTGTATTGGCAGAACCCCAAGGAACATGAAGATTTAAAGGGTATCAGAACAAGGATGAAATATGACTGGATCAAGCTGAACTTGCCAATATGGGAACACTTTTACAAGATTCAGAATTTAATGTTCTAGCTTTCACAGCTGGAATGGCTTTACTAGTTGGCTTTGTTCATTGACTGAAACTTGGTTTTAATGGTGACCTACATTCAATGAGGTCAGAATGTCAGAACTTCTGCAGCTTAGTGTGAAGGGATCCAAATGCTTAGAGAGATGGGGGTAAAGAAGTAGGTGTTGTTATGTAGAAGCCACCCATATTGACTATTTCCTTTTGGACTCAAAAGACACTCAACAAGGAATTGAGCATCAGCATCCTTGAAGCCTCTGTCACAGCATCCTCTGCAAGAGAGGATGAAAGGTGAGCCTTCCATTGACTTAATAGACTCCCTGACCTGATTTCCATAGGAATGAGAGAATCCCAGTGTGACTGAGGCCAGATAGCAACACTAAACCCTCAAGATCAAGGGCAGCAGTTACCATAATAATTACCCTAATAGGCTGTAGGATCAGGGTGGTGATATGTTTTGTACAGCAGAGAATTAACAGCCATGGCTAAGTTATCAAGTGTTTCCTGTGGATAAAATAGATGGTACCTGTAACTAGAAAAATTCTGCAGCCAGTGAGAAAAATATGACTGAGTTATCTAATGGGAAGTCCTCACTTCTCACCAGTTCTAAAACTGAAGGTCTTTAATTGAAAAGGAGGTGTCATAACATGGGAAAGAGCCTACATCATGGCCACAGTTATATCCTATAATTTTCTATCAAGTCTTCCCCTCTGGAATCAACATCATTCTAGAGGTTCTAGCCAGTGTAATATGACAGGTAAAAGAAACAAAATGCAACTGGTCAAAAAGGAAGGTATAAAAACATCTTTAGTTTTCTAGTTTATTCACAGATGATGTGGTGGCCTACATAGAACATCCCAAAGAATTCTGATTACTCAAAATGGTGCATCTATAAACAAACATTGTGCAGGCACACATAAAATATTATTCAATGGTAAAAAGAATCAAGCTGTTAAGCCATGAAAAAACATGGAGGAAAGTTAAATGCATATTGCTAATTAAAAGAAGCCAGCCTGAAAGTAATACATACTGTATTATTCCAATTATATGGCTGTATCAGTCAGGGTTCTCCAGAGAAACAGAATAAACAGGATGGATGGATATGTATGGATATGTGTGTGTGTGTGTAAATGTACATGTATGAGAAAGAGAGAGAGAGAGAGACAAAGACAGACCAAGAGAGACAGATATTTATTATAATGAATTGGCTCATGCAATCGTGGATGCTAAGTGCCAAGATTTGCAGTTGACAAACTAGAGAAACAGGAGAATTGATGGTGTAAGTTCCAGTCCAAGAGCTGGCAAGATCTGAAAACAAAAAAAGCTGAGGTTTCATTTTGAGCTGAAAAGACAAATTTGATATACCAGTCCAGAAGTCAGGCAGGAGTTACCTCTTTCCGTACCTTTTTGTTCTTATTCAAGTCTTCACTTGATAGGATAAGGAGTACACACATTAGGGAAGCATTATGTATTACTCAGTCTATCAATTCAAATTTTATTCTCATCTGGAAACACCCTCACAGATACAACAAAATAACGTTTGTCCAAATGTCTGGGCACCCAGTGATCCAGTCAAGTTGACACATAAAATGAACCATCACAGGTCCACTGTTGTCAACTTGACACCCATACACATCTTCCTAAATCGTACTTAATCTCCAAATAAAGACAATAACAAGGTCATAATTCTGCCTGACATAGTACAATTATCCTGCATTCAACTAAAATCACACTAACCTCTTCCCCAGAAGAGGAGGTTAAGTCCTTGAGTGATGTTTACTTTTCTCCTTGATATCTCATATGATGCATAATTAATAATGCTTAAATACTATGATATAAAGTCAATACAATTTATGTTACATGATAACAGAATAAGAAAGAAAAAGAAAACCAAGCTATTTGTTATATACACATACAGAGAAACATATTTATAATAAAATAAGGAAATACTCATGACAATTTCAGTCTTTGTTCCTGTAACTGGTCATATAGTCACAGCTGGCTTTTGTAAACACCTTCTTCTACTAACTGTTCTGTATTCCCTTTGCTTTCAGCAAGCACCTCAGCTGGTTTTGGTTCTTTGCCTGGCGGGATAATATAAACGTTCTTTTCTGAAGGGTCTGGGCCATTAGTAGACCTGCCTAGATTGGGTTGTTGTCATTTTCCATTGATCCTAATCTTGGGGCATGGTAATACTATGAGATGTCCTAACAGATCTCCTGTATTCCAGACATGCTCTTCCTTAACCTCTGTAGTAGAGGAGTCTGATTTCCCCTTAGCATTCAAGATCAATTACCCCAGCCAGCACAGTATCTCCCTTCTTTGCCTGCTGATTCAGAGACACCAGAAGCCCAAAGTGGTGGGGCAGCTCTCTTAACTTCCAGTTCGGTGGATTCATTGTTATGACTCCTGGTGGAAGCATACTCCTTTTGGAGCTAAGATCTCTGGGCTAGCAAAGAATAAGGTCATGAGAACAAGAAGGAAAAATTTTGCTGGTGAGTTGTGAGGGATAATAGTGAGTGCCACCACTCCCATTTCCACTGTTTGATTCTTGGACCCATGAATTCCAGCTGTGGAAGAAATAGCACCATATATTGGCCATGAATTCAGAGCATATAAAGCCTTCTGAGGAACCTTCCCCCAGCCCCATGACATGTTGCCGCCTAGCTGGTGTTGTAATTGAGTCTTCAAAATGCCATTCTATCACTATATCAAGCCAGCTTCTTCAGGGTGGGGGGGAACATTGTAAGACCAGTGAATTTCATAAGCATGGTCCCATTTCTGCACTTCATTTGCTGTAAAGTGAATTTCCTAATCAAAAGCAATGCTGTGTGGAATATCATCATTGTGGGTAAGGCATTGTGTAAGAACACAGATGGTAGTTTTGGCAGAAGCACTGCGTGCAGGAAAAACAAATCCATATCCATAGTAATTATCTATTCCAGTAAGAGCAAAATTCTGTCCCTTACATGATGGAATGTAAGCAACCTGCCACCAGGTAGCTGCTGATCATCCTGAAGGATGGTGCTATATAAGGAACTCAGTATTGGTCCTTACTGCTGGAAGGTTGGGCACTCAGCAGTGGCCATAGCAAGGTCAGTCTTGGTGAGCGGAAGTCCATGTCACCAAGCCCATGCATCCCCTCCATCCCTGCCACCATGGCCAGTTTGTTCATGAGCCCATTGGGTGATGACAAGAGTGGTTGGGGAAAGAGGCTGACTGGCATCCACAGAATGGGTTATCATACCCATTTGATTATTAAAATTCCCCCCTGCTGAGGTTACCCTATGGTGAGTGTTCATATAAAACACAAATATCTTCCTTGTCAATTCAGAGAGTTCTATCCATACCACTGTTCCCAAATTTTCTTTTCCTCAATTTTTCAATCATCTTCTTCCTAAGTCCTTAACCATACAGCCAAACAATTGGCTGTAGCCCATTAATTGATATATAATTGCACATCTGGCCACTTCTCCTTCCAAGCAAAGTGATAGACCAGTCCAGTGCTCATAGTTCTGCCCACTGGGAGGACTGCCCTTCACCATTGTTCTTTAAGAGTTCTCCAGAAAGGGGCTTTCAGATGAAGAACCGTCTGTAAACCAGGCTGTAGTCTTCTCTTCCTCTATCAACTGAGTGTAGAAAATTCCCCATGAGGCTATAGGTGTTGGCTAGGAAACAGAAGATGGTGAAATAAGAGAGGGACTATGAGCATTTGGACCACTTCTTCATGCAACTTACTTATGCCTTCAGAGGCTTCTCAGGTCTGGTGTTGTGTATAACACTTCCATTTGATGACTGATTCTGTGAACATTCAATTTTATGGCTTGGTGGCTCAGATAACACTCAATTCATGATGGGCAGCTCAGGTCTTAGGGTAACTTGGTGGCCGGTGGTTAAGCATTTAATCTCTACAAAGGCCCAGTAGCAGGGAAAGAACTATTTCTCAAAAGGAGAAGAGTTATCCATGGAGGATGGCAAGGTTTTGCTCTAAATCCTAAGGTCCTGTGCTGTGATTCACCTCTAGAGGTTGCCAAAGGCTCCACACAGCATCCCTATCTGCCACTGACACTTCAAGCAGCATTGGATCTGCTGGATCATAAGGCCCAAATGGCACAGCAACTTGCATGGCAGCCTGGACTTTTTGCAGAGCTTTCTCTTGTTCTGGGCCTTTTTCAGTGACTTGGTAAATGGGCTGCCGTAACCCACCCAAATGAGGACTACATTACCTCCAAAATCCAAAATGGCCTACCAGGTGTTGTGTCTCTTTCTTGGTTGTAAGAGGGGCCAGATGCAACAACTTGTCTTTCACTTTAGAGGAGATATTGTCACATGTTCCACACCACTGAACTCCTAGAAATTTCGCTGAGGTAGAAGGCCCCTGAACTTTTGTCAGATGCATTTCCCAACCTCTGACACACAAATGTCATAGAGTCATTGGTGCTTCTCTCTCACTAGGTCCAATCAGCATAATGTCATCAATGTAATGGACCAGTGTGACTCATCTTGTGGAAGGGAAAGACAATCAGGATCCCTGTGAACTATGACATAGGGCTAAAGAGTTGATAGACCCCTGAGATAAAACAGTAAAGGTATATTGCTAGCCTTGCCTGCTGAAAGCAAACTATTAGAACTCTAGCTCCCATAGCTCCAACATTAAATGCAGAATCTCTGTGTAGTGAGCCCATATCAATATATTAGGCCTGGTCAAACCTTAAGTTCCTTCAACCATTATCTCACACTCTTTTTTTTTAATTTTCTTTTATTATTATTATACTTTAAGTTTTAGGGTACATGTGCACAATGTGCAGGTTAGTTACATATGTATACATGTGCCATGCTGGTGTGCTGCACCCATTAATTCATCATTTAGCATTAGGTATATCTCCTAAAGCTATCCCTCCCCCTCCCCCCACCCCACAACAGTCCCCAGAGTGTGATGTTCCCCTTCCTGTGTCCATGTGTTCTCATTGTTCAATTCCCAACCATGAGTGAGAATATACAGTGTTTGTTTTTTTGTTCTTACAATAGTTTACTGAGAGTGATGATTTCCAATTTCATCCATGTCCCTACAAAGGACATGAACTCATCATTTTTTATGGCTGCATAGTATTCCATGGTGTATATGTGCCACATTTTCTTAATCCAGTCTATCATTGTTGGACATTTGGGTTGGCTCCAAGTCTTTGCTATTGTGAATAGTGCTGCAAAAAACATACGCGTGCATGTGTCTTTATAGCAGCATGATTTATAGTCCTTTGGGTATATACCCAGTAATGGGATGGCTGGGTCAAATGGTATTTCTAGTTCTAGATCGCTGAGGAATCGCCACACTGACTTCCACAATGGTTGAACTAGTTTACAGTCCCACCAACAGTGTAAAAGTGTTCCTATTTCTCACATCCTCTCCAGCACCTGTTGTTTCCTGACTTTTTAATGATTGCCATTCTAACTGGTGTGAGATGGTATCTCATTGTGGTTTTGATTTGCATTTCTCTGATAGCCAGTGATGGTGAGCATTTTTTCATGTGTTTTTTGGCTGCATAAATGTCTTCTTTTGAGAAGTGTCTGTTCATGTCCTTCACCCACTTTTTGATGGGGTTGTTTGTTTATTTCTTGTAAATTTGTTTGAGTTCATTGTAGATTCTAGATATTAGCCCTTTGTCAGATGAGTAGGTTGCGAAAATTTTCTCCCATTTTGTAGGTTGCCTGTTCACTCTGATGGTAGTTTCTTTTGCTGTGCAGAAGCTCTTTAGTTTAATTAGATCCCATTTGTCAATTTTGTCTTTTGTTGCCATTGCTTTTGGTGTTTTAGACATGAAGTCCTTGCCCATGCCTATGTCCTGAATGGTAATGCCTAGGTTTTCTTCTAGGGTTTTTATGGTTTTAAGTCTAATGTTTAAGTCTTTAATCCATCTTGAATTGATTTTTGTATAAGGTGTAAGGAAGGAATCCAGTTTCAGCTTTCTACATATGGCTAGCCAGTTTTCCCAGCACCATTTATTAAATAGGGAATCCTTTCCCCATTTCTTGTTTTTCTCAGGTTTGTCAAAGATCAGATAGTTGTAGATATGTGGCGTTATTTCTGAGGGCTCTGTTCTGTTCCATTGATCTATATCTCTGTTTTGGTACCAGTACCATGCTGTTTTGGTTACTGTAGCCTTGTAGTATAGTTTGAAGTCAGGTAGCGTGATGCCTCCAGCTTTGTTCTTTTGGCTTAGGATTGACTTGGTGATGCAGGCTCTTTTTTGGTTCCATATGAACTTTAAAGTAGTTTTTTCCAATTCTGTGAAGAAAGTCATTGGTAGCTTGATGGGGATGGCACTGAATCTATAAATTACCTTGGGCAGTATGGCCATTTTCACAATATTGATTCTTCCTACTAATATTCTTTCCTGTACATATTTTTTTGGATTTCTGTCTGTATAAATTAGAAAATTCAAGGGTTTTGTTGTTGTTGTTGTTTTGTTTTGTTTTGATTTTAATGTAGCATGCCTATGCTACAAAGTGTGCATACTTTGTTCCCACCTTCAGGGGCTTGCTGGAACTTGAGTCTAGTTAGAAGTCTAGGAGCAAAGAGGGGTGGTGGGGGTGGTTCCTGAGGGGACTCAGTCTTGTATGGCAATTGCCTCAGGGGAGGTCATTAAAGTTTCCTCAGGCAAAGCAGTGTTAAGCCTCTCAGATGGGAGTGGAAAAGCTGCTCCCACTAGGTGGGGGGGGTCTCCTTCACGGGCAAAAAAAAAACTCATCTGAACTTAGAGGCTCAATGTCAATGTCTCCAGCCTTATCAGGGTCCTCCTACACATCCCCATTCCAACTTTCAGAGCCCTATTCCTTCCCAATCAATACCTTTGCTTTAACAGTGGACATCTACAAGACTGGGAGTTCAACTTGCATTGTATTAAATAATTCAGCCCACCACAATATGAGGTTCTAGGTTTAATTTTCAGCAATATCGGCCCTGCAACTACAGGAGATAAGGGTCTCCTTTAGGGCACACACAGAAGCTTTTAGATCATTTTTCTGGGAATTCAAATACCTGATCTGATCTCTTTCTTTTCCCACCTTGTCCAATGACATTAGAAGCAACCAGCTAATCTCATTATTTTTGTTAGTTTGCCAAAAAGTTTCCAGTGTATCATATTCTTGGTCATCAGTATCCTTGCTTTATATAAGTAGTTGATTAGGAGTATGCTATAGTGATATTTTGTGTATCCATATTTCCAGATCTTACCATGGACAGTCAATGTTCTCTTTACTACTGTAAAAAAAAAGTTATTTACAGCTTTAGAAAACTCATCCTTAAAATTCTGTTTCTCTAGAATCACTCTCAGGACAAATATCTGTATTATCCAGGATGCATGGGTATGTAGACATTAGATTAGATTAGATTTGTTGTAAGGAACTGAGTCATGTGATTATGGAGGCTGAGGAGTCCCAAGATCTGCATTAGGTAAACTGGAGACCCAGGAGAGCCAGTGGTGTAGTTCCAATCCTAGTCCAAAGACCTGAGAAGACTGATGTCTCAGCTCAACAGTCAGGCAGAAGGAGTCTTTTTCTCACACATCCTGTTGTTCTACTTAGGATTCATTGATTGGATGAGGCCCACAATAGGGAGGGCAATCTGCTTTACTGTCTAGAGATTCAAAAGATAATCTCGACTGGGTGTGGTGGCTCACGCTTGTAATCCCAGCACTTTGGGAGGCTGAGGCAGGTGGATCATGACGTCAGGAGTTCAAGACCGGCCTAGCCAAGATGGTCAAACTCCGTCTCTACTAAAACTACAAAAATTAACCAGCTACAGTGGCAGGCGCCTGTAATCCCAGCTACTTGGGAGGCTGAGGCAGGAGAATCACTTGAACCCTGGCAGCAGAGGTGGCAGTGAGCTGAGATTGCACTACTGCACTCCAGCCTGGGTGACAGAGTGAGACTCCATTCCCCCACCACCCAAAAAATAAAAAAGAAGATAATCTCATCCTGAAACACCCTCACAGACACACCCAGAATAATGTTGGACTAAATGTCTGGGAACCCTGTGGTCCAGTTAAGTTGACACATGACATTAACCATCATGATGGACATTATAGAAAAGGCAAAACTATCAACACAGTAAAATGATCAGTAATTACCAAGGGAGGAGAAGGAGGAGGAGGAAAGAATGAATAAGTGAAGCACAGGGAATGTTTAGGGCAGTAATACTATTTTGTATAATACAGTAGTGGTGGTTTTACGGTATGATGCATTTGTAAAAATCCATAAATTTTACAGCATAAAAAGTGAGTTTTAATGTACATAAATTTTTAAAAAGTATTTAGGAGGTTGAGAAATCTCAGAAAGAAATGCCGACAGACCAAAAAAATCTAAATGCATTGCTAATGTATGAAACAACCTCACTGAAGGTGGTAGGTCAAAAGGTGCTGACCTAAGTAACTTTGGAAATGAGTAGAGTACATAAGACTAAAGGTAAAAGGAACCTTATATAAGACTGTACTCTACTTCAAGGGTCCCCAGACCCCAGGCCCTGGACCAGTAATGGTCCATGGCCTGTTAGGAACCGGGGTTCACAGCAGAAGGTGAGCAGCAGGTGAGCAAGTGAAGTTTCATCTGTATTTACAGCTGCTCTCCATTGCACACATTTCCGCCTAAGCTCTGCCTCCAGTCAGATCAGCAGTGCATTAGATTCTTATAGAAACAGGAACCCTACCACGAACTGTCCATGCAAGGGTTCTAGGTTGTGCACTCTATGAGAATCTAATGCCTGATTATCTGTCACTTTCTCCCCAAGATGGGACCGTTAGTTGCAGGAAAACAAGCTCAGGCCTTCCATTAATTCCACATTATGGTGTGTTGTATAATTATTTCATTACATATTACACTGTAACAATAATAAAAATACATGTGATGCACTTGAATCATCCTGAAATGATCCCCTCTCCCCTGGTTCGTGGAAAAGTTATCTTGCATGAAACTGGTCCCAGGTGCCAAAAAGGTTGGGGACCACTGCTCTAGTTGATAAAGTTGTTTCCCAAGAAACACAGGTTAACAATTCTAATACTGCTATACATGTATATTAAAACTGAACAATTAAGTAAATGGATGGCAAATGGCAGGAACAAGATATCTCACTGTTGGAGTGGGAATGCACAGTTAAGCAAGGAAGAGAGACAACAGTGATGCCCGTGGTAACAGACTAGAGTTGGAGACATCAATATGAACACATGTTATCTTAGTATAGATATTTACATATGGAACTATTTATTGATAGGTATACTTACATAGATTAGCATGCACGCATATATGTCCTTGCTGTGTCAGCTGAGAGGACCTAAAAGAAATGACACCCAGGGTAGCAATCAGCACGCCTAGTACTCAGATCTTAGTGTAGAATACTAAGTGAAAGGTACTCTAGTGAAAGGTACTAAGACTCCTTAGAGAAATGGATGATTCCAGGACTGGCAAGAAATTATACAAGACAAGCCTGGAGCATCTTGTAGTGCCAGAAATAAGAAAATGCTCAAAAATAAGGAAGAATCATATTGATGGGAATATGTCAAAAGAGCACAGGAGTCAACCTAAAGAATTCCCAATGCCCAGAACCAGAGCAATTAGAGCAAAGAAATGAAGCAGTGTGGTGTATACCCAAAGTAGGAAATAAATATCCCTAGAATGTTTTTTCTCTCTAACACAGACTCTCTAATGCACACAAACACACACACATACACACACACACACAGTTACCTCACAGTTATCTCACCTGGACTTTGAATGGGATAATATCAAGGAAAAAGGGCAGGTCAGCACTGTGTCAGAGAGCAGAAGTGCATATCCACCCGAGTCTGGCAGCATGAAGAGATAGTCTCTGGGCCTTTCTTAGGAAATAGGAAAACGTTCTTATGCCCTGTTAAATGTTGGAAAATACACACAACAGACTAACTTTTCTTTTAAGCCAAAGGACAGGGACATGTAGTTATGTGAGATGATGGCTCCATTCCTGTCAACTGAGGCAAACAGAACTCACTGTCTTCAGCTTGGAAAAACTCATCAAGGGGTTGCATGACGTCGCCAGCATCCTGAGGTTGTTGACTTTTCTTTCTTTCTACTTATCAGTGTGGTAGAAGTGGATGCAGAGGGAGAGCAGGACAAGTGGGACTCTTTTGATTATCATTAGCGACCCTCGAGCCTTGCTGATCAGAAAGAAGACTGTCCTCAGAGATGGTTCCCACATGGCACCTGATATACAATCAAAGCCTAGTCAATATTTGTTTATCGAAAACGGAGAATAGCAAGGGGTATAAAAAATTAGTTTAAATGGTACAATTTATACTCAGGTCTGACTTTGCATATCTGGCTCATTTGAGGGACTAGGTCACCAAGATTACCACCCTCATTTGCTGAAATCCTTCAGTGGCTTCAAAAAATGCCAATTTCCCACCAAAGGAACCCAGCTCCTGATAATTGCATCCCTGCCTTCCTCAGCCTCATCTCCAAACACTCCCTAGCTGGCTCCTCCATTCCAGCCATCCCCAGCTGCTTGCTGCTGCAGGACCTGGTGGCTATGGTTTGCTTGAGGATTGTGCTACCTCAGGCCCTAGAACTTGCACACGGTGCTCCTCCTGGCTGGATCCTGCTCCCTCTTCTGCTTCCTGCCCTAATTTATTCCTAAAGACCCTGCTCAAATCCATACCCTCTAGCAGGTGCCCTGAATCTGTAGGTCCTTTTCGTTCTCCTTCACCAGACTGAGACTTCAGTGGAGAAATGAGTTTCTGAGTCACCTTGCAAGTAGGTGCTCAATGAATGCCAGCTGAATGCTGCATTTGTGAAATATAGCCTTGGAGGAGGAAAATGTGATTCTGGCAACAAGGAAAAGTCATGCATTATTTGATCAAAGGGTGGAGCTGTACATGACTTACTGGTTTTAAAAGGGAAAAATACACACACATAAACATAAGTAAAAGTTGCTAAGGCATTGAATTTCTATTTTTAAATATCATATGGAGTCAAGTATGAATTCCATCACCATCGTATTAAAGGAATTGTATCTCTTGCAGACTATGCATATCATGCAAGTTTGAATTTAATGAGTGTGTAATTGTAGCCGTCTGAGAAGGTGAGACAATGTGAATGAATCAGCAGGGCACGGGTAGTTTGGTCGTGAAATACAAGTACAGCCTTGGCAGGGCTGTGTCACATTTTTCCAGGCAGATGGTCTGTTCTCTTCTGGCTTTGCTTGGTATGACTGGTTCTGTCCTTGCTGCTCATAAACCTACATGCCCCTCTGCCCCCTGCCCCAAGACAGAGCCTGCTTTGTGTTCTACGCACCTGGTGAACACTCCATCCCAGCTCTGATCAGTCATCTCTCTCCATCTTCCCCAGTAGACTGAGCTCCATGGGGCATGGCTCAGTGCCTGGCAACATGTGCTTTTTGAATGAATGAAATGAATAAATGAGTGGAAAAAAGGGAAAGAAAAATGAATGAATTAGTTCTAGATCACCTTTTTGCAAGACTCCCTTGATATGCATCCCAAATTCTTCTTTCCACTTATGCCATTCAGGCTTTGGAATCCTGAAATTCTCCCCATAGTAACAGGCTTGGGGGTGAGGAGCACAGAGGCTGAAGGGTGCATTCTGGAATCACCCACCGGAGGTTTGACTCCCTGCTCCATCCCTTCTTGCCAGCTGGGTAATCTTGACTGAGTACCTAGACCTTCTTATACTCAGTTTTCCCATATGTCAAACTGGGATATTGATAAGACTTACCTCATGAGGCCATGGTTCCCAAGCTGTGTGCCAAGGCACCCCAAGATGCCACAACAAACTCACAAGGGCACCAATGCACATTTTAAATCTCCAGGAGGAAACATGGAGATGTCTATCAGATACTGCATGAAGCTTTGACATAATCATGATGTCTATTGCAATACTGCAACTCTTGGGTTGGTTGGACCTAACTACTGAAAACTGGTATTTCTTTTGACCTGGGGCCACAGGGAAAATTTCCTGAGATCCTAAGGGCACTGTAACCAGAGAAAAGTTGGGTCTCCAAGTCATAGGGTTGTCATGAGAATTTAGTGGGGAAGTACAGAACAAGCTTGCTACTTGTTAAGTGATCCACAGATGTTAGCTATAATCATTATTTCCCTGTCCTCTGGATAAGTTTCATCATGGAATTCTGTTTATCTAAATCACCATTTAAATTACCAGCAAACCAAAAATTAAGCAACACAATTCTGAATAATAGCTCAAATTCCTTTATTTTTCCCCAAATTACAAATTGACTGGGATGATTAAATAGTTCAAGAAAAAAAAAATCTACGTGGGACTAGGCAGAATTCCTTAGGGGTGTTCCTTCTAGGAAATGAAACCCACAGACATCACCGAAGTTCTCACTGGGCACAAACCACTAGAAGAGAGTAAACAATCCTTGAGCCTACTACACTGGAAACTCACACCAAAAATAGCCTCCCTTGAATGAAAGGTAATCTTTGGGAATATACTGTCTTAAATAGTCATTTCAACAGCTCATTGATTGTTACAATCAAATGTCAAGTACTAGTACTCTGCTTCTCAAGAACTAAATGTACTGGAAACAATTTATTCTGTTATCCTAATTTAGTTTTTTTTTAATGGATAGATATCTTGTTTATTTGTTTCCAAGGTATCCACCATTACACTTATTATTTTTTTAAAGCAAGTCAGCCATGACTTGGTTCAGGATGAATAATGTATAAATGTTATGTGTTTAAGCAGAGGTTGCCATGTCATTTTTACAAAAAGATTCCCAGGAATCACTAAGGCCAGAAAATAGCTCTTAGTTCTAAGGTCCAAACACCAAGCAAGATGTGTAGGCTTTTTTCTCCCAAAGAAATTTCAAACCAATTGCATTCTTGAGTCCATTTTTTTAATGGAAAGATTAGCCCATATATGAAGTTATCATAAAGTGCTGAATGTTGTCAAAGCCCCTGACAATCCCAGATGGAGTGGGGGAAGCTGGCCACTCACATTTGCGGTGTGCTGGTGAGTCACTTTGGTATTTGTCTGTTGTGTCTCTTTTGTTAACAATGCAGGGATGTCTTTTCCTCCCACATCCAAAACTATTCATTAGACCAGGAGCACCAGAAAGTATAAGAATAAAATTCTTAGATTTAGTTTAAATCTAAATTGGCCTTAAATGTCGGTTTATGTTTCTAAATGTCCAAACAAAAAACCCAGCAGGTTCTTGTATGATAAAATATAATACTGAGTAGACTGCACACAAAGGAGTTCAGAATGTTTTTCCATCTGAAAAAACCTCTCTACCCATCCTTGTGAATTTTAAGAGGTAAGCATGTAACCCACTAGGAAAGACGCCCATACAGTCACAAATGGATAGTGAGGGTTCCAGCATTCTGTGATCCTCAATTTTAGTTCTAGAGCCAGTTTGTAGCCTCTGAAAAACCTTTAGAAATCATGCCCATCGTTCATGGATCTTGAATATCTTCATTTTGTAGCTTGTGTCACTAGGATGTGAGAATTTTGTGGGTGAGTTTTCCATCCTCCTTGTGCACTGCTCTGTCCCTCTTGTCTTAAGTGAGTGTTCCGTACACAGTAGTTAAGTCTATCAATCAACGTTCAAGTGTTATTGTTAGTTATAAACAGCTTTTTAAGGTCATTCATTCAGTCCCATGTGCACTGTCTTCATTAATCTTCATAAGACGAGAAAGGGAGTATGATCACCATTTTACAAAGACAAGGCTAAGATTGGAGAAGGCAAGTGATGGCCCCTGGTCACTCAGCTAACAAGCCCAAAGCCTAGGCATGGAGCCTCCATGTGACAGGTGCTTTGCTGACATGAACCAAACCATTCCCACTGGACCACACGTCTCCAAGCACCTTTGGTTTTCCCCATTTGTTTGGATCTAGAGCTTGCAAGAAGCTGTGACCAGAGGCAGAGTAAGTGGGAGTAAGACTAAGGTGAGGGATTGGAGAGGCAGCCTTGCCCCGCGTGACCAGGAATCAGGACACAACTCCACCAACAACCTTGTGTAACCTGTTTCTTTTTTGGAAAATGGCAGGATCAGGCCAGATTGTGAGGGGTTCCCCAGGGGTTTGGTCTTGCCATCTCCTTACAAGGCTGGTGCCCTTCCAAGATGTCCACTTAGAGGCTGAGGAATGAGGCACAGGAGGGTCTTCTGGCAAACACTCTGAATGCCCAGTGGACACGTGGGGATGGCAGTGACCCACTTCCACCGTCTCCCTCCCAGCCCAGGCTAGATTCACTTCTGAGCAGCCAACTGCCCTCCTTTCCCAGACCGGCTGGTACCTCCTGCCAGCTTCACCTCCCAAGCCTTGATCACAAAACCCTCCATTTTTTTCAGCCTGTTTTGTGGGACTTGCATTCTGTGGATCACCCTTTGAAAAACGTGGTTATCGTTATTCTAACGGCCAGATAGAAGGCAGTGTTTTTATACACTGAGTAGCTATGCATACACTAGGCAGGGGAAATCCACAGCTTGCTGCTACCACAGCCCCTCTAGAGTGGGTTCTTCAAGAGAAATGTAGGAGGAAGCTTCAGGCAGTACCATTCTTTAGCTGGAAGGAACTCCAGCCCTTCACTGTTGTGGAAGCTGGGCCCAGAGCAGGGAGGCAGCGTCCCAAGATCACACGGTGAGTTAGTCACCAGTGAAAATAATATTTTCCTCCTTGCACACCACACCCTCTTTTTTTCCAGGCAAATTCCAGGCTCCTTTGGAAGAATGACAATGCTACAGAAAAGCACATGGATTTGCAGCTTCGTGGACATCACCTGTGAGGGTGACAGCTCTTTACTCTCAGTGAGTTCCCCAGGTACACAAGCTCCTGAACAGACACAGGATGCACACATCTAAGTGCTTTCTGGCCCCAGATCCACATGCGCAGATGTAGAAGGGGCTTTCAGCTGATCACGAGGGTGTGGAAAGGTCTCAAGGGTGATTCAGGCACATAAATTCAAAATCTGTTTCTTCAACAAGAAATGCAGCTACCTTAAAAAAATTTTTTTAAGTAATCCAGATAATATTTTATTCAACAGATGGAGGAAAGTGAAGCCAGGCTTACTGAGGAAAAAAAACAACCCTCAGAAATCAAAATCAGACAGCTATACCCGGTCTGGCTGCCCCAGAGCGGGAAGACCTGAACCTTGGCAGGGCTGGCTGCTGTGCTGACCAGTCTGATATCAAGAAGAGAAGTGATTTTCCGATCCTGCATCCGGTACAGCTGTGCGGACTCTGCTCTTCCTGCCATTCCACCAAGAAATTAAAAAGCAATTTTCTTTTGAAGTTCTGGGGTTTTTTTGTTTTTTGTTTTTTTCATTTAAGATTACACTTTGAGGTCAGAAAATGAGACATAAGGAATTCACAAACACACACGCATTCGATTCAGAAACATTCCACCCTCCACATCCCCATTTTAAACTGTCCTGAGGCCCAGATGGTTTACAGCTTGAGCCGGCTTAGGCTGGCAAGCATTTCAGGGATCTGGTTGACTACGTTTTCCTGAAACAGAGGTATTTTATGCATTAAGCTGATCAACACCGGGGAGAATGGGGCACCCTAACTGCCTTTAAGTAATATCTTATGAAGCTCTTTTAGGATTAGCAGCAGAACAAAATACACCCAGGAATCAAGGGTATAAAGCAATGAAGATTGTGTTTCACCTTGCAATATTGTGAGTAGTGTTGTTTATTCAAGGCAGTGTTAATTTTTATAATTTTTAAGCTTGTATGTATGTTTTTCTCCTCAGATGATTATGGTCTGTATCAGTTGCAGTTCAAGCAGGAAGTAGAAACCACACAGTAACTTAAACGGGGAAAGTTGAGTATAAAGAATTAATAAGTAAAATGTAGAACTGGAGTAACAAGGGATTGGCTAGTGAGAAGTGAACTCTAAAGAATACAAAGCAGCAGATAGAGGGAGCCGCCACTCTCCGTCCCTGGAGCTGAGATGGATGCTCGTGGAAGGGCCCTCGCTTCCAGGGCTGAAAAGATTCAGACATGCCGAGAGGGCACAGCCATAGCTCAGTGGGTGGCAGGGAATTTTTGCAAGTGCTGTGGTGTTGCAACAGCAGAACTTGCTAGAAATGGGCCTCTTTTCTTCAAATCGAAGGAAAGACATTTCCCCAAACTGAAGAGGACAAAAATGAAGAAATTCTTAGCCTTTCCCTCAAATCAGGAGCCCCATAGTTCTCAAGGTCATTATATTGGTGATGGGCTATATTAATCACTTCTCAAATTCAATCGTAGTCTAACTCATGTTTTCTGCATATATTATAAAATGAATTTCTAACAACATGTACATGAAATAAAAATAGGAAAAACGATGAACATGGTTATCATGTAGAAAAAAATACTTGTCATAAACAAATAGAACATTTGCAGAGCTTCTATAATCCTTGTTTCTGTAATTTGGCATTGAGCCATGTTAGGATGTGTGGCTTCCTTCTCTGGCTCTTCCATATTCCCCTTGCCCTAAGCCAGACCGTGGCTGCTCCAATTCTTTACAAGGAGGTTATGTCCTTGATCAGCCTGCCTTTTCTTTAGTTTCTCTAGTTTTCTACTAAACTTTACTGTTGGTTAGTTTTTACGTGCAAGTACTCAGGGGCACTCATTGCCCCTGACAGTCTCCTCCCTCCGTCTGCTGCGCAGCAGAAACCCAGTTTCCCCTTGGTCACCAGGATCAACCACCCGAGCTATAGACTCATTCCTTTTGTGACTGTTTGTCCAGTGGCCTCTAGGACCCCACAATGGCCATGCGGAGTCTCTGCTTCTAGTTCAGTAGAGTCATTGCTGTGTCCCTTGATGGGGGGGCAAGTGCTTCTGCACAGCTGTCTGAGATCCCCAAGCCCTCAGAATCCCAGGTTGCTAGGATGGCGATTAATTCTTGGACCCATGGGCTCTGGCCATCATGGTCTCTGATTCAAAATATGTAATGCATCCTGTAAGACGGAGTCTTGCTTTGGCCTACTATTTTATGAGGCTATTTTAGGAATGCAAGCAGAGCAAAAGACACCCAGCAACCAAATATGTAAATCAACGAAGAATGTTTCAGATTGTAATCATGCAAGCAGAGTGGTGTCTATTCGATGTTGATTTTTCAAACTTTCCAACTTGCATTTTTTTAGAGTTGTTAAAGGATGAAAAAATTAAAGCTAGACAGGAGGAATAAGTTCTAGTGGTCTATACCACTGTAGGATAGCTATAGTTAACAATAAAATATTATACAGTTTCAAATAGCTAGAAGGAGGATATCAAATGTTATCAACACAATGAGCTTATAAATGTTTGATATGATGTATATGCTAATTACCCTGATTTGATCACTATACATTACATGCACCTAAAAATCATGATGTACCCCCGTGAATATGCACAAGTATTATTTGTCAACTAAGAAATTAAAATTTTAAAAATCTTTTAAAAACACTATTGCCTATAAAAAGAAAAGTTGAAAAAATCTATATGCCATGCCATGTGTTGGCACTGCATTTATTGTCTTATTTATCATCATAAGCCC
Source organism: Homo sapiens (assembly GCF_000001405.40). Classification (NCBI taxonomy): domain Eukaryota; kingdom Metazoa; phylum Chordata; class Mammalia; order Primates; family Hominidae; genus Homo; species Homo sapiens. Next base: position 237,259,909 of record NC_000002.12, read on the forward strand.
ACCTAGCAGACAACTGTGAATCTCCATATCTTGTAGAAAACCAAAAGGTTAAAAGATTAACTTATTATTTCTATAAGCATCATTAATGTCACAACCTAAAAAGAAAGAAAGAGAAAAGGAAAAATGGGGTCAAATTTTAATGTCTGGTATAATAACTCCAGATCTCTAGAAACTTTTTTTTAATGATTCTTGCAGGTATTCCTTATAACCAGGTCTCAGGGTTGCCTTTGCTAGGGGTGATTTTATTAGCAGGGATTTAGACAGAAAAGACTTGAGCCAGACTTCCACAGCCATAACAGACCTTTGAGACATCTTATCTCCAAAGTCTGAGAATTCCCTAGAGAAACATGCTTCTCATTCTATGTCCTCTGATAAGCTAAGGAAGAGAAAGTAAAAAAAAAAAAAAAAAAAAAAAAGACAGGGAGTAAAAGAAAAAAGGAAAGCAGAAAAAAAAGTCATGTTTGTAACATATAAATTATTTTCATATGCATTACTAAAAATTCCCAGCTCTGCAAGAATGGATCAGTTCCAAGAAAGATAGAGCTATAAAACTGTAACGTCCACCTCAAGTCTGTCAGAGACCAAAACTCAGTTTAATCTGATGGTTGTTTGGTTGCCGGTTGGTTGGTTGGTTGGTTGGTTGGTTGGTTGGTTTTCCCACCCCACAATCCTGCCACTGGTACCATAACATGGGACTCTATAAATGGAGGCCTACACAGTTGGATCTTTCAGGACAGCATTAAATAAAATATTTAAAAGTGAATGTGAGGCAAAGTTGGGAGGCAAGCTCTGGGTGCCCAGAGACCTCGAGGATAACTAATGAGTTCCTTGCTCCCAAATGAGGAAATGTGACTCTATCCTATGATCAGGGGAGAAAAAACAAAGGTGACGAGGTGCCCTGCGGGAGCTGCAGACCAGAGCACAGCTGAGAGCCTGCTTGTAATCTCCCTCCCACCCCATAGTGGGTGGCCATTCTGCTTATGGTGGAGAGCAATGGGTGGAGCTGCAGAGCCCATTTATAGCCAGGAGGATCCAATGTCCATTTTCACACACTGGTTTCTATGACTGAAGGTGACTGAACAACACCTTTTAGAGGTTATTATTGTGAAACAAAGGATTGGAGTCGATCCTTCTAAAATTTCTCCATTACACCTGCCTATGGGATGCATTGGTCATAGTTCATAATAGCAAAAAATGGAAAAGACTCAACATGTTTAAATAAATTATGATACCTGGTAAAGAACATTAGATAGAAATTTAAAATCATAATTTTAAAGTGTAACCCATACACCTAGTGCCCAGATCTTGGTTTCTAATATCACTTTCCAATAAAAGGAACCAGAACTCCTTAGAGAAATGGCTGTGCATTAGTCCATTCTCACATTGCTATAAAGAAATACCCAAGACTGGGTAGTTTATAAAGGAAAGAGGTTTAATTGACTTGCAGTTCCACATGGCTGGGCAGGCCTCAGGAAACTTACAATCATGGCAGAAGGCAAAGGGGAAGCAAAGATCTTCTTCACGTGGCGGCAGGAAAGAGACAGCTAGCAAGAGCAGGGTAAACTGCCTTATAAAACCATCAGCTGTCATGAGAGCTCATTCACTATCACAAGAACAGCATGGGAGAAACCACCTCTATGATGCAATCCCCTCCCACCAGGTCTCTACTTCAACGCCTGGGGATTAAAATTCAAGATGAGATTTGGTTGGGGACACAAAGCCTAACCATGTCAGGCCAATTTGGCAAAAATACACAAAATAAGCCTGGAACATCTTGTAGTGGCCTAAAGTAAGGTAGTGCTCAAAAAATTTTAAAAAGTAAAAACAAATGAACAATGGGGTTCTGTCAAAAGGCACAGGAGCCAACTGTAAGAGCTCCCAACTGTACAAGCTGAAGAATCCGAGCAACAAAAATCACATAATATGGGATTATAACCCAAAGTGCAAAATAAATATCATGTGTCCATACTGACACAAATAAATCACTGAATCAAAATAAATGAGACAGGAGAGGCAAATCTCCTATATAAAGAATTCCAAACAATTTCAGTAGATGCTTCATCCTCCAGAAGGTGAAGCCTACATCCCCACTCTAAAAGTGCTGGCTGCAGATAGTGACTTCTTTCCAAAGGGGACAGAATGGCAGGGGGGTCAGGGATGGGGAAGAGTCACTTTACAGTAGACAAACACGACCTCAGCCAGACGATCAAGGTCAGCAGTAGTAAGTCATGTTGACAGTATGTACCTTTGACATGATGTGATGAGGATGGCACCTTAAGTCTGTGGCCTTCCTCCCAAAAACACATAATCCCAGTCTAATCAAGAGAAAAACTCCAGACAAACCCCAATTAAAGGACACTCTACAAAATACCTAACCAATACTCCTCAAAACTGACAAAGCCATCAAAAAGAATCAAAAGAAAACAGACAAGGAAGGTGAGATGTTGCCATAGCTCAGAAGATCTCATGGAAGCATGATAGCTCAATGTCATGCAGGATCCTAGAACAGAAAAAGGACATTAGGCAAAGACTGGGGAACTCTGAATAAAGTGTGAACTTTAATTAATAATAATGCGGCTCATTAATTTTAACAATTGTACTATTCTAAGGTGAGACGTTACCATTAGGGGAAATGGGGTGCAGGGTATCCACTATTCTGAATTATCAACAACAGACCTTGTGTTCAGCATTGCTGATCACACGTGTGGGCCTTCCGAACACAGGGGTAACCTTTGCAGGATGGCTTTCTGCCAATGTAATGGCAGAACTCTGGTATTTCAAGGCCATCCTTTAGGACTCTAAGGTATCCTTTAGTTTTCTATGTTAAAATGGAGGAACAGTTCAATCACTTCTATTCATAGCTTTTCATTCCCACTGCCGTATAAAGAGGAAGGCAAACTGAACAATGTCAGGTTGTTTTCATAAAGTTTTAAATCAGAAAATCTTTTTTGGACTTCAACTTTCAATGCCACAATTTGGAGGCTATCATTCAGGTAGAGCAAAGGAAAATGGGTCATCAGAGTTCCCAAATCTCATGTCCAATTGTACTTCCCAGTGTTGGAGGTGGAGCCTGGTGGGAGGTGATTAGATCATGGGGCGGATTTTTCCCTCAGTGCTGCTCTTATGATAGTGACTGGGTGCTTGTAAGATTTGGCTGTTTAAAAGTGTGTGGCACCTCCCGCCTCTCGCTTCTTCCTCTTGGTTTGGCCATGTGAGGACATACCTGCTTCCTCTTCACCTTCCTCCATGATATAAGTTTCCTGAGGCCTCCCCAGCCACTCTCCCTGTGCAGCCTGCAGAATCGTGAGCCAATTAAACCTCTTTTCTTTGTAAATTACCCAGTCTTAGGTATTTTTTATAGCAGTGCAAGAATGGACTAATACATGAGCCATATTATTCTAAGTGAGTTTTTCAAAGACAATTTTGCAATACAGGAACTGAATCACAAAATTGTGTAACAAGTGGCTAATGCCTGAGCAGAGGAAAAAGATTCCAAGTGTGAGATGGATTGTTGAATTTATGAAAAAGCTGAGTCTTGATCCCAAATTATCTGTTAAGGACAGAAATTTTTTCACTGAAAAATGTTACCTTTTAAATTTAAAACATCTTTTTGGCACCATGCCAAGGCGAAAGCACCTGCTTTCCCGTAGCACAGCCAACAGGGACATTGCACATCTAATTCCACAATCCTGATGTCGAGTGGCCAGTGGGCTCAGCACAGGCATGCGTGAAATTTGCCGAGTTAACTACATGTCCATGGCACATGTCTGCTTTCTCTGTTTAGCACAAAGCATTTTCTAGGACATGCCACGATGGACAACCCAAGTCCCTTGTTGGAGAAAGTATTGTCATTTTGTATTGAACTTGTTGGATTGGCTAGTTACCCAACATTTGAAGCAATTATTGGAGGAGCCTAACGTGGTCACATATGTAAATTTTGACTAGTCTGCATTAAACTTTAAGCCTTATCTCAATATTTCAAACCAAGTCACTGCTTGAAGATCTGGTCTTCCTTGCACGACAGATTCAAAAGTATTTACAAATATTCTCACTGACACCTGAACACACAGGGCTTATTGGAGAGCATTATTTACATCTGGACTCTCATCATTACAAAAAATAATGCTACAAATGATTCACTTTTTCTTATAACTTGTCCTATGCATTCTTAGCTGTGTCTACACAGACGGAACAGCAGGTTTCTAGTTAGGTTCACATTTCCAAATACTTCTCTCTATTCAGAACACACGATTTCTACTGCACTCACAAGACTCCCTTTTATGAACTTGCCCTTATGTCTGGGCAATTGTTTTACATTTCAATCATAAGTGTATTTCTCAGTCACATTAGTTATTGAATTTTCTTTTTAAAAAACAAAATATATGGAAGTGTTCTTTTTTATAGTTTGTTAAATTTTCCACCATGCATCTCTTCCTTATATGGATCATAGACCTTATTGCTGTATTTGTGTTATATTAATGACAATGTTTTAACTGAATTCCTTCTACACAGATATGCTTTGTTTGTAAAGTAAACATACCAAATTCTTTTTCACTTTTACACCTCAGTTGGTTTACTTTTATTGTTCTTCTTGGAACCTATAGTCTTCTAGCTTTTTTATGTTTGCATTTTGTATAGGGCACAAGAAGGATATAGGAAATCTTTTCTTCCCCCTTTACTGCAAGAGAAACGGCCCATAATGATGATCCTTGGCAACTGAATACGCGGTGCTGGGAAACAGTAGAGGGTGGTGGGGACTGCAGGGAATGAACAGCTCATGTCTCACTCATCAACAACTGTGGCTGTGGGGGAACGTGGCTCTGTGTCTACTGAACTTTGCCAGTTTTAAAGAGAAACACACAATCGAGATTTTTGTGATTTTTAACCTTGCAACAAATTTCATGATAAATTGAACCCAAAAAATCCCCACCGTGTGGACCAACTTTTTTATCTGCAAAACAAATAAAACTTCTTGGGGCAGAATGTGGCCAGCAGGCCCCGTGTTTGAGATCCTTTCATAGAAAAACGATGGCGGGAAGCATGCAAACACTCAGGTGGGTGCAAGCCGCGCACAGTGAGTCACCCGGGCTCCTCCGTCAACGCATCCTCTGAACAGAAGTTCACACCAGCCTTTGCAGCTACTGGTTTGGGTACCCGCCACAGCACTGACTCACAGAGCTGACGATCCCTCCACCAGCTCCCCAAGGCCTCCAGCCCGCTCCTGGGCTCCTCTCGCCTCTTGGGTCCAGCATCCTGGGTCTTTCAAGCCAAAGGTAACAGAAATATCTCATGTCCTGCCTCTCATTGTTGTAGATGAGGAGACTGGACCTGAGAAAAGCTAGAGCACTCACTCACAGCCACCCAGCGTATCAGGGGCAAAGGAAAAATCAGATCTGCCTAGAGTCCCTGACTTTCTTTAACTCCTTTCCTAGAAAAGAGGAGTGTGCAGGGTCACATGTGACCAGAGAGCATGTCTCAGTGCCCATGGGTTCACATCAGCTTTGTACACTGTCAGGAATTCATTTCCCACATAAATAGTAGAGAAATGTGATACTTGAAATGAACAGGTAAAGGAGGCTACCAGGAAAACTAACTATTTCCCAAAAAATATTCTAGTTTCACACTAGGCCTACAGACTATGTCTTTGTTTCTCTAACTTAAAATACATTAAATAGATCTTAAATAATTAAAGGTATTAATACAAAACTACAGAAGACTTAGCTGACTTTATGATATCCAAGGGTGACAAAAACCTCTCAAAACAAAACCTCAGGCCAAACCATAGAAAAAATGATTTTCTACATAAATTATAAATTTTTTGCATATCTAGCAACACTATAATCAAGTTTAAAGGCAAATAACTAAGTAGGAAGAATTGCACCAAAATAAATGGCAAAGGTTTGATATTCTTATATCAAAATCATTTATGAATCATGAAGGCAAAGATACATATATACAAATTCTTTAAAAGGCAAACTACTTGATGACAAAGGTAAAATACAAGGGAAAATAAACACATGAAAAATGTTTCATTTATCAAAGAATTGAAATTTAAAGCAATTAAGATAATCATTTCTAAAATACTAGGTAAAAAATGAAAAAAGATGAATGAATCTTTTGGTTGGCAAAACAGAGAAGTGGACTTCACTATTCTCTAACTGGGAGAAGGCAATTTGGTTTAAGCCTTTTAGAGAGCAATATGGCCACATGTCCTCTGGCCCAGCTGAAAGGCTTCTAGAAAATTATTCTAAAGGTAGTCAGTCATGGAGACGAAACTGGTCACCACCTCACTGTTAAAACAGCGAAAAACTGGAAGAAGTCCCAGTAATGGGATTTCATGCAAACGTTACAGGAATTGTGCTGATGGGGAGTCAGTTGAGGAAACAGTTCCCCTCCAACATTAAGTAAAATAGCAATGCATTTCCCTGTGCAGCTGACCCTTGAACAACATGGGTTTGAACTGTGCAGGTAGGTTCATGCATGGATTTTCTTCTGTCTCTGCCACCCCTGAGAAAGCAAGAACTACCCCTCCTCCATCTCCTCCTCCCCAGCCTACTCTACATGCAGACGATGAGAATGAAGACCTTTAGGATGATCCACTTCCACTTAATAAATTGTAAGTGTATTTTCTCTTCCTTATGATTGTCTTAATCACATTTTCTTTTCTCTAGCTTACTTTAAGAATACACTGTATAATATATAAAACATACAAAATATGTGTTAATTGACCTTGTATGTTATTGGTAAGAATTCTAGTTAGCAACAGACTATTAGTAATTAGGCTTTTTGGGGGGTCAAAAGTTATACTCAAATGTTCAACTGCACAGGATCAGCACCCCTAACCCCTGTGATGTTCAAGAGTCAACTGGTACATCCATGTATGGACAGACACTTGAAGATTTTACACCAAATATTAATGATGGAAGTGATGGGTTACAGCCAATTCGATGACATGGAAATGAATATATATGTTAATGTTATGTGGAGAAAAGCACAAAATTTACAAATTATTTCAATATAATAGTATTTTAATTTTGTTTCGCATACAATTATAATTTTGCTTAAAAACAGAAGAGAATATCAATATTGAGAATATAAACTTAAGAAAAAAAGCAAAATATTAGCTACATTGTTACACTTTGTTAGAAACATAGAATGAAGAGTAGAAGGAGAGACATCAAAATCACACCTGGAGTCAACAATACATTGTAGAGTTTGGGCTGGTTTTTAATTTGTCTTTTCTTTCTTTTTTTTTTTTTTTTTTGAGACAGAGTCTCACTCTGTCACCCAGGCTGGAGAGCAGTGATGCAATCTCAGCTCACTGCAACCTCCACCTCCGGGGTTCAAGTGATTCTCCTGCCTCAGCCTCCTGAATAGCTGGGATTACAGGCAAATGCCACTACACCCAGCTAATTTTGTATTTTTTAGTAGAGATGGGGTTTCTCCATGTTGGTCAGGCTGGTCTTGAACTACCAACCTCAGGTGATCCGCCCGTCTCGGCCTCCCAGGTATGAGCCACTGCGCCTGGCCCTTAATTTATCTTTTATACTCTATTCTTCCAGTCTTCCTTAAAGGAATAGTGATTACTTTTATGATAAACATATTGTTAAAATAGTTTTTCTCTCCAATTCTTTACGAAAAAATGAAATATCCTTGGGAAAAGACACAGACAAGATATCCATAATCATGTGAAACAAATTATTTGGCTTATAGGTTTATAGATTTTCTTTTCACCAAATATATTGTTTTTCAGGCTGTAAATCATGAATCTTATTTTTCCTTGATATTTAATCAGTTATACTTCATCTGCAAAAAAAAAAAATGATTAACAATTTTCTTTGGGAAGACCAGTAAGGTACATAAGCATAGTGAGGACTGTCTATGCTTTTTATCTTTATACATAACAGCACAGCTTTTTTTATTCATCTAAAAATCGACAGAAATGCCTAAAAGACACTTTATTCTGGAACAAATAAGGTGAAAACAGTTCTATTTCTGTTCCAAGTGACCTCATGCAGTTTCTACGGTAAAGAGCCTATTTCTATGGAAATAGCTTTTTCATAGAGCCCTCTGGCTGCCCAGGTTCAATGTCATCTCTATACTTGGTGCACTTTTTGGAATTGTTAGGAATGAATGATGATAAGTTTGGATCAACTACTAAGTACTGTATGCCAAAGAAAATATCTCAGAACCTGTCATGTTGGGTAAGGCCTTTGCCTCTTCTGGAAGTTTCCAGACCTCGTCTCTAACGTATCAAGGACAACTCTTGAAATAGCTTCCAACTGGACACCCTGGATCCAGCGTTGGCCAAGCAGTCAGTGCTGATGAGCAGGGATTTGGAAGGAGGGGCCTCTTCACAGAGCACAAGGAGATCCCAGAAGCTCCTTCAGTGGGGTCTTGGGGGACCCTGAGAAGGCCCTGCCTTCTCTCCCTCACCTCTGCTGCCCTCTCCTCACTTTCCTCTACCCCTCTGGGACCCTCTTTCCCTGGTGCCCAGAGACTTGGGTCCACCCTCGTTCTCTGGCCCTGCCTCCTACTGTGTCCTCTTGGGCAGGCTGCAGGGAACAGCCTCACACTTGCCCAGACCTCTTATTTGCATGTGATCCTGGAGAGACAAAGAGCTCAGACTCTGGGTCCACATTGCCAGGTTCAACTCCCAGCTCAGCCCAAAGCTGGTTGTGGGATCTTAGGAAAGTCAGTCCCCGTCTCTGTAAAAGGGAATCATGACTGGACCCTGCTCCACAAAAGCGGTGTTGGGAATAACAGAGCTAGACCACGATCACACTGAGCCCACAACCTGCACATGCGGAATCCTACCCTAGTTAGAAAAGCCAAGCATCCTCATTTGCAGGGTAGCTACTGACTTTTTTTTTTTTTTTTTTTTTGAGACGGACTCTCACTCTGTTGCCCAGGCTGGAGTGCTGTGGTATGATACCAGCTCACAGCAACCTCTGCCTCCCAGATTCAAGTGATTCTCCTGCCTCAGCCTCCTGAGTAGCTGGGACTACAGGCACCCACCACCACACCCAGCTAATTTTTGTATTTTTAAAAGAGATGGGGTTTCACCATATTGGCCAGGCTGCTCTGGAACTCCTGACCTCAGGTGATCCACCCACCTCAGCCTCCCAAAGTGCTGGGATTACAGGCGTGAGCCACTGGGCCCGACCCTGACATTCTGTATGCATCCTTAGGCAGCTCTTACAACAACCCTCTGAGACTGAGATTACTGACATATTACGTGTGATGTGAGGCCCAGAAAAGTTCTCCGGTGTGTCGGCATTCCCAAAGGCAGGAGCTCATGGATCCCAGGCATGACTCGCCCCACACCTCTGCTCTTTTCCCTGCTTTCCATGTCCTTCAATTCAAACAATAAAGAGGCTTCCTAAACATAACGCCTGCCCCAAGCACAGCATTGGGTATACACAAAGAAAACAACCATCAGTCAGCCGGATGCAATTACCATGTGATTAAATGCTTTGAGCTGTGATATTTATTCACTTGGATAATAAATAATCTCAGTTCTGTGAAAAGAAATCCCAATTAATGAATATGTAAATGAAGCCACTGAAGACAAACACCACAGTCTTATGTTTGAAAGGATTTAGTAAATATTAGTGTTTTTCCCTACAAACATAGGCAAAGGGGCTACTCAGTTTGCTAGGACTTTTTCATTGTGCTTTCATCTGTAAAATGCTAGTCACAACACTCTAAATTGAAGTTTGAATTCTTTTTCCATTCTGGGTGGTTCCCTGCCAAGTGGGAAAGAAACTGGCCTGGAAGTCTCTGTTGTGGCGCCTACTGGCAGAATCCTTGGTAGTCATGCATTCTGCCTGGGGAGAAGAGGCTAGGGCTCCTCAGCCCCTATCCCAGAAAAGGTCATTCTTCTCTCTCACCATTGCCTTCTCTGGAAAGATGGGGACATGCCTGCAAACGTGTCCTGAGGGTGAAGGCACAGGTATCTTGTCACTCCCAGGAGCAGGCTCCGACTCTCCCTGACTTGTGTTTGACCCTGGGCCCCTCCACCTCTTCTCACCTCAACAACTCACCTGCAGAGTAGCTGCCATCCTATCTTCATGGATCTCCATAACTATTCCGATGTCCTATTAAGACTGTTTCAGTGCATGTGCTCTGCAGAGTTGACAACTGCATATCCATTTCTCACCCAGCCTGCCGTCTACCATTATTCCTCCAATGGCAAACACTGCCGCCAGCTCCAGTGGTCAGCGGGGTCTGTGCTTAGTGCTGTATTGTGCAGAGTAGGGGGGTCCCACCTGTGCCTCCCACCCACCTCCCCTGCTTTCTAGCAAGTGAGACCTGAACTTTACTATCTAGGAGAGCTGAGGAGATTCTGTTCAGCCCTCGGCGGCATTGGAGGGGAGGGTCTGAGCTCATCTTCAGCAGAAACTGAGCAGCAGAAAGGATGGGGAAGCCTGTGCCTGTTCAGGCCTCTGGGGCAGAGAATTATCACAACCGGGGGATCTACCCCTAAGCCCAGCAGTTCTGTAGCTAGAGGGGAAATGGGACTTTTTTGCCATGAAAAATGGCATACGGCTGAAGCAGCAGAGCAGATGAAGTTGCAGCACAAGAGCCAGCTCCTGCAGCCATTCCAGGGTGGGCCCCTGCTATGCCGGCCAAACAGGGAGCAAATGCCTCTGAGACACAGGGAAATACAAGTCCACTGGACCCTGTCTCCTTGCAAACTTCAACACCCGGGACCTGCTAGTTGCTGACAGTGAAAGGTCTCCTGACATGTGAATGCAGCTTCTCATACACCCCAAGGGACACCACACCCCGGCTTCCCAGGTGCCCTGGGAGCTGAGCACTTTGCCTTCAGTGCATCTTTAGAGCTTTGCAGCCTGGGAGAGGCTGTTCCCAGCACACAGCAGGCAGCCTCCTGTTGAAAACATCTATCCTCCCATTCACTGACTCAGCAAAGACAAGAAAACCTACCAAGTCCCAGAGAAGACTTGAGAAGGCAGTTCTTCAGCTGGGGTTTGGAGGATGAAAAAGTTTGTCAAAGGAAGAGCATTTGCAGAGAGGAAGTGACTGAACGAAGGTAAGGAAGTCCAGAAACGGTGAGTGGGCCCAGCATGTCTCACCACAGCCAACAGGTACAAAGGTAATGGCAGGAGATGATACTGAGAATGAGGCAGCTGCCTGAGTGGGGTCCTGAGATGACCCTGATGTCTGGGGAGAGACGAAGCCATGGTGACCACAACCTGATCGTGACTGTAAGTGTCAGCCAGCCTGGGCGAAATCCAGATTCAAGATTTCTTAGGCTGCATGCCCTTGGGCAGCTCGTCATCCTCTGCGTGCCTTGGTTTCCTCATTTAGAAAACAGACGCCTTGGGAAAGAAGGACGGGGGCCTGAAGAAGTCCTGTGTCTGACTGGTGGTGGCCTCCCTTCATTTTCCAGCATTTCTGCTTTCTCCTCCCAATACCTCTCCCTTTTTTAAAATTACAGTTTACAAACATAAACACCAGGCTAAATAAAATGAAAAATCACATATAAGATGTGAACAAATAATAAAATAATGTCATCCAGGAGTGAAATCAGCACCCAAAATGAAGCCTATGAGCTTACACTTGATAGAAGTGAGATTAGATATGGTTCTGTGCTTTCCAGTAGCAGAAGGGAGATACTTGATCAGGTGCATGAATTAGAAGATCTCTCAGGAGAAAATAAACAAACAAGTCACTTTCACAGAAATGCAAGTATACCTGGTTCTCCTCCTACAGTTAGTCCTAGCTTATCCATCTGTCTGTCTGTCTATCTATCTATCTGTCTATCTTTTCATCCATCCATATATCCATCCATTAATCATCTATCTATGGATCTATCATCTATCTATTTAGATCTCCTGATTATCCATCTATCATACTCTATTTTCACAGAGGATGTTGGATCATATTTAATATCCAGAAACTCCTACACTTAACATACTTTCAACTTGCGAAATTTAGTAGCTGTGAACAGAGCTGTGACCTGGAGCACAAAAATATCAGCTCAACCCTCTACCACAGGAATGATGACAGTAACCTTTATCTACGGCTTTAGACTCAAACACGACAGGACTTAAGGGAGGGAACCTGTATTTGTTTAGAAGACAGGACTGCAAGCACGCATGTTTTCTTAAATTACAGCTCAAAATTATATGGTTTTAAAATTGTTCAGATAGAGTGATTAGTTTACAGTTATAAATCCTTATATTTAAGTTAAGCTGAATACATAGAATAATGACCTATTTTGTTTCAAGAACTTGTGTTGCAATATAAAAATGCTCACAAGAATTCCATAGGTTAGATAAATATGTGAAAATGTACACTTTGCCAAGCTGAGGAAAGAATCTCACAAGTTGAAGACTGGATCTCTGAAATAAGACAGTCAGACAAAAATAAAGAAAAAAATAATTAAAAGGAATGAACAAAACCTCTAAGGAATATAGGATTATGAAAAGAAGCCAAATCTACAAATCACTGGAATCCCTGAAAGGAACGGGGAGAAAGCAAACAACTTAGAAATCATATTTCAGAATATCGTCCATGAAAACTTCCTCAACCTTGCCAGAGAGCCCAACAGCCAAATTCAGGAAATACAGAGAACCATTGTAAGATTCTACACAAGAAGATCATCCCCAAGACACAAAATCATCAGATTTTCCAAGGTTAAGATGAAAGAAAGAATGTTAAAGGCAGCTAGAGAGAAAGGGCAGGTCACCTACAAAGGGAACCCCATCAGGCTAACAGTGGACCTCTCAGCAGACACCCTATAAGCCAGAAGAGATTGGTGGACCTATATTCAACATTCCTTTTTTTTTTTTTTTTTTGAGACAGAGTCTTGCTTTGTCACCCAGGCTAGAGTGCAGTGGCACGATCTCGGCTCACTGCAACCTCCACCTCCGGGGTTGAAGCGATTCTTCTGCCTCAACCTCCTGAGTAGCTGGGATTACAGGCGCGTGCCACCACGCCCGACTAATTTTTTTTTGTATTTTTAGTAGAGACGGGGTTTCACCACGTTGGTCAAGCTGGTCTCGAACTCCTGACCTCATGATCCGCCTGCCTCGGCCTCCCAAAGTGCTGGGATTACAGGCGTGAGCCACAGCGCCCAGCCTCAACATTCTTAAAGAAAAGAAATCTTCAACCAAGAACTTTATATCCAATCAAACTAAGCTTCCTCACAAAAGAAGAAATAAGATCCTTTTCAGATAAACAAATGCTGAGCAACTTCATTACCACCAGACCTGCCTTACAAGAAATCTTGAAAGGAGTACTAAATATGGAAAGGAAAGCCCATTACCAGCCAATGCAAAAACACACTTAAGTACACAGACCAGTGACACTATAAAGCAACCACACAAACAAGCCAGCATAACAACCAGTTAACAACACAATGACAGGATCAAATCCACACATATCAATACTAACACTGAATGTAAATGAGCAAAATGCCCCCATTTAAAAGGCACAGAGAGACAGTCTGGATAAAAAAGTAAGGCTCAATGATATGCTATCTTCTAGAGACCCATCTCACATGCAGTGACATCCATAGGCTCAAAATAAAGGGATTGAGGAAAATATACCAAGCAAATGGAAATCAGAAAAAAAGCAGGGGTTGCAACTCTAATTTCAGACAAAACAGACTTTAAACCAACAAGGATCAAAAAAGACAAAGAAGGGCATTACATAATGGTAAAAGGTTCAATTTAACAAGAAGATCTAAGTATCCTAAATACATATTTACCCAACACAGGAGCACTCAGATTTATAAAGCAAGTTCTTAGAGACTTAGCCTCTCACAGTGTAGACTTAGACTTAGACTTAGCCTCTCACTTCAAAGAGACTTAGCCTCTCACACAATAATAGTGGGAAACTTCAACACTCCATTGACAATATTAGACAGATCACTGAGGCAGAAAATTAACAAAGATATTCAGGACCTGAACTCAACATTGTACCTAATGGATGTGATAGCCCTCTACAGAACTCTCCACTCAAAAACAACAGAATATACATTCTTCTCATCACCACATAGCACACATACTCTAAAATCAACCACACAATCAGACATAAAACAATCCTCAGCAAATGCGAAAAGACTGAAATCATACTAAACACACTCTTAGACCACAGTGCAATAAAAATAGAAGTCAATACTAAAAAAAAAATCTCTCAAAACCATGAAATTACATGGAAATTAAACAACCTAGTCCTGAATGACTTTTGCAAAAATAATAAAATAAAGGCAGAAATCAAGAAGTTCTTTGAAACTAATGAGAACAAAAATACAACATACCAGAATCTCTGGGATAAAGCTAAGTCAGTGTTAAGTGGGAAATTTATAGCACTAAACACCCACATTAAAAAGTTAGAAAGATCTCAAATTAACAACCTAACATCACAACTGAAAGAATTAGAGAAGCAAAAGCAAACCACCTCAAAGCCAACAGAAGGCAAGAAATAACCAAAATCAGAGCTGAACTAAAGGAAATTGAGACATGAAAAACCACTCAAAAGAGAATAAATACAGGAGTTGGTTTTTTGAAAAAATTAATAAGATAGGCCACTAATTAGACTAATGAAGAAGAAAAGAGAGGTGATCCAAATAAACACCATTAGAAACGACAAAGGGGATATTACCACTGACCCCAAATAATTAAAAATAACCATCAGAAACTATGATGAACACCTCTGTGCACACAAACTAGAAAATCTAGAAGAGATGGATAAATTCCTGGACGCATACACCATCCCAAGACTGAAACAGGAAGAAATTGATTCCCTGAACAGACCAATAATGAGCTCTGAAATTGAATCAGTAATAAATAGCCTACCAAACAAGAAAGCCCAGGACCAGATGGATTCACAGCCAAATTCTACCAGATGTACAAAGAAAAGCTGGTACCATTCCTACTGAAACTATTCCAAAAAATTGAGGACTCCTCTTCAACTCATTCTATGAGACCAGCATCATCCTGATACCAAAACCTGGCAGAGACACAACAAAAAAGGAATACTTCAGTCCAGTACGCTTGATGAAGATTGATGCAAAAATCCTCAACAAAATACTTGCAAACTGAATCCAGCAGCACATAAAAAGCTAATCCACTGTGATCAAACAAGGCCTCATCCTGGGATGCAAGGTTGGTTCAACATGTGCAAATCAAGATATGTGATTGAGCACATAAACAGAACTAATGACAAAAACCACATGATAATCTCAATAGATGCAGAAAAGGCTTTTGATAAAAATCAACATCCTTCATGTTAAAAATTCTCAATAAACTAGGGATTGAAGGAACACACCTCAAAATAATAAAAGCCTATCTATGACAAACCCACAGCCAACATCATACTGAATGGGGAAAAGCTGGAAGCATTTCCCTTAAAAACCAGCACAAGACAAGGATGCCCTCTCTTACCACTCCTATTAAACAATTCCTATTTGCAGATCACATGATTCTATATCTAGGAAACCCCACAATTTCAGCCCCAAATCTCCTTCAACTGATAAACAACTTCAGCAGAGTTTCAGGGTACAAAAATCAATGTACAAAAATCACTAGCATTCCTATATACCAACAACAGCCAAGTTGAGAGCCAAATCAGAAATGCAATCCATTCACAATTGCCACAAAAAGAATAAAATACCTAGAAATACAGCTAACTAGGGAGGTGAAAGATCTCTACAATGAGACTTACAAAACACTGCTCAGAGAAATCAGAGATGACACAAACAAATGGAAAACATCCCATGCTCATGGATAGAAATAATCAATATCATTAAAATAGCCATACTGCCAAAAGCTATTTACAGATTCAATGCTATTGCTATGAAACTACCAATGACATACTTCACAGAACTAGGAAAAAACTACTTTAAAATCATATGGAACCAAAAAAGAGCGTGGATAGTCAAGGCAATCCTAAATAAAAAGAACAAAGCTGGAGGCATCACACTAGCCAACTTCAGACTATACTACAGGGCTAACATAACCAAGACAGCATGGCACGGGCACAATAACAGACATACAGACCAATGGAACAGAATAGAAAGCCCAGAAATAAGGCCACAGACCTACAACCATCTGACCTTTGACAAAACTGACAAAAACAAGTGATGGGGAAAGGACTCCCTATTTAATAAATGGTGATTGGATAACAGGCTAGCCAAATGCAGAAAATTAAAACTGGATCCCTTACATTATATACAGAGATCAACTCAAGATGAATTAAAGGCTTAAATGTAAAACCCAAAGCTATAAAAGCCCTGGAAGACAACCTAGGCAATACCTTCCTGGACATAGGAGCAGGTAAAGATTTCATGATCAAGACACCAAAAGCAATCACAACAAAAGCAAAAGTTGGCAAATGGGATCTAATTAAACTTAAGAGCTTCTGCACGGTGAAAGAAACTATCAAGAGAGTAAACAGACAACCTACAGAATGGGAGAAAATATTTGCAAATGATGCAACTGACAAAGGTCTAATATCCAGCATCTATAAGGTACTTAAACAGATTTACAAGAAAAAAAAAAACCATTAAAAAGTGAGCAAAGGACATGAACAGCCACTTTTCAAAAGAAAAAATACATTCAGCCAACAAGCATATGAAAAAAATCTCAATATCACAGATTGTATTAGTCCATTCTTGCATAGCTATAAAGAAATATCTGAGACTGAGTAATTTGTAAAGAAAAGAGTTTGAATTGGCTCATGGTTCTGAAGGTTGTGCAGGAAACACGATACTGGCATCTGCTCAGTTTCTGGGGAGGCCTCAGGAAACTTATAATCATGGTGGAAGGTACGGGGGAGTGAGCACATCACATGGCCAGAGTAGGAGCAAGAGAAAGAGAGAGATAGTGCAACACACTTTTAAACAACCAGATCTCACGAGAACTCACTCACCATTAGAAGAACAGCACCAAGGGGATGGTGCCAAACCGTTGATGAAGGATCCACCCCCATGATCCAGTCATCTCCCACCAGGCCGTATCTCCAACATGGGGGATTACAGTTGAACATGAGATTTGGGTGGGAACCCAAATTAAAACCATGTCACTGATCATTAAAGAAATGCAAATCAAAACCACAATGAGATACCATATGACACCAGTCAGAATGGCTATTAATAAAATGTCGAAAAATAACAGATGCTTGCAAGGTTACAGAGAAAAGGGAACACTTACACTCTGTTGGTGGGGGTGTAAATTAGTTCAGCCATTGTGGAAAGCAATGTGGCAATTCCTCAAATTGCCAAAAACAGAACTACCATTCAACCCAGCAATTCCATTACTAGGTATATACCCAAAGGACTATAAATCATTCTACCACAAAGACACATGCACACAAATGTTCAATGCAGCACTGTTCACAATAGCAAAGGCATGGAATCAACCTAAACGCCCACCAGTGACAGATTGGATAAAGAAAATGTGGTACATACACACCGTCAAATGCTATGCAGCCATAAAAAAGAATGAGATCATGTCTTTTGGAGGCCATTATCTGTAGCAAACTATACCACAGGAACAGAAGACCAAATACCGCACGTTCTCACTTATAAGTGGGATGATGAGATCACATGGACACAAAGAGGGGAACAACAGACACTGGAGCCTACTTGAGGGTGGAGAGTGGGAGGAGGGAGAGAATTTTTAAAAATTTGGGTATTAGGCTTAGTACCAGGGTGTCCAAATAATCTCTACAACAATTCCCATTACATGAGTTTACCTATATAAAAAACCTGCACATGTACCCCTGAACCTAAAATAAAAGTTTCAAAAAAATATATGAATATTTAATGCATTGAATTGTACACTCAAAAGTGGTTAAAGTGGTAAATTTTATGCCATGTATAATATTCTTTGCCACAATAAAAAGCATGTATGTTGACAGAAAAAAAAATGTACACTTTGACCCAGCTTTTCATTTTCTCCATCTACCAAATGCCTAAGCAAGAGGAAAACTGCCACCATTGTGCTGTGTTTAGGGTAATGGTGGCTTTCTACTCACATTCATCATTTTAATAACCGTGTGGTGCTGTAGATCTCTCATCTGTCAGTCCTAACGTGTGATAGAATCTAGAATATTCTCTCCATACATTTTTAGTAAAAAGCTGAAGATTTTTATTGTTAAAGGTGAGAGTAATACAAACTTAACAAATTCATCGTATCTGTTGAAACGGGCTCACTTTTTCCAGTTTGTTCAGTGAACTAAATTAAGGGAGGAAACCACCCCTCATATTGTCTTATGCCCAATTTCTGCCTCCAAAGAAAGAAGAAGTAAAAACTAAAAGGCAGAAATGGAATCCACAGGCAGACAGCCCGGCGCCGAGCCCTGGGCCTGGTTAAAGATCGACCCCTGACCTAATCGGTTATGTTATCTATAGACTCCAGACATTGTATGGAAAAGCACTGTGAAAATCCCTGTCCTGTTCTGTTCCATTCCGTTCTGATTACCGGTGCATGCAGCCCCCAGTCACATACCCACTGCTTGCTCAATCAATCACAACCCTCTCGCGTGGACCCCCTTAGAGTTCTAAGCCCTTAAAAGGGACAGGAATTGCTCACTTGCGGAGCTCGGTTTTTGGAGACGTGAGTTTTGCGGAAGCTCCCGGCCAAATGAAGCCCTTCCTTCTTTAACTCCGTGTCTGAGGGGATTTGTCTGCGGCTTGTCCTGCTACAAAATTACAAAGCTTCGCTCTGGGGTTTTGATTGTTCCATTTTGCTCTGACAACTCTGACTTGACTGCTAGGCTTTCTGAGTGATGATCTGATTTTTAAAGTCCCTTAACAGGATATGAATCTTGTAGTATTGCATTATAATTGCTAACAGGCTGCCTGGCTCGGCTTGAGTTAAGTTGCAACTCGTTTCCAAAGGAGGCAAATGAGGCCAGTGCCCGGGAGCATAGCCCCAGCATGGCTGCCAAAATGCTGACCAGTGATTCATTTTATGACCTACCTTCAAGCAAGCAATTTTAAAGAAAGAGGGATGCCTCCTGCACTATCGTTTTGAATATAACCTAGTCACATTCTTTCAGAATTGTTTTGTAGTGTATTTAAATATGGAAAGAGCCTTCGCTTCATAGCACATATTACATTTGTAACCTGTATTGGCATACCTAAATCCCAGGCCCTTTGCTGTAACATTTTTACTTTAGATTGGAGCTGGGGAACACTCTCATTTTATCTCCTGCTGCATCTCAGATGTGAAGGCTCTTTGGGCTCCACCATTACCTCCCTGGCAGTCCACCCTGCACCATAGCAACAAGCACATGTGCTCCCTCCAAGTCAGGGGACACCAGGCAGGATGGGGAGAGGGAGGTGAGAGCAGAGACGGACCTGGACTAGAGCTGGCAGGGCTTTGCTGTGAATAGGATGGAAGGCTTCCCACTCTGGGGAAAACCGGGAGAGCATGGAGTCATGGACGCTGGGAGAAGAAAGGTTTTAGAGGAGGCCAAGGGTACTAAAGCCCACCAAGGGTAGCTTAGGTAAGATGAGGACAGAGTCACAGCATGGAGCATACTGATGGTGGGGCAAAAGGACATTTCCGTGGGGTCAGAGCCTGATGACAGCAGTTTATAGAGAGGCTAGAAGGAGGGGTTTGGCTGAGACATAGAGCTGAGAAACGAGAGGGAGCTGGGTAATCTGTGGAGTTCAAGAAGCTTGCTGGTGGTGGTGTTTGTTTGTTTTAGGACGAAAGCTATGAAGGAGTATGTGGCTGATGGGAAGGACACAGAAGACAGATGCTGATGCTACAAAAGACGGAGACACTTGTAGAGTCAAGGTGCTTAGGAGACAGAGGGAGACGCAGAACACAGGTTGGGGGTCTGCATTTGGTGGCAGCAGGGACTCCGCTGCCAGGTGAAAGGGGATCCATGGAAAGAGACAAAAGGTCTATGGCTTGTTGGGGACAGAGGACACAACGGAAGCCAGCAAGCCAAAGCCCCTCATTCCAAACACCAGCTTTGGAGTCCGTACAGGGCTGGCTGTCCACATGGTCATCTGTTCTCAGACAAAAACTTCACTACACATTGCAGAAAAAAATAAGAAGTGAACTTTGTCCCTGTGATTTCTGCTGTCCCCACTCATTGACGGTCTGTTGGAACCTTGGGCGGAGTCTTGTCTGCATTTCGCGTGGGCACCTGCAAAGAAGCTCGTGACATGGTGGGACCCCAGTGACACAGAGCTGCAGAGTCTGGACTGCAAAGGCCTTCACCCTCAAAGTCGCTCATTCACAGAGTGGGAAACTGGAAGAGCGGGCCAAAACGAACGGAATGGAATTTTAAAGGGATTGATGTAAATTTCTGCTCTGGAGTTTTTTTTAAAATAAACGTTATACATGTTTGGAATGAAGGGAAACAATAGCCAGCTGTGTACGTGTGGGAGCCGATAGGAGTCGGGAGGACACAAAATTAATACAGTAATGAAAATGTCAGAGACCAGCCCCATCACCCCACAGTATATCAAATTTCCCCAGTGAATCATCTCGGAGGAAATGCCTTCCGTAGTACCGAATAAAAACCATGAGAGTCAACCGTGGTCTGCAGCTTGTGGGAATTTCTTCAGCCACCCACACCGCTGGTTTGGATGACAAATAAGCCCCCACAGGCCACGCTGAGCCCAGTGGCCACTTGAGGCTGCTTAGATCTGTCTCGGCTCTGAGGACCTCCCTCTGGAAAATGTACATCCTGTGCACTTGAATTTACTGAAACTTCTTCATTTTAACGTTGTAATCAAGGCCAATCATTTTCATGTCAATTTTTTAAAAACCCCATCGCAGGGAAAACAGGGCTCTGCACACAGGAAATACTCAGAAGCCATGTTTCTACTTAATGGTAAAATAAGGACCAACAATTCTTGTGTTACCAACCTCACCAGGTTTTCAGGTCAAAGGAAATATACCACTGACGTCTTTGCAAATACAGACGTTCCCCAAAAAGCATATTTGGGTTTGTATAACACCTCAATTAACTGGATTAAATTGGGAATGGGTTTCTGGTTAACTGAATTTGTTTCAACCCATGTTAAAAGCTTCCTAAAATGTTTGTTCGCCTTTTTACTTCGGTAACACCATCTGGGGCATCTCTCAGCCCCTCCTGGCTCAGGGGTCAGGCAGGAATGAGTGGAGCTAACCCTGAACGAATATTGGCCCCCTTAATGAATCCACTTCATTTCTGATCAATGCCTCTCCTCTGAGACAAGCTCCATGACGACAGGAACCATGTCTATCTTGGCTTGGATGACAAATCAGCCCCCACAGGCCACGACGAGCTCAGTGGCTGGGAGCCTTGGGGCCCAATACAACGTCTTCGTTCAGAGGGTGTGTAATAAATATGTGTTATGTGAAAAGTTTCCTGATGTTAGTCTTGTTTTAATTCATTTTTCTTCCAAAATAGAGAACAGTTCATAAAATGGATATTCTAATTGGTTTGTTGAAATAATTTAGCTTTACCATCTTTGCACAATAGTAATTATTTTCAAATGGAAAATCAGAATATTCGGAGAATGACCATCTCCCTGTCTACATAAAATCAAAGCACAAAGTGAATTAAAACATTTTAAAAATCAACAGATCCAAACAACCCACACCACAGTTGGAAAACTCAGAGGCTCTCACTGGCTTTGGTAGGACTTGGGTGCTGTTGGCAAGAGTGGGCAGGGAACCGGACGTCAAGGTTTGTCTAGGCAAGAGAAAGTTTGTGTTTAGGATGAAGTAAAGAAAAGTCCAGGACAGGGAGGGATTCCTAGGTGAGCAAATTTTAGAGGCCTAAAGGAAATTATCTGCATCTTCTAACATACTGTCAAATTAGGGAAATTATTGTAACTTGGAAGCAACTGGAAGCAAAGGACAAAAGCCTTGCCCTAATGTGCACGTAAAATGAGTCCTGCCTTAGCTTCTTACTTAATTCCCTTTTGCTAATAAGGCTTTGCTGTAAAATGCTTGTCATTTTGCGTCCAAAATGATCTGTGGCATTGAGAACACCAGCAGTGATGGAAGCGATGAGCCTCTGGTGGAGTCTCTGGCACATTTCCCAAGAGGGCAAATTGAATAGAACTGGAGGCCACAGTGACCACAACCTAGTCAGAAACTCAGCCACTTCTAGATGGTAGGATTTCTCAAAGACAGGCTGGTTTGGGCATAATGCCAGGAAATGAATTTCAAAGTTCTTCAACCTCAATTTGGAAATCATGTCTCATCTTAAGGACAAAGGAGCCCACACACAGAATATTGGATTATAGGATTTACAAATCCAACCATTGTTTAAATGCCATAAAGCTTACTAGATCTGCAGCTTCAGTTATGTCTGCACGTTTCATCACACTGACTTATGGAGCACTTATGGAGCACTGAGTAACTGACAAACACTTAATCCTCCTAGGTATTTTGTAAACTAAGGCTTGGAGACATGAAACGACTTAAATCCTACAGCAAGTGACTACGGAAAAGATTACAACTCAAGTCTTCAGGCTTTACTTCAAAGCAAATGTAATCTGCCTGATAATCATGTTAAATTACCTTCCATACTAGAAGACGAATTCCATGAGGATAGGGATTTTTGTCCATTTGTTTACTGGTGTGTCCCCAGCATTTGGGACAAAATAGGATGTTCAAATATTTGTAGCAGGAAAAAAAGAAAGGAGAGAAGAAGGAAGAAGAAGGAAGGATAGGAGAGGGAGGGAGAGAAGCAGGAAGAAAACAAGGAAGGAAGGGAAGAAGGAAGGAAGGAGAGGGGAGGGAGGGGAGGGGAGAGAAGGGGGAGGGGAAGGGGAAGGAGAAGGGGAAGGGGGAGGGGAAGGGGAAGGAGAAGGGGAAGGGGAAGGAGAAGAGGAAGGGAAGGAGAGAGGAGAGGAAGGGAGGGGAGGTGAGGGGAAGGGTGGGAAGGGAAGGGAGGGGAGGGGAGGGGAAGGGAAGGATGGAAATGTCCCATTTACTCATGTGCATCTACATGGAGGAGCAGAAATGCCAAGAGCTTTATTCATTTGGGAAGCACTGCATTAACTCTGCAGCTGTGACTGAGTTGTGTAGGTGGAGGAGACAGTGTCTGTCTGTCTACCCCAGAGCAGAGTTGGGATAAGTGGTAGAGCCTCTGATGATGACTGGGTGTTCCTAGGTTTTTAGTTTCAGCCCAAAGCCTCCCCCGTCTGTCTGGATCCTAGGTGAAGACCTCAGAAAAGAGAAGCTTTCTGTCTGGCCCTTTTCTAACAATCCAGGCTGAGATGAGATTGACAATCACAACCAACGCCCCACCATTCTCATTTCACTTTTTTTTTGCTCAACCTAAAAGTGATCCTGTTTAGTGTTTGAAGTAATCCAATAGTGTTTGCTCTTATATCAGGAAATTTCACATAATTAATTGTAGCACATGCTGGCAAGTGATCACATTTTTGCTCTACGGCCTTAGCAAATTCCACCATGCAGTGGGAACAACTTCATTATACCCAAGTAGTGAGCTACTTGTGCAATCAGGCTGGATATTTACATTTTTGAAATGGAATTGGGCTGTATTAAGATGACCCATCTAGAAGCATTGATGGCTTGTACTTTTTTCTTTTTTTCTTTTTTTTGTAATTCTGATTGGTGTTTTCCATTTGGAAAGATAATTTTTTTTTAGTAAATTTTCATATCACGAAGGCATTTGTATTCAATGACAACCCACTTCTAATGGTATTATGACAGATAAGGTAGTGTGTGCCCAGTGGCTGAGGAAAAACGTCCAATAATTTTGGATATACTGTAGTATGTGAAATGCATAAAATGGATATAGACACATGGTGGTTTCCAAAAACAGCTGCAGTGTCACCAACTTATAACAATGTCTATGACTCACATCTTTAAAGGAATGACATTTCCACTTTGATGAATCATATCTGGACTATCACCAATGAGTTTTAATAATCTATTTCTCTAAGAGTAATGCTTTCCTGATGGAAATTTAAAATTTTAAACTTTTTAAGGTATTAGATATCTAACTGTAATTCCTGTCAGTGCTGTTTCTTAAATATCTCTGCAATTCCTGTCCCTGCAAATGGGATCCGCTGTGTCCCTACGCAAACGTAGCACAGCAGATTTCAGCAGAATCCACACTTAACTAAAATAGAGCAGAGAGCTGTTTAGGAGCTGCCCTGCACCCCTCTTTTGTAGCCTCAACTCTTGCCTCTCCTCATGCGGCACCCTACTCTCCCATGGTTCTTACTAATCTGCAATGGCCAGTATCAATCCCTGCTCATTCTTATGTCTTTGCGTCATACCTGCTATTGCCCCTGCCTCGGTCATGCTTCTTCGTTGGTGCAACTCCCTCATTCCCTTTAAGCTGATTTCTTCTCCCCACCCCCAAGACAGGTTATCAGAGCCCCTGTCTGCTCTCTCAGGACACCTCAGCTTGCAGGACACACACTCCCAACATTGTCTTCTCAGCTCCTCGATAGCCCCTGTCTCCTTTTCCACCTCCACCTCTCCTAACCCTAAATGTGGTCCCTGAGGACCACCTCATCCTGTTCTTCACACTAAACTCTGCCTGTGCAATCCCATCTGTGTCATGACTTTAGAGACCATCTATGAACTGAATATCCTAAAATCTCCATCTCTAGTCCACACCTCTTTCTGAGAGCCAGACTCACAAAATCCCACTATCTTATTGACAGCTCCACATAGGTAACTAAGTGGTACCTCAAACTCAATGTGCTTAAAGCATGAGCTCATCTTCCACTCCAGTTGCCAGAGAAACCCTGCTTCTCTCCTGAGGCACCATGTTGGTGAATGCAATCATCATACAGCCTCTTGCTCAAGACTCAAATCTGAAGGTATCTGTGACTTTTCTCTCCGTGTCCAATATAGCATCACTTTTATGAATTTCTTCAATATTGCACATTCTCTCCCCTATACTCATAATTGTCTGTGCTGTGAAACTTCTCTGATTGCCTCCTCACTGGTCCCCATGCAGCTATGTTTGTCCCCTTGTCAATCCATTCTACCCATCACATCCATAATCATCTTTATGAAATGCAAATCAATCCATGTCACTTTCCAACATGGAATCTCAGTGGGTTCTACTCCACTCTCAGGATAGAGGCCAAAATTCTCAGTATGGTACATAAGTTCACCCCCAGGCCCAGCTTTCTCCATCAGCTCCCACCACCACTCTCTCCACTCCAGACATTCTAGGTTGCTCTCAATCCTTTTTTATTGACTTTTTTATATTAGTTTTAGGTTCACAGCAAAATGGAACAGAAGATATGGAGATTTGTCATATACCTCCTTTCTCCACATAGTCCTCCTCATTATCAACATCCTCTAACAGAAAGTATATGTATTACAATTGATGAACTAGATGGATACATCATTATCATCTGGAGTCCATAGTTTACTTTAGGGTTCACTCTTGGTGTTGTGCATTCTATGGATTTAGACAAATGTATAAGGACATGTATCCACCACTACAGTGTCATACAGAGAGTAGTCTTACTGCTCTAAATGTTCTCTGTGCGCCACTTATCCATCCCTCCATCCCCCTAACCCTTGGCAACCACTGGTCTTGTTCCTGTCTCTATGGTTCTGCTATTTCCAGACCGACATATAGTTGAAATTATGTAACATTTAGCCTTTTCAGATTGGCTTCTTTCAATCTTACAATGCATAGTAATATACATTTAAGTTCCCTCCATGTCTTTTCAATGGCTTGAAAACGAATTTATTTTTATTGCTGACTAATATTCCTTTGTGTAGATATACTGCATTTATTTATCCACTCACCTACTGAAGGACATCTTGGTGGGTTCTAAATTTTGGCAATTTTGAATAAAGCTGCTATAAACATTTGCATGTAGGTTTTTGTGTGGTCATAAGTTTTTAACTCCTTTGGGTAAAAAACAAGGAGCCCATTATGCAATCATAAGTGTGATGGTTAATATTAGGCGTCAGCTGAATTGGATTGCAGGATGCCTAAATGGCTGGTAAAGAATTATTTCTAGGAGTGTCTGTGAGGTTGTTGCCAGAGAAGATTGGCATGTGAATCGGTGGACTAGGAAAGGAAGACCCACCCTCAATGTGGGTGGGCACCATTCAATCTGCTGCCAGCACAGCTAGAACGAAGCTGGTGGAAAAAGGTGGGATAAGTGGGGTGCTGAGTCCTGGGTCGTCTTCTTCTTCCAGTGTTGGACTCTTGCTTCCATTCCTCCTGCTCTTGGACATCAGACTCCAAGTTTTTCAGCCTTTGGACTCTGGGACTTGCACCAGCAGCTTTCCGAGAACTCTTGAGCCTTTGGCTTTAGACTGAAGGCTGCACTGTTGGCTTCCCTGGTTTTGACACTTTCAGACTTGGACTGAGCCACTACTGGCTTCTCTCTATCCCCAGCTTGCTGATGGCCTATCGTGGAACTTAACCTTGTGACCGTGCGAGACAGTTCTCCCTAATAAACTCCCTTTTATATATACATATATCCTGTTGGTTCTGTCCCTCTGGAGAACCCTGACTGGTACAATATGGCACCCATGTTTCATTTTTTTAGGAAACTGACCAACTGTCTTCAATGTAGCTGTGCCATTTTGTATTCCCACCAGCAATGAATGAGAGGTTCTCTTGCTATAAATCCTCACGAGAGATAATGCGAACACAGGAGAAAGACATTCCAGACACCATACAAGTAGGTGAGAGAAATTAAGCTAAATTTTGTAATAACCTTCTGAGGGCCTAGTGTTGGCTAGCATGGCAGTACCTGGATTCCCAGATACAAAGGGAGGTTGCACCCACTTGAGAACTCTTCTCCATGGACCCTCATCTGGTGCTTATTAGTGGGTTGGGGGTGGGGTTGAAGATCAGAGAGAGAGCTTCATGGATAGTACAGGACTATATTAGTCTGTTCTCACGCTGCTATAAAGAAATACCTGAGACTGGGTAATTTATAAAGAAAAAAGGTTTAATTGACTCACCGTTCTGCATGGCTTGGGAGGCCTCAGGAAACTTACAATCATGGTGGAAAGTGAAGCAGGCGCACCTTCTTCACAAGGCAGCAGGAGAGAGAGTGAGTAAGAGCAGGGAAAATGCTAGACACTTATAAAACTATCAGATCTCATAAGAACTCACTCACTATCATGAGAACAGCATGAGGGAAACCAATCTATGATCCAATCACTTCCCACTGGGTCCCTCCCATGACACATGGGGACTACAATTCAAGATGAGATTTGGGTGGGGACAGAGGAAGGTCTAGCATATGGAACAAAAGCCTCAGGCTCCTTTGGGAAAGGCAGAAAGCCCTGTCACTCCCCCAGGGCATAAGTGAAACCCCATTGTACATTTGGGAAGAGTGAGAGGAAAACTCATCTATCCATGGGGGAAGGTCAAGAAAGAGTCCACACCAGGTGTGGTGGCTCACGCCTGTAATCCAAGCACTTTGGGAGGCCGAGGCAGGTGGATCACCTGAGGTTGGGAGGTCAAGATCAGCCTGGCAAACATGGTGAAACCCCATCTCTACTAAAAATACAAAAAATTAGCTGGGTGTGGTGGCAGATGCCTGTAATCCCAGCTACTCAGGAGGCTGAGGCAGGAGAATCTCTTGAACCTGGGAGGCGGAGGTTGCAGTGAGCTGAGATTGCGCCATGGCACTCCAGCCCGGGTGACAGAGTGAGACTCCATTGCAAAAACAAACAAACAAAAAGAGTCCTGGGCCCAGGATTCTATAGCAATGTTGGTTGGTGCTGCCGGCTGCTGGAAAAGGGTACAAGGTGGCTTGGCTGCCATGAGGAGGAGGGGAAGGATCACTGAAAGAGACCCTTCCTCCAGACCCAAGCACATAGGGTCTGCCTAAGAGTGAGGCACAACAGAGGACAGAGAACCCCCCATCCCCTCCTCCATTAAGCTAGAAAGCACTGAGAAATAAGCAATTGCAGTTTAGAGAGGGCCAAAACCATAGTTAGAGAGCCCATCTCAGGATCAATCTCACACAGAAGGTAAAAGCAGAGCAGAATATTGAGAAACACCCAGTCAAAGCACAGGGGGACATTAGAAGAATTTGAAGCTGGTGGTGCACAGCTGGTGGTGATAACCCTAGCAACAGCAACATCAGTTTGTAGGTTAACTCCTGACAAGACTGACTCAAACTTCACACTAACAGCTTATCAAAAGAAAAAGTATTTTCATCTCAAGGAATAAATTCTATTGACCTCAGACTTTTCTGTTCTATACATGATGTCTGGCATTAGATCAAAAATTATGAGACAGAAAAAAAAAACAAGACAAAAATAACCCACTGCCAAGAGGCAGAAATAGAACCAGACTCACAGATAGCCAGACGTCCATACTATCAGACAAAAAATTAAAAATAATAGTGATTAATATATTAAAGACTAGTGGAAAAGGTGGACAACATGCATGAGCAGATGACAACTTTCAGCAGAGAGAGGGAAACTATAAAAAAGCATCCAATGGAAATGCTGGAAATAAAATAGTTATGAAGAAAACAAATGTGGTATATATATGCACCATGGAATACTACTTAACCATAAAAAAGAATGAAAGAATGTCTTTTGCATCAACTTGAATACAACTGGAGGCCATTATCTTAACTAACTCAGGAACAGAAAACCAAATACTGCATGCTTTCATTCATAAGGCAGGGCTAAGCTATGGGCACACAAAGGCAAGCAGAGTGGTGAAATGGACATTGAAGACTCAGAAGGGAAAGGATGGGAGTGAGGCAAGGGATGAAAAGTCACCTGTTGGGTACAATGTACACTATTTGGGTGATGGGTATGTTAAAAGCTCAGACTTCACCACTATGCAATTCATCCATGTAACCAAAAACCACTTGTACCCCCAAATATTTATTTATTTATTGTAAATAAATAAAATTTAAATTAAAAATTAGAAAGCCTTTATCAGGCTTATCACTAGACTCAACACAGGCAATGAATCATTGAACTTACAGGTGACTCAATGGAAATCACCAAAATAAAACACAAAGAGAATAAAAGAGAGGGAAAAATAGAGCAGGAAATGAAAAGCCATGGGACATTAGCAAAAAGTCAAACATAAGTGTAATCGAGATTCCTGAAAGGAAAGAGAGAGAGAGAAGAAACAGAAATATTTGAAGAGATAGTGGACAAGAATTTATCAAAACAGTGAAAGATGTTAGATCACAGATCTGTGAAACTTGCGGAACCAGAAACGAGACAGATGAACACTGAGGGGCAGAAAAACACCCCTCAATACGTTATGCATGAACTTCTTAAAAACAAAGACAAAGATCTTGAAAGTACTCCAACACATTACCAACATAAGCACAACGGTAAGAATTTATAGGAGACTCCTTATGAAAAACCATGTAAACTAAATTTCAGAGAGAGAGAGAGCGTGACTCCTGACTGCCCCAGCTGACTCCCGTCCTCCTTGTTTGAGCAAAGCTTGGCGTGTCAAGCTGTCTCATGGCTGTGGCCAAGGGACCACACCTGCCCCAACTCAAGCACAGTGTGACTCTCCCCTGCGGTGCCTCTGCACGTTTGGACTTTGTTACCCTTATTTGATAAGGAACCATTGATCATGCTGAAGCCGTTTCAGAAGAAAAATGCACATATTGATACATCAATTTGATTTCCAAGCTGAATCAAGTGAAGATATATTATAGAGTCAGCTGACCTAGGGACCAAGGAACAAGCCAGAAAATATCAAAATCAGAGTACCCAGGAAGACGAGGCCTCCAAAGAGCTCCAAATGCCGAGGTCGGCCTCATATCGCACAGTTCAGACTCTATGGAAAATAACATCGAGAATGAAATGTTGTGATACCTCGGTGCATGGACTTTTATTATTGTGGGGTTTGAAAGTAAAGGGGAGATAAATATGGGTCATAAAGACCTGTTTTTCAATTCCATTTGTACCCTGCATATTTATATTGATAACACTTCCCCATGAGTCTTTCTAAACAAGAAGCCATCAAGGCAGTGCTTAAGAAGTATAATAATAAAACAATAAATAAATAAATAAAACAGTGTGGGGGGGAATTGCCATAGGAATTAAATAAAGAGACAAAGATTAAATATATTGTAGTACACTGCATTTGATGATAAGATGGGAAAAGGACATGCTGAATTCTGAATAAAGTCTATTAATTATTAAAAAAAGAAGTCTATTTTTCTAGATTACGGGAGTTTAATAAAAGATTTTTCTAAAAAAATTTAAAAAAAGAATCTGTTCTCAGACCATGGCTCTGCCTCTTAACAGCTATTTCACTCTGAAAGAGTTGTTTTACCTCTGAGTCTGTTCCTCCGCTTTCAGAAGGTCATTATGGGGATTAAATAAGGTAAATCAAGGAAAGTGCTCAGCATGATGCCTGGCACACCATAAACACCCAATAAATTTTAGTCACCATTAGCTATTGTTTTTGTTTATTATTCTCATCATTATTTGGTCAGGGTCACTTTGATCAAAGCCAGGGTACAATCTGTTGCTTCTCCATGAGTGCCTTATTCTTTGGGTCTCTCCAAAGCCCAGGATACATTCTTCTGTGACTTTTCACTGTCCATTGCTCATGCTCCTTTACGAGGTTTGAGAGATGAGTGCCAGCACTGTATTTGGGAGCCGCTGCAGCTCTGCACAGACCCAGAACGTCATGTGCTTTCCCCTCGGCGTGGCCAGGGAGAGCTCGTCTACCCCCGCGTGCTACTCGCCAGCTTTCCCCACTTCGAGGGCGGAGCTCAGTGGCTTAGCGTGAAGTGATCAAATGAGTGTTTACACCAAAGCACTCTATGGGTCTATATCAATATTTCTAAGAATCGTTTCATTTATAGAAATTATTACCCAGCTGACCTGTTATCATGTACAACAGCTTCACTGGCAAAAGCATCATATTCTAGATCGGGGCTTAGCAAACTTTTCTGTAAAGGACCAGAGAGTGAATATTTTCAGCTTTGTGGGCCACACACAATCCTGTTTTATAATCTTCTCGTTTTTTGTTACAACTTTTAAAAAATGCAAAGCAACAACAACCAAAAATAAATAAATAAATAACCCACTCTTAACCTGTGGACTATACAGAAAGAGTTTGTGGGCCAAAATTTGCCCACTGGCCATAGTTTGCTGATCCCTGTTCTAGATGTCTGATTTGCTTTGTATTGGACAGTTTGGCAATAGGAAGAATACACACTTAAATTTTCTTCTCTTTGGCAGAATTGCATTAAAAATCAATTCTTTTTAGCTTTTAGGAAACTGAACTCTCGCAGAGATTTAATTGGAAGAGAACCAGCATTTCATTGAAACATATTTGGAAACACGTTGTGTATATTGAGACACACACACAGACACGGTCTCTGTACTCCAAGTAGTTGAAGTCAACAAATGTGTCTGAACTTTTTTAGCTGGTTTCCATGGGAACGTAGATGAAAACAAAACGTATATTCTGAGGAAGCACCAGGTTTTCTGGCTGAGGAAACGTTTTCTGAGTTAACTCTGAAGGGTGTTTTATTTCCAAGAGTGACGGCTTGGTTGATTCTCTCCTCTCCCTCCTCTTTTCTGTCTTCTCCTCCTCCCCTCTCTGTGTGTTCCCCGCGCCACATGTGCCCTTCGTGGTTCTGTGTCCCTCTCTGCACCCTCACCCCCTCCTTGCTGCCGCTCCTGGGCCTCTGGATGAAGCCTCCGCATCTGGTTTCCATCTCCCTGCGCCGCGGGACTGAAGCCCGGCCGACCCAGATTTCCCGTTCATAAATCATTACTCATCTGGAGCCCAGCCAGGAGCACTTCAGGGACTGTTTACTCAGCACGTCTCCTTTTTCAGAAGAACTGCTTCCCTTCTGTGTCGTTTCAAGTCTGGCTGCCATCTTCTACGTTGATCATTTTCCCCATTTTTATCTTTGAAAAGCAGACAAGAGAGGAATTCACTGTGATAAGGCATTTAAATGAGCTGTATCAAACGTACAGCTGGGTCAAACATAAGAGTTTATTCTAATAAAAGTGGCGAGAAATTCGGAAGTACATACATATTGTGGTAAGAACATATGATATTTGATATTTTAAGTAAACTTTGCAGAAGTAGAGGGAGTTAACACATAATCATAGCTATGTGCCAGGTAACACTTGAAATGTTAACTGAATGCTCACGGCAACTCTACACTATAGGTGCTATTAACCTTATTTTACAGATGAGGAAACTGAGGCACAGAAAACATAACTACTAATAACGTGCCCATCTGCTAGTAAATGACGATCCTCTGACAAGGACCCAGTCTGGCACCAGAGCTTCTGCTCTCTCAAGCAGCTGATTCAACTGCTTCTTCGTTTCTTCAACTGTAAAATCATTTCCATTTCACAGATGGGGAAACTGAGGCTCCAAAAGTTAAGCAAATGAAGCTGTAACAGCTATTTTCAAATATTTCCAAACTGTCTCTTTCCTTAGTACTTCCAATGTGTTTTAGTGCTGTACTGCGTGTGTTTACAGTAAACTCCCAAGAAGTTTAAAAATTCCTCTATGTGTCATTAAGGTTTCCAAAAACTACTTTAATTTTTCCATTTTTCACAGAAGCATGTGACTTGCATAGATTTCTCTTAAATGATTTATAAGAGAAATAAAATGAATGTCAAAATGTTTTTACCTAAGAACGGAGTAAATCAGATATTTTTCCTATGGTCATAATGCCAATGACTTCAGAGGAATTTAACGATGAAAATGGAAACATAAAATAAGATAAAGGGCACTGAGTGCTGTTCTAATTTCTGAGTCATATTTTTGGGAAATAATTAATATAAAGAATACTCAGTGACCATTTTCCATGTTTATTCAGTGATAAACACCATGCCAGCTGCTGGGAGAAAAGAGACACATTAAGTAATTTATCTTCCTGCAAAGAGTGACACTGCAGTGGTAGTACATAAGGGTTGGAATGACATTCTTGTCAATTACAGCATTTTGTAGAAATGCAGTTTCTTTGAATGTGAAGGATCAGCTGATCTGTCACCATCATTTTCCAACTGGTATGTTATTGGGGTGGGTTGGGAAAGGGGGCTAGGTTGTGCTGCAGTAACCAACAACTCCAAAATCTCAGTAGGTTAATCCAGCCAAATTTATTTTTTCACTCACATTACCAGTCCTATATAGGACAGCAGAGGCCTCTACTCCACACAGTCACTCAAGGATCAAGGTGATTATGCCTCTACAGTTTTGTACCTAAACCATCAAAAACATGGGGCCTGCATAGAGAGACTGAAGAAAATAGCATGGCTTTTTATGAACTCAACAAGAAAGAACACTCATCTTTTGTCCTTGGCCAGAATTCATTGTCCAGACCCACTACCTGCAATATGAATGGAATATTCGTGGGAGCTGGTGAATCCCACTGTGGGTTCACAGAAATGAAACTAAGGCTCAGAAAAAGGGAAATATCAAGCTTACTTCCTAGCCTCATCAACTCTCCACTCCCTAGAGTTGAAGTAAGAGAATACAAAGCCTTTAGGAACAGTGACAGTTAAAAGACAGATATTCAATGAGGGATAATTGGATAGAGATATTGATTCTGAACTATATTGTAATTAAAATATATTGCTTATCAGAAGCTTACTAAATTCTAGTCCTTGGCATGTATTTTTAAAGCATTTTGAATCCTTACAACAACCCTATGAAGTGAAGTGATTTGCTCAGTGATGCACAGCCCGTAAGTGGCAAATCTGGCACTAGAACACTAGCCAATTGGACCCCAAAGCCAGTGGCATTAACTTGTATGCAATATTCTCAACAATTATCCCATGCAGTGTGAAAACAGTGATGCAAAAGGTTTTGTGCGTTTTTTATATATCATTGACATCAATGTTACCCCCTCCTTATCTCCAGCGCATGTCTCAAAACTTGGTTGTTCTTGCTACCCTGCTCTTCCTTTCCTCAGTCTTTCTCTTAGTTTGCAAATATCCTTTTCATTGATTTGATTTCCTTAATATAATTTATGCCACATTTACTGTGTCCCAGTTGGATGCATATATCACGGTGAAGCAAGTGCATGAAGAATAAACAGAAACTTACCTATTTATCTATTTATACAGGAAAACAGCCCCAGATGGTGTTTAGTCTATGCATCTCATGTTTAAATTCATAAGCTAACTGAGTAATTGTCAAAAACATTCCCCTATTGCTTAGTGGTTTCTATTACTTGTAGGCAAAATATTTATAACTAAGAAAAATCAGAAATTAATTGCAAGTAGCTGACCCAAACATATGGAATTGGCTGAATTTGCAGGGAGGAGGGTGATGATAGTTCTCAAGATTCCTCCATCCTGGGAAGAAAGCTGGTAATTCCTGTTAAACCAACAGCCTACTGAGGCCAATGCTTTAGAATATTTTTTGGCAAATGTCATAGAATCAAGATGTGTTGACTGCCTCTTACTGCCTTTAGTAAGAATCTAAATGAGAATACGAGCTTTGATCCAAGGTTACTGCCTGGAAGCAAAAATGAAAGAAAAAGAGAGAGGGGGAGAGAAATAACAGCAGGGCAAGTATATTATTTATTAAGGGAAGTCCTTTCTCCTGATTTCCAGCAATATAATACTGCTAAGTTTCAGATAAATAGGCCATTTGCAAAACTTAACCATTTCTAAAGCTAAAGTTGAAGTACCAACAAGTAAAATAAGAGATCCTTGTCATTAGAATAAGGCTCTCTAGGAAGAGTCAGAGGAATTCAGGATGCTATTAATAGCTCCACTGGGCCCCAATCAAACACAGCCATCTCAGAGCCTTAGTGTTTGTGGGGCTCCTACCTGGGTTCTTCCTTCATCTTCAGCACCTCTCTCCTCTGCCTAAGATTTTCAGGGCTGACTCATATCTTCGCTTCCTTCAATTGTCTGTTCAAATGATTTATTTCCAGGAAGGTCTTCCTCAGCACCATTTATAAAACACAAACACACATGAACATGCACATTACTCTCACTTCTCCTGCTCTGCTATATTTTTATGCCTAGACTTATCACCACTCAACACAGAATATATTTCTTTGCCCATCTCTGTATATTATTCAGAGTAGGTTAAACTGATGTTATACCAAATAGATTCAAGCATGTAATGTCTCAATACAGTAAGCTTTGTTTCCTGCTCACCTAGTAGTCCTAGGTAGATACTGAAGTTGGCAGGTTGGTTCTCCTCCATGCAGTCATTCAGGGATCCACACTCCTTCCATTCTGTGGCTCCATCATTTCTGAATCCAGTAAGCAGAAGCTAATAGTCATGAAGGGATATACATGGAGGTGTTCATTGTCCAGGTCCGGAACACATCACTTTTGCTCGTTGGGTTGGAAAGGGCTTGGTAATTTGATCATACATAACTTTAAGAAATATTGGGAAATAGAGTTTTGGTGTGTGTCCAAAGTAGAGGAGACTGGATTTTGCTGAACAGCTTGCCCTTTCTATTCAGTGTCCTTCCACTAAAAGGTAAGCTACTTGAAAGCAGAAACTTGTCTGTTTTGTTATATTTACAATGCCTACAGCAATGCCTGAAACGTAGTAGACATTCAATAAGTTCATGTTAAATGAAGTTGAAAAAATGGACATAAGAAAATTTGATTTGAATGTAGCCTGAGAAGGCTGGGACTACAGTCCAGGGCACGTTAGGGACAGATTCAACTATACTCTCACTTCTGTTTATTTTTCACCACACAAACCTCCTGCAGATTATTAAATTTAGAACTAAAGAAATTAAAATGCCCCAAAGCTCTGGACAGTTTACTTTAGTGGGTCATGGTGAATAAAAATCATACTTATCCAACAATTCTGGCATTGAAAACTTATAAACGTATTCTTCACACATAGAAGAGAAAGGAATTTTAGTAATATTAAAGGTAGTTATGTCACCAGAAAACTCCCAAGCTTAGCTAAGAGGGTCTTGAGATTTTTCCATCACTCTCCAAGATGAGTAGCGCACAAATACATACACATCACATGAAAACACTTCTTTTTCTCTCTTAAGCCTGGCCCAGAAGCACACTGGAACACAGAAGTCATTCAATCAGGCAGAAGCTGTGCCCACCAGACAGACTTATTAAGGAGTTCAGTTCACATCCAGGGCAACATGTCAACAAGGACGCGTGTGTCACTTTTTCTGTCCAGAAGAAAACAGCCTGTGCTCGGGACCTTCGACCGATGTACAGTGCGGGTAACATTTCCACCTTGCTTTTCTCTACCAGTTCACACCAGATGTGATGGACAGTTATGCCCAGGTTGCAGGCTGTAAGGAGCTACATCTGGACTGTATCAAGACTGTGTCTGGGGAGAAATGGTTTTTACCATTTTGGTTTTTACATTTTGGTACTATATACCATCCTGTACGTAGACAGCTGCAGCCGCTCCGTGATATTACCTCCAGATGCAATGATTGGTGTGTGTGTGTGTTTCCGTGATATTACCTCCAGATGCAATGACTGGTGTGTGTGTGTGTGTGTCTGTCTATATGTGCATGAGTGTGTGTGTGTGTGAGTGTGTACACCTATGTGTGTACTAGGCAGCCCAGCAGTGGACTCTAGACTAGACCAGACAGCTTGACCAGCATCACTTCTCTAGGATTGTCCTTTCCTGTTATCCATGCAGTAATCTGGTTAGGGTGAGTTGGGATTTGACCCACACTGGGCAGCTGGGCCAGTCAGTGTTTCCCCAGAAATTGGAATGAAGGAGTCAGGTAGCTGTGGATCTCTATCCTAGTGGTGACGTTTCCTTATTCAAGGAAAGAAAGCAAAGTATTAGGAGGTCCCACAAGGTGGGGGAGGAATATGTTAATTGCTGTTGCAGTTTTTTTATGGCAGCTAAATGATGCTGAGGGGAACCTCACAAATAAAACTGTCTTGATAGAAATAATGATGACTATCTTTTTACTGAATATATATAATATGTCAAATAGGGTATTAGTTACTTTACTTGCAAGAATCCTGGGAAGTAGATATTATTTCTATCTCTACTTTACACATGTAAAAACTGACTCACAAAGGTCAAACTAACCCAAATGCATTAGTTTTTTTTTTTTTTCTTGACGGTTAACAAATTTCACAAACTTAGTGCTTAAAATAGCACAGATTTACTACTTTACAGTTTTGGAAGTCAGAAGTCTGGAATGGCCTCAATGAGTGGGGATCAGGGTGGAGCAGGACTGCTCTTCTTCCTGGAAGCTCTAGGAGAGAGTTTCCTCCGTGTCTTTTCCTTCTAGAGGCTGACACATTCCTTCCCTCACTGCCCCTTCCTCCACCTTCAGAGCCAGCAACAGAGCCTCTCTCTGGGTTTGCTTCTCTCTGAGCCTCACACCTTGCTCCCTGAGCCCCTCTTGTTCTCATCTGTCTCCTCTCCCACCTTTAAGGGCCCATGTTATTACATGGGGCCTGCCAGATAATCCAAGAAAAATCTCTCTGCTGTTTAGCAAATTTAATTTCATTAAACCTCAATTCCTTTTTGCTATGTAATGTACCATATTCACAGATTCCAGGGATCCGCATGCGGATGTCTTCATGGGGACATTATTCTAGTTACAGCCCCAAGGTTGCCAAGTTAGCCAGTGGCAGAGTTTGGATTCAAATACAATTTTAACTAGAATATTCATATGCATAGCCCTCACATTCTCCTGCCTCTCAACTCATTACCAGGCTGCTTTTTCTGCCGCTTGAATGACTTCTAGAGACACTTCAAGCATCCCTGCATCCAAGCCTCATTCTTCAAAGCTTGGCGTGACT
This sequence comes from Homo sapiens, assembly GCF_000001405.40. NCBI lineage: Eukaryota > Metazoa > Chordata > Mammalia > Primates > Hominidae > Homo > Homo sapiens. The sequence goes on from NC_000002.12 coordinate 237,297,582, forward strand.
TTCATCTCTGCCATGGAGCATTTCCTGAGTAAACTCTCCTGTGAACATCAAAGTCATGTGGTCATCAGCCCCTGTGGAGCCTTCCCTCCCCAGTGCTTACACAGTCTGGACTCAAATGCATCTGGAATGGAGAACCACCCCCAGTGCTGCAGAGCCACCTCATTTTCTATCATCTACCCACCTGGTTTTCGGTAAGAATCATCTTGCTTCTCTAGGAAAGCCTTTCACAAATATGAAGGAAATGACCAGTGACCTCTCACCTTCACATCTTCTCTTTGCCAGGAGGAAAAACTTTGTTCCTTCAGCCATCTTCACAGGCCAGGGACTGGCACTTCCTCCACACTCTCAGCACACCGCCCTGTGCATCCTACAGTTCCTAAAGAGTGGAAATTCCCCAGTTGTGCTCGAATCAAACCTGCCCTTAAGTACCATATTTGTATAAACTCGTGTGAGATCACACTAGCTTCTCAGTGGGTGCATCATAGTGCAAGTTAATTTCAGATTTAACTGATTTGACATGGATTGAAACTGTTAAGATATTTGCAACATGCTACCACTAAATAACTATTACTTTGTCCTATATTGGGAAGTAGTTTGTGGGATTTGGGGTAGGTGGATGCAAATAAAAGCATTTATACTTATGCATATTAAAATGTACTTTTATTGATTCAGACTGCTTCAATCAAGGTCTCTCCACTCTCCCTCCCACTACCATGACCCTTGTAATTGAGGAAATGGCAACTTCTGTATTTCTGTTCATGGCACTAATAAAAATGCTGAACAGTCTAGAATCAGGGACAGAGTCCTAGAAAACAAGATCAAAAGCCTTTGGGTTACTGAGTCAATGATTCCTTTGGACACCATTAGCCAGTTAGTAATCCTCCTAATTATCCCAGCCTCTACCCCACATTTCTGCAGTGTGTCCACAAGTAGATCATAAAAAGCTTGTCAAGTGCCTTGATGAAGAACAGACGCGCTGTGTCCACTGCATTTCCCAGGGCTACTGCTGTGAAAGAAAGGAGTGAGATGGGTGGGTAGTGGCAGCTAGACTTAGCTCTACTTATTTTCCTCAGATCCTCCGCTGAGTGGAACGCAGTGATAGGAATGATCTCAAAGTAGGCAGCTCACCCCAAACAACAATGTTGTCCCGCAGTGCTGGGGGAAATACAGAACCAGAAGCATAGAGTCCTGCAACATGTCCACTTCATATGCCTTTGGATATGGCCCCAAGCTGCCTCGGTTTCCTGTCAATGAAATGAACCTGTCTCTACCTGCCTCTCTGACTCATGATGTTTATCAGTTTAGCTGAGGTCATGCACATGTGCTTGAAAACCACACACACACCCTCCAGTGCTACGAATGTGAGGCAATCGTGGCATGGTCCAGTAATACTTTTTATGGCACTTCAGAATCCTCAACCGGCTCAGGAATGCCATGCATCTGGGTGAAAACCTCAGGGAAATTCTAGCTGCAAAAACTTCCTTAAAAACCCACCTCTCCGGGCATGGTGGCTCATGTCTGTAATCCCAGCACTTTGGGAGGCCAAGGCGGGTCGATCACCTACCTGAGGTCAGGAGTTCGAGACCAGCCTGGCCAACATGGTGAAACCCCGTCTTTACCAAAAGTGCAAAAAATTAGTGGGGTGTGGTGGCAGGTGCCTGTAATCCCAGTTATTCAAGAGGCTGAGGCAGGAGGATCGCTTGAACCCAGGAGGCAGAGGTTGCAGTGAGCCGAGATTGCACCACTGCACTGCAGCCTGGGTAACAAAAGCGAAACTCCATCAAAAAACGAACAAACAAAAGAAAAAACACCGCGCACCTACCACATATGGACAGTTTTGAGGTTAAGGACAATTCATAGGACCAAAAACAATAACAATACTAATCCCAAGAAAATGTTAATCCTGCTTTGTTTTAATAAAACAAGTTTCATACTCCACAAGCCAATTTGTACTTATGAAAGTGCTTAAGCCATAGCCCTACCATCTTTTGAATGGTCCGCCAAAGAAAAGAGTTAGCCAGCTCTTTTTCTGGCTTTTATCACTTAATTCCTGTATGTGCCTGTGCTCAGGGCTAGGGATACACTAAAGCATCATCCCTGATCCCAGAAAGATCTGTCAGGAGAACTTCTACATGTCCAGTCACACCACTACTCAGTGCCACCCTATAACCAAAGAGATGACCAACACAGAGGATGAGGTTGTGCTTCTCAGCCTCCCACCTGAACACACACAGGTCATAGGACATATTGAAAATATGGTGATGGGAGAAGACCAGTACTCCTCACGCACCAATGACTTAGGCACGCCAAGCCTCAGAGCTTAATTTCCTCAACTGTAAAGTGGGTTTGTTGTACCAGTTCACCACTGTGCGCTCTTCATCATTGTACTTTCTTCATAGGTCTCCTAAGAAAGTTAAGTGAAATAATGCATATGAAATTGCTAGGATACACCACAGGATTTTTCCTAATACAGCAACAGATGTTGTTCTTGAGATGAATCATGGCTAATTCATGCAAGACCGGCTTCTGCGGATGGATGGAGCTGCCTTTGATCTGGAGCTTAACATTTGTCATGGTGTCAGATATCCAGTCATTAAATCCCTAGTAGATCTACTTCTTAAAATAAAACCCTCTATGATGCATATGCACTTACATAATATATATCCATGAAAATGAACTGACTCTGTCTGGATTTGCAATAACAAAGTTCCCAAACCTAAGATAAGAAGTCATTCAAAAGCAGAGTGCAGTGAGAACACTCACACTTAACTAAAGTTATAAATAACAAAAGCACAGTAGCTTCTAGCTTTAATGTTAATATATATAATACCTTTTGATAATGAGGAAATACAGTGTTCTTCAGCAGTAAAAGCAAATATTCAGTAGATATTTAAAAGTTCAAATTATATTGAACTATGTAGTTTATGAAGAACATTTCTCATACATTGGCTCAATGAACCCCTTTTCAAATGAGAAAACTGAAACTTAGAGAGGTTAAGCAGTTTCCTCGGCGCTACACAGATTTTCAACGCCCAAGTTGAGATTCAAACCCAATCTGTCTGACTCAAAATCCCCTGCCTTTTCCCACTCAATTCAGACTGTTTGCAGCACGCCAAGTTGCTGCCAATTTCTAAACTCACCTCTTGCCATTTTCTTCTGTATTACTGAAAATGCCTCCCTGAGCCCACGCCACTGCTGTTTCCCTTTTTGGTTACTATCAAGAGGACTTGGGCACAAGGCACACTAGGCTAGCATGGCTAGGATCTAAATCACACAGGCTACAGGGAGAAATCAGACAAGACTGAAGGAAGGCAGGAAGACCCATGCCAAGTGTCCAAATGGGGAAATCACATTCAGACAGGTCCAGACAAATGAGCTCTCGAGGAAGAGCCATCGGGTCAGCTTGGAAGTAGATCAGCTCACACTCAGGATGGGAGGAGCTGATGTCCTCAGACGATGTGGCTCAGGAGATCTGCAGACAGGGACTGGAGCAGCAGAAGAACCAGACCCAGCACTCCCAGTGGGAGCAGGCGTCAGGCAGGGATCAGGGCTCAGCCAGGAGACTAGGGATCAGGCTGAGCTGGAGTCTCAGGTTGAATGGCAGCACCAGGCAGAAAGGGCTCTGTCACATCGAGTAGGTCATACCAGATGTTGGTGAGGCAGGAGTTGGACATCTGGCAGAGGTACAAGTCAGGGCCCACAAGCCAATGAGCAAGGACACTGACACGTCCCCTGTGCTCTGTTATCATTACTATTAAATAATTGTATGTCCATTTATCAACCAGGATGCTTTGAGTTCCTACAAGATACCAGGGGCCATATTAGGTAGCTTATATGACAGTGAATGAAGAACCGACACCATCACAAAGGTGTATACGCTGTGAGAGGATATCAGTGATGGGCAGAGGGACAGTGGGACTAGGGTAAGGCAAGTGAATTACTCATCTTAGGCATAAAATTTAAGGGGACACAAAAAAAACTTAGCAATCAAGATGAGTAACATTTTAATGCAATATTTTAAAAATCAAGATAAATACAACAAAATCTGAAAATATTAAAATAAAACAGGATCTGGCAACAAAAAGATACAGGGAAGAAGAAAATATCACCTACTTTTCTATAAGGCGGTGGGGGGCACTACTGTGATAAGTTCTTCTTTCCTGCTTTTAATACACATTTATCTGCATATATGTGAAGGTACAATGAGGGTGATGGCGCTATCCTTGGTCCTTGGTTCACAGTCACATTTCAATCAACGTTTACCACTCAAAAATGTTCTTGGTTTTGTATTTTGTTGGTTGGGTTGAGCAGCAGTTGATGCTTCTAACCCTGAAAACTTACTACAGCTAACTACACTTCTTGCTCTCATTGCATGGCCACAAGAGAGCTCTTCCCAATATAGTCTTCAAGCAGGTGATAGTCTGTTACTTATATGTGGGTGTTTTACCATGTTTTTAGTGTATTTCAGGAAATTGGGGGGTTTGTGTTGACATCTAATGCATCATTTTTTTTTCTACTTAAAACGATGATAAATAGGCCCCCTTGTTACCATTTTCATTCAGAATATCTGATTTTCAGGAATGAATCATTCACTTAAGTGAGAGATGCCTTTAGGCCCAAAAATGGCCAGTCTAACTCAATGTAACTAAATCCCTTGCAATTGAAAACGTGTTCACTTCCTCCAAAAAGGAGAGGTCCAAATCTCATTGGGCACTAAACCCAGCTACAGGTCTGGGATACCTGTGTGCCAAGTGTTTCTACGGTTCTATTAATATAACTCCACCTCAATATTATACAAACTATGCACTAAAGGTAGTTTAGTCTCCATCAACATACTTCATCATATGGTTTGGCTATGTCCCCACTCAAATCTCAACGTGAATTGTATCTCCCAGAATTCCCATGTGTTGTGGGAGGGACCCGGTGGGAGGTAATTTAATCATGGCGCTTGGTCTTTCCTGTGCTATTCTTGTGATAGTGAGTAAGTCTCACAAGATCTGATGGGTTTATCAGGGGTTTCCACTTTTGCTTCTTTCTCATTTTCTCTTGCCGCCACCATGTAAGAAGTGCCTTTTGCCTCCCGCCATGATTCTGAGGTCTCCCCAGCCATGTGGAACTGTAAGTCCAATTACACCTCTTTCTTTTGTAAATTCCCCAGTCTCAGGTATGTCTTTATCAGCAGCATGAAAACTTACTAATACAGTAAATTTGTACCAGTAGAGTGGGGCATTGCTGAAAAGATACCTGAAAATGCAGAAGCAACTTTGGAACTGGGTAACAGGCAGAGGTTGGAATAGTTTGGAGGGCTCAGAAGAAGACAAAAAAATGTGGGAAAGTTTGGCACTCCCTAGAGACCTGTTGAATGGCTTCAACCAAAATGTTGATAATGATATGGACAATAAAGTCCAGGCTAAGGTGGTCTCAGATGGAGATGAAGAACTTGTTGGGAACTGGAGTAAAAGTGACTCTTGCTATATTTTAGCAAAGAGACTGATGGCATTTTGCTCCTGCCCTAGAAATTTGTGGAACTTTGAACTTGAGAGAGATGATTTAAGGTATTTGGCAGAAGAAATTTCTAAGCAGCAAAACATTCAAGAGGTGACTTGGATGCTGTTAAGGCATTCCATTTTATAAGGGAAGCAGAGCACAAAAGTTGGAAAATTTGCAACCTGACTATGATAGAAAAGAAAAACCCATTTTCTGGGGAGAAATTCAAGCCAGCTGCAGAAATTTGCATAAGTAGCAAGGAACCTAATGTTAATCCCCAAGACCGTGGGGAAAATGTTTCCAGGCCATGTCAGGGACCTTCATGGCAGCCCCTCCCATCACAGGCCTAGAGGCCCAGGAGGAAAAAGTGGTTTCATGAGCCAGAGGGCCAAGGGTCCCTGTGCTGTGTGCAGCCAAGTGACTTAGTGCCCTGTGTCCCAGCTTCTCCAGCCATGGCTGAAAGGAGCCAACATAGAGCTTGGGCCATGGCTTCAGAGGGTGCAGGCCTCAAGCCTTGGCAGCTTCCATGTGGTGTTGAACCTGTGGGTGCACAGAAGTCAAGAACTGAGGTTTGGGAACATCCTCCTAGATTTCAGAAGATGTATGGAAACACTTGGATGCCCAGGCAGAAGTTTGCTGCAGGGGCCAGGTGCTCATGCAAAACCTCTGCTAGGGCAGTGCAGAAGGGAAATGTGGGGTCGAGCCTCCACACAGAGTCCCTACTGAGGTGCTGCCTAGCAGAGCTGTGAGAAGAGAGCCACTGTCCCCCAGACCCCAAAATGATAGATTCACTGATAGCTTTCACTATGTGCCTGGAGAAGCCAAAGACACTCAATGCCAGCCCATGAAAGCAGCTGGGAGGGAGGCTGTACCCTGCAAAGCCACAGGCATGGAGCTGCCCAAGACCATGTGGATGTGAGACATGGAGTCAAAGATCATTTTGGAACTTTAAGATTTAACTGCCCTGCTGGATTTCAGATTTGCATGGGGCCTATAGCCCCTTTGGTTTGCCCAGTTTCTCCCATTTGGAATGCCTGTATTTACCCAATGCCTGTACTCTCATTGTATCTAGGAAGTAACTAACTTTCTTTTGATTTTACAGGCTCATAGGCAGAAGGGGCTTGCCTTGTCTCAGATGGGACTTTGGACTTGGACTTTTGGGTTAATGTTGAAATGAGCTGAGACTTTGGGGGACTGTTGAGAAGGCATAATTGGTTTTGAAATGTGAGGACATGAGATTTAGGAGGGGCCAGGGGCAGAATGATATGATTTGGCTGTGTCCCTACCCAAATCTCAACTTGAATTGTATCTCCCAGAAGTCTCGCATGTTGTGGGAGGGACCTAGTGGGAGGTAATTGAATCATGGGAGCTGGTCTTTCCTGTGTTATTCTTGTGATAGTGAATAAGTCTCATGAGATCTGATTAGTTTATCAGGGGTTTCCGCTTTTCCTTCTTCCTCATGTTCTCTTGCCACCACCATGTAAGAAGTGCCTTTCTCCTCCCACCATGATTCTGAGGCCTCCCCAGCCATGTGGAACTCTAAGTCCAATTAAATCTCTTTGTTTAGTAAATTGCGCAGTCTCTGGTATGTCTTTATAAGCAGGGTGAGAACAGACTAATACACTTCATATAAAATATTGGAAGAAAATAAGAGGATAGGAAATAAAAATTAATTATAACATGCAGGTAAATGCATGGCACAGAAAAAAAAAGATACTGGAAAATGCTTCAGTCCTCATCTCTGATCATGAGGTGACAGCTAATGGCCAGGACTTTCCTCCTCTACTGTCTGTTCTGGAGTCCCACTTTCCTGACTTGGCACCTAAGTTGGTTGGTTCCCAGCCAGGGAGGAGCCTTAACCTTCATGGCCAAGGGGTATGAGTCATTGGTGATTCTGCCTCTATGGAATTGTAATAGTCTTCAATTAGCCTTAATTACTGTGCTTGGTGGTTCAGGGAGGCATAACAGGAAATCCTGTGGGCTCCAGCTATACTCCTCTCTACCCAATTTGAAGCAAATTGCTTATTTGCCCTTGAGGGTCAGGATCAATCATGCAAGCCCCCCATAACCCACTTCTTTGCTGATTGGTTTAGTAGCAGAATGAACCCTGAATGGCCAAGTAGCAGTATCGCTTCCTAATCAATGAATGGAACCATTATTGTAAGACCTAGTAGAAGCAGTCCTCCCTTTAGTATCTTAGAGATACTAAAATCTCTAAGATTCCAGTGTCTTGGGAACAAGAAGAAAAACAAAACTATAACTGGATTATCAGCAATAACCCTCTGGGAAATTCCATGTCTCCTTCCATCTCATTGTGTTTAGACCCACAGTTATTAGTTATGGAAGAACCAGCACCAGTATATTGGTCTTTGGCTAAGAGAATATAGGCACAGCCTACAGGACAATGCTACAAAATCACACGGTGCTGTTCCCCAGCTGGTGCAGACCTGAGTTTTTAGTAAGCCATTTATGTTAGTCATTAGGAGGTCACATATATATATATTTGGTTCTCCTTCATCACACCCTGGAAGCTAATTTCATCCTTGTGATGACTTGGCCAATGACATGTAAGGGTACATGCTAACTCACACTGGGGTAGGAACTGCCATATCTTTTTTCCCCTTTCTTAGTAACTGTGGAAGCATTTGTCAAGGCAAAGCCTCCATCAGCCTGAGTGCAGGCTGGGTTGGACCTGAAGGGTGAGTGAGAAATAAACCTTTGTTGTGTTTGGGGTTACTTATTACTTCATCATAACCCAACCCATTGTAACTGATTCACTATTTCTTCTACAAGGTCAGTTGCTCCTGGGCCATGGGACAGGATAAGATCAATGGGACTTCATTTACTGGAAAGTGATTCCCTCAATTAGAAGCAATGCTGTGTGACATCCCAGGACAGTGGATAAGCCATTCAGTAAGTCCATGGATGGAGGTCCAGACAGCATGGTAACCAGGAGAAGCAAATCCACATTCAGACTGTGTCCACTCCAAGTAAAACAAATCATTGCTCTCTTGTAGTGGCCTAAGTTCAGTGCTATCAACTCCTATGGGGTCATTGGTCAGTCCCACTGTGCCAGGTCAGGAGGTCAGGGTGGTCATGGTTGCTGGCAAATCACTCATACAGCAGCAGCAAAGGTGACACCAGCTGTGATGAAGTGGAGTCCGTATCACAGGTCCCACTCACAGGCATCATCCTAAGTGCAAGGTCACATGGTATTTTGAGCCCATGATCACTGGAGAAAAGACGCTGACAAAGATCCCAGGCTGAGTCATCCCAACCCACTGTTTATTGAAAGAACCCCCTATAGCTTTCAGATGTAGTACAAATATCCTCGGCTTTGGGCTCATTTCAAAAGGACCGGCCATTTTCCCCAAACCTCCTCTCTAACCCCCCTGTCCTACTGTTTTTGAGTCCCTGACTCCTGTGTCATAGCCCATAAATCTGCATAGATCCTCACCTGCTGCCATTTCTTTACCCCTGGTTACCACAGAAGCAGTAAATGTGAGAAGGGCGGGGTACCTAGCATGTGACCCTTCGTTGTTATTTTCCTCCCCATTAGGATTACTGCATACCAAGTGGACAGATGCTTGCTCAATGTTCTGCCTTTGGGAGCTCCTTTCCTTCTCTGCTGTCCTTCAGGATATCCCGAGCAAGGGCTTAACATGGCATCTTTCAGTTGTCACATGGTGTTGGCAAGTCTTGCCTTCACTCCACTGAATGGTGGAGTGATGCTGGCACACCTGACTTGTGACTAGGTGGGCTGGGTCACATCTGGCTTGTGACTGGTAACCTAGATGGTGTGGCCTGTCGTGCATGTCAGGAGCTGTTTCCTAAAGGAGAGTCCTGCATGCTCAAGGAAATGTGGATTAGCTCCAAAATCCTGAGGAACTCTGCCTTGACCCCACCAGTCATGATTTGTCATAGGTTTCACCCAGCTTCCTCACATCCATGAAGAATTTGAGAAGGGTTCGGTGCGCTGGATCTCAGAGACATGTATGGGACCCACAGCAGGTCCCCATGTGCTAATTTCATGTGTGTGTCTTATAATAAACTACAAAATCTTTAAGGAAAACAAGGGAATAGCAGTAACAAATTTAAAAAAGAATATAAAGTCTGAAGTTTACAAAGTTAATTTTTAAGGAAATGAAAACAACAATTAAGCAACCTAAAAAGCTTTTAAATTTAGAAAGTGAAATTCCGTAGCATGAACCGAGGGTACGGACAAGAGAAGCTATTAAAAAGGATCCAAAGGTTATAAAAATAAAATTTCTCAAGGATTCAAGAGAAATAAAACAAAAATAATGTCGAGGCTTATGATTATGGAATAAAGCCAAAAAGAACTGAAAGGCAGGGATACAATAAGATGACAATTTTGATTCCAGTTCCTACTTGACAAAGACTAAAAGCACCCTCTGAATGGTTGCAATGGCCCCTGTGACTTCCTGTGTAGTAGGAGACCGGGCGACATCAAGTTGGCATTAAATCACACACTTGGCTTCTGGCCTTGCTCAAGCTAGGACATGGAAGTGGTGGTCTTTACAGTGGAGGCAAGTTTGCCCTCTGCAGGACTTTGGCTCAGAACCGCAACTATCCCTAGAGACACCCTAATGCCCTGCACTGTCCAGCAGGCAGCAGCAGCTGCCCCTTCTCTCCCCATGCCGTGCACATGTGCTCGGCAAGAGGCTCTCTGGGTCTGTGAGGGCTGCACGCGCAAGCTAACCCAAACCCTGCTCTCAAAGACATCAAGGAATAATAAGGAATAACAGTTATGTGCAAAAATGGCTGAAACCCAAATGTCTGCTTTCTCCACCCCACTAGCCTCCAGTCTTGATCTCCCATTTGCATGGGATGTTGTTGTTTTGGTCCCAGTCAACTTTGAACTCATTGATTTCACACTGTGCCCCCTTATTGTAGTTTTACTCAAACTGTATGGGCGCACAGGAAGCAATGCCTTACATGTGCCACACATCACTGGAAAAGCCCCCACCAGCCGCCCACTCACCACAGTGCTGTCTGGCTCCCACCACTAAGTGCTTCTTACTGCTGCAGTTGGGCTCACTGAGCCAGTGTGGAGATTGGCATGGAATCCTTGAGATGTGCTCATGGCATCAATGCCACTGATGGGGAGAAAGAAGTGAGCTAGGCCCAGAGAACAGGTGGGCTATGGTGCAGTCAAATGGAGCCTCAGCTGATCTCAGACGAAGTCCTGAAAATGGAAGGGCTTCAGAGTTGGCTCAATTGAGGGACCATGACTTGGAACCCACTCATGACCAGTCACTGGACACAGGCTGCCCCCAAAGAAGGGGCACAATCTTGGGTAAGACCTGGGACCAAGGGTAACGCTCAGAGAGGGAGTCAGCTGGAAGCCACCAGCAGCCACCACTCCTGGCAGTGAGAGAAATGAGTGTCCCATCCTGAAGGAGGGTCTGGACAGTGCACCACAGCACCCACTCCACCCGGCCTCCCTGGTCCTTCGTGGCTTTCTCTCTGTACTTGCCGAGCACCCCAGGGTCACACTTGCGTGTGTGTTGGCGGGGGTTGCAGGGGTGAAGATCTTAACTCGAAGTGCCCAGTTCAGTGGCATTAAGTACATTTACACATTCACATTGCTGTGTAACCGCCACCTTCATCCATTCCCAGAAGTTTGTTCATCTCCCCAGACTGAAACTTCATGACCATTAAACACGAACTCCCCATTAACCCTTTATTTTCAGCCCTTGGAAACCACCATTCTATTTCCTATCCCTATGAATTGGACTATTTCAGGTTGCTCCCATAAGAGGAATAGTGCGGTATTTGTCCCTTTCTGACCGGCTTATTTTGCTTTCTTCTCTTCAACGTTCAGCCAGGTTGTAGGTAACATGGGTCAGAATCCCCTACTTTTTTAAGGCTGAATAATACTCCACCGTGTGGATAGACCACATTTTGTTTATCCATTCATCTATTAATATTCAGCGTCCTTCTTAGCATAGTGGTGTTTCTCCTGGTCTCTCCTTGTATAAATATTTATACCAATTGCTACCGAAAAACACACAATTCCCTCCTCATTTCTGAGTGAACTCTAAGTATCAGAGTGTTCTCAGCAAGCAGTTGGCAGGGGGAAGCAAAAATTGTTCTCAACCAGAAAACATTCACTGAAGAGCTGACCACTTGCCAAATTAGCCTCCATGCCTTCCCCTCTCCCTGCTTAACACTGCAGCTGCCATAACACAGTCAAACCATGTCAGGCGCAGCCATTCTCTTCCTGATTGGAGGAGGCTATTAATACAACAGAAATACAATGCAAATTAACTGCAAACTTCTTCAAAGAATGTAAGATTTTGTGTAGCAGGTGACAGTCATACTAGAGGACTTCTGGAATCACAAAGTCTGGTAGAACAGTTATCACTGAAAAGGGAAAAGTTAACAAAATTGGTGACATTATCAGTGACTCGCAACAAGACTTAATCCCAAAACATCTAAGGGATTAAGAGAGGCCTTGGAAAGATGATTAAATCCCTGGAGCATTTTGACAAGTGTGACTCTCTTCACGAACTTGCCAGAAAGTCAAATGAGAGAATGTTTCATACTTATCATGCAATATCGTGGTCTCACGTGAAGTGTAGCCTTAGCCTGACCCACTAGATATTTCAAAACAATAATTGCACAGCAGGATTGTTCTGCCTTGAGGAGAAGTTAGGAACAGGTTAGAATAAATTGTCAAAGAAATAAAGAAGAACATTTCTGAACTTCTAATCTAAAAAAAATACTTTTGACAAAATTCAACATTTATTCCTAATTGTAAAAAACAATACATTAAAAGAGAAAAATATTTAACATAAATATATATAACATAGTATATAACATGATTGCTTAACGTCTAAATTCAGAACCTAATACCAGAAAACAATGAATGAGACATTCTCAGTGAAGATAGAAATGCTTAATACCACACCATGATGTGTAAGTACTAGGAAGTTTAATAAAATAAGAAAAATAAGAGCTACAAATGTTGGAAATTAATATCAAAATACTATTTATAGCAAAATGATATGATAGTATACCAACAGATGGTGCTGGGACAATTGATTGATAATTTGGAAAAAAAATAAAATTCCTACATTAAACCTCCCTCCAAAAAAATCCACATCTCAGATATTTAAATTTAAAATTAAATAAAATTTAAATTTAAAAATACTAGGAGAAAATATGGGTGACAATTTCTTATGGTTTACTATGTGGTTATAAGTAACAGAAAAGGTTTCAACCTAAATGATGTAGAAAGTGAATTCATTATAATTTATGATATACTATCATTGCTCTTTCTACTAAAGGCCCGCATGGGACTGAATAAGACCTGGAGTGTTTTGGGAAATGAAGATGGCTTTGCTCTCGCTTCCCCTTCCCTTTTCATCAACCTCACAGTAAGTCCAGGACTTCTGCTGCACAGCTTCTGGGCTGCTTGTATAACTCACAAGCAGCCTTATTAGATCTCCTAGTCCCTGCATGTTTCAACCAAATAAGGCACTCTTCGAGACCCTAACAAAAAGAAAAGAAGCCTAAACTCTTGGGTGGACACCAATGGCCACTTCTCCCACGCCCCTCACAAGGTAAGAGGGGCAAACGCTCCTGTCTGGGCATCCCGCCGTGAGGGGCGCTGTTACGCCATGGTGGTGCTGCGCCCTGATGTTTGGGATATTTGGCAGCCTCTCTTTTTCTCCTTGGCAGGCCACTTAGAGCTGCGGTTGGCCCACTGGTTTTTGAACCCAAGGATGACCTGAGTGCTGAGAGCCCTGGGTCCTCAGCTCCCCACCTGAGGTTTCCCTGGCAGCGGAACCCTGGTGAGCTGCCTCTCAATTTCAGGTTGTGATATCCATGTATGAGTCACAGCCTGACATCTCTGAGCGTCAGCCACTCCTAAGCCCGACTGCCTAATATAACTATTGAGATTCAGTTTGCTCCTAGAAAGCAGAGTTAACCCTCGGATGTTGTCCTCTGCTGTGGTTCATTGAGCAAAACCTGGCTCCTGGAGCCCACATTATTAGGGAAGTGGGGCGGGATGTCAGGGGGCCATTCTCAGAGAAGGGGAACCAGGGGCTGAGCAGACGCCCAAACCGCATTCACTCTAGTGTTTTTTAACCTGGAATTAAAGATGGCATTTATAAGCACAGCAGCAGAGATGAACTTTGTAAGGAAAAAAAAAAATTAAAAGGTATGAGTTCAGAAAAATTTAAAACCATATAAATAAAAAGAAAATGATAAATACTTTAAAATTAGCAATATTTGTGAAAGTAATTCAATCAGTAAAGAAATATTTAAAGTAGAACAATAAATAGGCCAAAAGAAAAACAGTCTGGGCACGGTGGCTCACACCTGTAATCCCAGCACTTTGGGAGGCCGAGGCTGGTGGATCACCTGAGGTCAGGAGTTCCAGACCAGCCTAGCCAGCATGATGAAACCTCGTCTCTACTAAAAATACAAAAATTAGCTAGGCATGGTGGCAGGTGACTGTAATCCCAGCTACTCGGGAGGCTGAGGCGGGAGAATTGCTTGAACCCGGGAGGAGGGGTTGTGGTGAGCCTAGATTGCGCCACTGTACTCCAGCCTGGGTGACAGAGTGGGACTCCATCTCAAAAAAAAAAAAAAAAAAGAAAAAGAAAAAGAAAAGACAAAAAAAAAGAGGGGGCCCAAGCTCTTTGTCTGACTTTCAGACTGGGTTGAATTCAAAAGCAGCTGTGTGACTAAGAGCAATTACAAAACCTCTCTGAGCCTCTGTTGCCCATCTACAAAATGCAAAGCTCCCATCAATGTGGGAATAATTAAACGTGACACTGTGAGCCAGGCATGGAGCTCAATCCCTCAATCCCCTCCATCCCAGAGGAGCTATTGTTTCTGTTGCTGTTAGTTTGGTTGGTTGGTTTGTTTGTTTTCACTGTTGTTGTTTAGAATAAATTGTTTAAAATTTTAACTTCACTAGTAATTTTAACCAATCAAAATAATGCAACATCAATTTCACAAATCAAATTAGCAACAAAGATTTAGTAAAAATGAACATATTTTTAGATGAGAGATGAGACATTTAAAAGACCATTAGTGGGTTGGGTGCATTGGCTCACGGCTGTATTCCCAGCACTTTGGGAAGCTAAGGTGGGTGGATCACCTGAGGCCAGGAGTTCCAGACCGACCAGCCTGGCCAATATGGCAAAACCCTGTCTCTACTAAAAATACAAAAAATTAGCCGGGCATGCTGGTGGGCATCTGTAATCTCAGCTACTCGGGAATCTGAGGCACGAGAATCACTTGAACCTGGGAGGCAGAGGTTGCAGTGAGCTGAGATCACACCACTGCACTCTAGCCTGGATGGCAGGGTGAGACTCTGTTTCAAAAACAAAAACAAAATATAAAATACAATACAATACAATAAAAGACCATTAGTGGGCGTATAAGTTGGTGTAGCTTCTCTAGCGGGCAGTTTGATGATGCATCCCAAAAGACTTTAAAACATGAGCCATCTTGGACACACATATTTCATTTCTTGCAATTTGTCCTGAAGTAACAAAAAGAGAACTGGGTAAATAGCTATGCAAATGTTACTCATCGCTATGTTGTGATAAAAGTGTGCCATCACTGTGGAGTGAAAAAGTAGAAACGACATAGGTGTCCAAGAAAATGAGACGGCGTGACAGTGGTACACGCATACCTATGAAAGATCAGGAGTTTATGAAAACCAAGCTGCAGAATCATACTCAGTCACGAGAAACACAACCGTGATCTCATTAGGAAGGACCGCCGAATACTGGACACTGCTGGCCACATTCTTCTCCTTGATGTTCTCTCCCACCCTCACTCAGTTTCCAGAATCCACCCTCCCACCTCCTTCTTCCTCTCTTCCATTCCCCTTGAAACCTGCGGAAGGCCCCATCCCTGTGTCCATCCCGAAAGGCAGATGCTCCTCAGTGGCCCTTGCCTCTCTTTGCTCACTATACATTCTCTCTGGGTGACAGCATTTGAATCCAAGGCTTCCTTGCCATGCTTGGATGAATAGATCTAACTGCTGGCTAATTAGCTTGTACCCCATAAGGACTCAAAAGCAGGATGCATTAATTTTCTTGACCATTGCATAGCTCATCATGTGTTCCCTGTCTCAAGAACGGTTCCACCATGCACCCAGACAGTTGGGCACCCTTGTCGCTCAGCCCTCTCCTCACCAGACACATCCAGCCAGCCACCAGCCCGGATCCCCTCATTGTCTCCTTCCCATCTCTTCAATCCCCCACCCCTTCCCTTGCCCAGGGCTACAGTCCTCAGGAAAGCCTTCACATCTCTCTCTCTAGACTGTTCACGTCCTCCCTGCTCCACTTGACATAAACCTAATAGTTCATTATAAGGGAAAATGGAGAGTAGATTGTCCTGGATACTGAAATGCAATCATGTCCTCTGCTTCCTTAAACACTTAGTCAATGTTCCTCCCTCTGTGCTGTCTTAAACATAAACTCCTTTGTATGACAGACAGGGCCCTTCAAGACCTATTTGTCAGCTATCAGCCCTGCCAGATCTCCACTATCCCAGGAAGGGCCCCAATGACAAAGCTCATGCCCCCTAAATAATCCCCTCTCTCCAGAGACGTCAAGTGTTTGCACGTGCACAAGCACTCACCGTGCAGAAACGTCTCATCCTTTCAGCCCTACTGAAATGCCAGCCCTGCTACTCAGTCTCCCCAGGTGCTGTTGAGTAGACGTGAATGTGTTTCTCCTCAACTCCCAGGCTTCACCCTCACCTCAATTGGAACAAATATTATCTTGTCTTTACTTGCCTGTGCATCTGTCTCTCAATGCTATTTAAGAGCAAGGGCCAAGATTTTTCATTTTCTTATCCCCACTGCTTTTCACAGTGCGTGGTTCACAGAGGGTCTCTTGATGGCACGCATGCCTTCATCAAAGCTCCTATCATTTTGCACAGCAGTCATTGTTTATACATCTGTTTCCCCTGCTAGGCCAGAGAGACAGAAACTCTAATGCATTCATCCTTGTGGATGCACATCCCATAGCACAGACCATTGCTTGCTAACTACACACCAAAATGGTTACCAGACATTAAAACTTACACGTACGCCCGTGCCAGCATGATTGTTCTTGGATCTGCTTGGATTTTTTAATTACCAGATAGGATGATGACCAGTATAGGCCAAATCTCCAAGGCCAGTTGGAGCTGGAGGACCTGGTCTGAAGCATTCCTTCTAGAAGCTCCTTTCTTCAGGCTCTCCATTTATGGAAGCTTCCTCGGCATCTGGTGCCTAATAAAGCTTGGTCTCCTCTTTCCTCATGGCACTGGTTCAGCAGCACATCCAGAACGCGCATCTGCATTGTGTCAAGAACTCTGCTTATTCTTCATAGAAACAGGCTACTTAACACAACCGGACCTTCAGACAACTCCGGCCACTCTCACGCCGAAACACCTATGCATTCACTATAAAACCTAGGTCTGTCATCTGTACAGTCTTTCTGTTGGGGTCACATTCAATGATCTTTTGGTCAAGGGCAAGGGCATTCATTCCCAGGCCAGATGAAGCTTTGCGCAGCACTCTACAGAAGACCAGACACAGAAACATGTACTTAGAGGTGCATTTAACTCAGTGCCTCTAAACCAGAGATTGCAAGCTGGTGGCTCAAGGGCCAGAGTTGCCCAGAAGACGTTTATTTGGCAGGAGTGTATTCAAGTCTTCAAACCCCAATGCCTTTAGAATGGACACCTCTTCCTTATTTGCCTCAAGCCCCAGCAGTCCCTAGTGCTTTGCTCCTCCTCTGCCCAAGAGACCCACCCAGCCCTTGAAGACACAAGACTGTGACTCCACCTAGACCAAGTATGCTCCGTGAGCTCCAAAAGGACCCCAAGGGACTGAGGCTGAGGGGGGTCTCTGAGCCACCATCGCAGTGGCTGCCCTGGCTGCCAATACATCCCCTGTTATCACACATTCAACCCACTTTGAAATTGTCTAGTGAGAATCCCACTCCTGCTCCTGGAGCCTAAGGAGGCCTAAGCCTTGTGCTCAGGGAGGTCACAAAGGGAGTGACCCCGAGAGGCTCCAGAATGGTGCCCTTTCTCTGTACATCAACAATTAATTTGGGTTGGGGTTTGAGTAACAACTTCAGCCAAACAAGGGAATCAGCTGAGTCCTGATGAGGCTCCGCAGACAGTGCCTCCACTTCCACAGAAGACAGCCAGGCTGCGCGGCAGAGCCTGCTGAGCTGCACCCCGCTATTTTTAGTGCTGCTCTCTGCCACGCTGGCGAGGCTGTCCTGCTCAGTGGCAGGCAATGCGTTCCATGTGTGCAGGCTGGAATGCAGCGGCTGAACCAAGGCCAGCAGCAGAGCCTGTTTCCTTAAAAGGCAAGAGAAATTCAGATCACATGGCCACAGGGACAGGAGCATGGATCCTGGGACAGGAACGGATTTCCATCCTAGAGAGCTCTTCAGGGGCAAGTGAACTAACAGAGATCTGCTTATGAACGTGCTGTAGGTGAAAATGGATTTTTATATTGAAATTCAAATAAGTACAGGGATTTGAGCCGATTGTTCCATTGCATTCCGGTCGTCTCAGGAAAAGAGGTCCCTGTGTGATTTATTTGTGGCAGAGACCCTAGAGCCACTCATATAAATTCCCCTCAGACACTGACTTCACAAATCAAAGCTGTTTGGCCAGCTGGTTACAGCCTGATGTTAAGCAGACTCAGGCCTCAGCTCAAGCTTCTCCCAGGGCAACCTCGTGGAAAGAAACAGTTTTCTGAATATATTCTAAAACAGACTAGAATAGAATAGAATAAAACAGAATTAGAATATATTCTAATTTGAGACCTTTATTCTGAATATCATTAAACACGCATAAGTTTTTTCTGGAAACGGTTAATATTTATCTTTCTTATCCTGAAGTTGCATCTTACACTGAGTAGCATTCGTTCCCCCGCCCCATGAGGTGGGAAATTCAACAAACGACTCATTGTGTATAGATAAGGGCCAGGCAATCTATTGCCAAAGTCCTCTTTTGCCTCACAGAAAAACAAAGATAGAGACACTCTTGAGGTCCTTCTGCACAGCCCTAAACTTGTACTCAATCTTCGTACTGTTTTCCAAATCACTGTCTTAGGTCACAAGCATTAGACCTGGCCCAGGAATTAATGAAGGCCACCAGCAAATGAAGAAGACAGGAAAAAAGTGTGGTTAGGATGATGGGCACAGACCCCCAACATTCAAATCTAGACAGTCAGCAAAGTCATGTCTAGTTGAGGCAGTCAGGTTGACAGTCACATAAGGACCCAGTTTTCCTGTCCCACAGTGAGGAAACCACAATAGACTTTACGTGTCATTAAGTCTTATTACTTTAAGTGCTTCCCTTAAACAAAAACTAGAAAGCTTTGTTTCTGTTGTTTTGCCTCTTTTGGAAACTGTCAAGGGAGTTAGTAGGGAAGGTGATGCCTATACCTATGCCTATATAGGGTGAACTACAGACTCTTAAATGTCACTGATGACTGTGTGTCATGGCTGCATACACATGAACTTATACGGGAGCAGTGATGAACGCAGTCCTCCCATATCCTCCCCACCACAGCCCTCAGGTTCCCGCGTCTCTCCACAGGGGTGGGCTTAATTAACCTAACAGGGGTTCCGGTTGTTTTTGTTTTTTGTTTTTTGTTTTTTTGACGAAGTCTTGCTCTGTCACCCAGGCTGGAGTGTAGTGACATGATCTGGGCTCACTGCAATCTCCACCTCCTGGGTTCAAG
Source organism: Homo sapiens (assembly GCF_000001405.40). Taxonomy (NCBI): domain Eukaryota; kingdom Metazoa; phylum Chordata; class Mammalia; order Primates; family Hominidae; genus Homo; species Homo sapiens. The sequence continues at coordinate 237,316,822 of NC_000002.12, forward strand.
TGATTCTCCTGCCTCAGCCTCCCAAATAGCTGGGATTATAGGCATGCACCACCACGCATGCATGGCTAATTTTTGTATTTTTAGTAGACGGGATTTCACAATGTTGGCCAGGCTGGTCTCAAACTCCTGACCTCAGGTGATCCACGGATTCTATTCTTATTCCCAACATTGGCTTAGAGGCATGCAACCCATTTCCAACCAATGGACTGCCAGGGGACATCTGCCAGGGAGCTTTCTGGAGAAAAGCCACAGAAAGGATGGTCTTCCTTCTTCCTTTAAATATCATTGTGTCCACATGAGACTTGTTACTAGCCTAAGAGTGGGGCCCAAGCTGAAAATAGTCCAGAGAGATGGGAAAACCTGGGTCCTTGATGGCATCTTTGACTCCTCCCACAGCCTGTGCTCTGGATTTCTGTGAAATGGGGACAACCAGTGACTTCGTGATCTAAGCCAATGCGAGATGGGGTTTCAGTTCCTGGCTGCTGAGAGCATCCTAACTCACTACATACCACAGCCCCAAGAATACTCTCTCCTTCCTGCTCTCTGTTTTCTAAACCATGAGCAGCATTCAGCACAGGTGACTGCTCTGTTCATTTTGACACAGCTTCTGCCAACGCTGTCCTTGCATGACACCTGTCTCTACTGATTCTCTTCTTATTTCTACAAACACTCCTCCTCAGCCTCTTTCACCAAGCCTGTCTTCTCTGCTCAACCTCTAACCGCCAGGGCACAGACAGGCCTCTCCTGACTCCCTGTCCCTCTTCATCTATACTCTCAAGCAATGAAATCGCACCATAAATCTAGGCTTCGAATATGGTATATTTCCAAACTGCTGAATGTATATCCTTAGCCCCACCCTCTCCTCTGAACTTCAACTGTCTTCCTCATATCACCGCTTCAAAGTTCAATAGCATCCTAAGTTCTAATACGCATGGCAGAATTTTTGATTGACTACCCCGCCTCCTCAAAGAATCACATGTCACACCCAGGACTGCCCGGCTTAAAGCTCCCAATGGCTTTCCATCACATTAAAGTACAATCCACAACTCGTTAGTTATGAAAGAGTTTTGGGGCCTGACTTGGCCATTCTCTCTCAGACTTCAACTCCAAAAATTTATCCGCTTATTTGTTTGACTCCAGCCACACTGGCCATCTTGCTGTTTCTCAAACATGTCACAGTCATTTCTCTACCCAGGATCTCAGATCCAGGCCCTCTCTGGATCTGGAATCTTCCTTCAGGTCTTCCCAAAGGTGGCTGTCTTGGGATTTTTTGTTGTTTGTTTTTTGTTTCTTGAGACAGAGTCTTGTTCTGTTACCAGGCTGGAGTGCAGTGGTGCGATCTCGGCTCACTGCAACCTCTGTCTCCCAGGTTCAAGCAATTCTCCTGCCTCAGCCTCCCTACTAGCTAGGATTACAAGCATGTGCCACCATGCCCAGCTAATTTTGTTGTTGTTGTTGTATTTTTAGTAGAGAGGTTTCACCATGTTGGCTAGGCTGGTCCTGAACTCCTAAGTGATCCACCTGCCTCGGTCTCCCTTGGTGCTGGGATTACAGACGTGAACCACCGTGCTGGCCTCTCTTGGTTTTTTTTTTTTTTTTTTTTTTTTAGCTCATAAATCAACTCTTCAGAAAGGCTTGCCTTAAACATGCAGTACCTCATCAGACAGCCTCCACTGCAGCTCACACGTCCTTATTTACCGAGGGTTTTGTGTGTTTGCCACCTACTTCCCTTGCCGTGTAAGGAACACAAGAGGAAGACATGTGTGCTGTCCACCCCACCCCTGCATCCCCAGTGCCTTGTCTAATACCTGACACATGTTAGGTGCTCAGCAAATGTTTGTTGAATAAGTGATTGAATGAAAGACTGTGTACCTGTCCAGGCTCTAGGCAGCAAGGGACAGAAACTTACTCTGGTTAACATATGAAGAAAATTGAATTATTGGAAAAATATTGAGTAGTTTATAGCAACAATGGGAAGGCTAGCAAATCAGGTTCAGTTCCACAAATGGAAAGGAACAAGGGAGTTGGGCAGCCCGAGCCACCACTGAAATTCACAGACACAGCACAGGCTCGATGGCTCTTGCTGGAGCCCCAAAACCACTGGACGCTGGTGGGGTCCTTTACCAGAAGTTTGCTGACCCCCATCTGGTAGAGGGCTGGGCATACCGTGGGCTACAGTTTAAGAGCTCAGAAGCTGTGCTTAATCCATAAATCACCTCATTTCTTTCCATCAGAGTAATCAGGAGTGGACAATATGTCTCTATTATCATCCTCATCTAGGCAACCCTCTCTAATCAACTTCATGTTAAAGACACTTCAATTTCTATAGGTTCATGTTCAAACTGGCTGATTGCTGATGCTGTTTATACCTTGCTCCTCGGCCCGCCTCTGTGCTCCCCTGCAGCTGTGCTGGCTGCTTCCAGGTGTGCTGACAGCACTCCACCTCAGTGGCCCACATCCCTCTTCTTCTCTGCTTTACTTTTCTAGCAACAGTGTGTGCAGGGCAGCCTCAAAATGCTGGCGTGTAACGCCCCCAGGTCAACCCCTGTGAGTGTCAACTTGACCGGATTGAAGGATACAAAGTATTGTTCCTGGGTGTGTCTGTGAGGGTGTTGCCAAGGGAGATTAACATTTGAGTCAGTGGACTGGGAGAGGCAGACCCACCTCAGTCTGTTTGGGCACTATCTAATCTGATGCCAGTGCAGCCAGAAAAAAGCAGGCAGAAAAACGTGGAAGGACTAGACTGGCTGAGTCTTCCCGCCTTCGTCTTTCTCCCGTGCTGGATGCTTCCTGCCCTGATACATCAGACTCCAAGTTCGTCGGCTTTTGGACTCTTGGACTTACACCAATGGTTTGCCAGGGGCTCTCGGGCCTTCGGTCACACACTGAAGACTGCACTGCCAGCTTCCCCACTTTTGAGGTTTTGGGACTCAGACTGGCTTCCTTGCTCCTCAGCTTGCAGACGGCCTATTGTGGGACTTCATCTTGTGATCGTGTAAGTCAATACTCCTTAATAAACTCCCTTTCATATATATGTCTATCCTATTAGTCCTGTCCCTCTAGATAATGGTGACTACTACAACCTCCAACCAAAGAGAGATGAGGGTCAGTCCATAAACGTCCAGCTTTCTGTTCCTCGTAGCATTCTCCCCACTTTCTCAGTGGGTTTCCAGGGAGACTGAGCCCCAGTTGCTCTCAAGGGTAACATGCTTTTAGTTAATGCACCATCCCTTGACTTGCCAACTTCTTTGTCTTGCTTCTCAGTGGCCTCATTTGTGCTTCCCACACACCTTCCGAAACAAATGACTGCAGCCAAAACTTGGTCAGGATCTGCTTTCGGGGAACTCAACATAAGACTGGTTTATGAATGACCAGTCAGCTTCTTCAACTACAACTCCTATCAAATGTAACTGTTTTAAATGGGGTCTTTCAAAACAAATATTCTTTCCCAGATATACAAGTTCTGACAATTTCTTTTTATTGTGCTATTTCTGTTTCTAACATCTCTTATAAAATTCATGTAAATGCTGGGAATTTACTAGTCTCTTGAAATCAAACATGCATAGCTAGCTCCCTTTGCAGATGCCCAAATGCCTTCTCTTAGATGACTTTTTGCAACAGCAGCATGGTTTTCACAGAGACATCTGACATAGGCAGGAAAACAATATCAGTTTTCCAGGTTGAGCGATACTTGGGTGGTGTCACCATCATGCACAGAGGCCCTTGAATCACTGGCCTTTTCCCATCACTCATGACCAAATGCCTTCAAGCTTTGACTACTAGATTCCAAAATACTACTTCTTTGGTGTTTTGGTCTTTAGCAGATTTATACCCACCATAAAGTTGGGTGGAAGACTAGGGAATACCACGGAAAAGGATTTCTGAACTGGCTCTGCATGGGATCTCAGGAATGCTGAGGGGTGGCCCAAAGCTGGAGAGCATGATTCCAAGAAAGCAGGAAGACCCCAGGAATCCCATGGCTCTTACAGCAGCTCACCATCAGTATTCATCTCCCAGGGAAGGGGAGGCACAGGCAGCGGCAAAGCTCAGACCCAAACTAAACCGAGGAGGGGTATGGCAGAGGGCAGCCTCTGGACTGGGCCCCCTGGCCTGGCAGTGTCAGCAGTCCCCAACTTCTCCGGAAGCCACACCCAGATAGGTGGAACCCTGAGAGCCTGGCTCATGAAGAGCAGCTAGGTCCAGCTGGAAATCTGACAACAATGGAAATTTGGCAGGAAAATACGAACCATCTCCTAAAAATGAACCACCATGGGGAAAGAAATTTAAAATGGTTCTTGAGGGTTCAAAACATTGGCTTTCTACAAAAAGCCTGGCACCCATTCATAAGTGCTGTGATTTCTTTTTAATTATGCAGAAAATCGTTGAGGGAATGAAAGTATAAAGCACTTGTATTTAAAAATCCAGCAAAGCTGCTGTTGAAAGGATTGAGATGTGCTCACAGTTGAGCACAAATAGACGTCCTCGTGACTCGGCCTTGGAGCCCAGGCAGGCCATACTCAGCCCAGGCCACCTTCTGCGCAAGCCCTCAATGCGTGCCAGAGCCCCCAGCTTCTCCAAGTTCTTTCCTAAGCCAGAGCAGCTCAGGATAATGAGAAGAGATGGAAAAGACTACAATGAAAGGAAGGAGAAGGATAGAGACTTGCTGTCTGAGAAAGAGTGACGGAAGGTCTTGGGGAGGGTCATGTGGAGGGCATGCTTTGTTCTGGGAAAAGACACATGGCTTAGATCTGACTTCCAGAGAAAGAGCCAGAAACATCTAGAGAATGGCAGTGAGCGTCCCACAGGAGCCAACCTTGGAACTCTGAGAGGGCTTCTGGGTCACCATAACTTGCCCAGATCCTCCATTAGAACATAGCTGGGTGAAAAGGACCACTCTGACCCTCTGTTTCATCATCTTTAAAACTGGAACAATGACCGCTACTGAACGGCACCACCTAAGATGTGTGTGAAACACCTAGTACAGCACCTGACCCACAAAGGCTTCTGGATAAAGGTGCGCTGTGTTCGTTACGGTCACACCAGCTGCTAGAACAGCCCAAGACCTCAGTCTCTTACTTCAATAGAAGTTTATTTCTTAGTCACAAAATCCAAAACAGGTTTTCTTTATTGGCAGGCCACCTTCCACGGGCCAGGCTGGAGGCTTCCCCAGAGAGAGCTGAGTGGATATGAGGGTCAGGGACATGTCAGGGTTCAAGAAAGGACACAGAGTCCTTGGCATAGTCTGGCAGAAGAATGTCTTGGGAAGAGAAATCCACGAGCTGTCAAGGGGTCAGGAATCCTGCAGCTCAGATCATGTTTTGCTGAACCCTAAGTTAGGACAGACAATGTAACAAAGGATTTTGTTTTATTTGCTCTGTGGGAATAAATGGGAGAAACTGCCCATCCACCACCTGAGCACCTTGCCTTACCCTAAGTTAGCAGCACACACAGCTTAACCAGCCACTCACCTGGACTTACATCACTTCCTGCTTCTCCTGAGTCAGGTGAGATGGTGGGTGTGATTGTCCCAGCAACCTTGAGCAGCCAAGGGACACACACAGAGAAGCAATGCATAGATAGAGTGAACCAAGAATGGCAGGGATGGGCATGCTGGCAACAGGAGGTGGAAAGGGAGAGAGGGTTCTGGAGCCCTTGGAAGTGAGTCTCCTAGTGATGGGCCCTGCCCCAGTCTATTGTAACACACCTTGAGCAGACCATCTAGGTATGTTACAAATATTGGTGTCCTACTCCTGTACCTTGGGCCTGACTACTCCCCCAAGTTCCACATGGGAGTATCTGCAGGTCTTTGCCAAGAACATTTTCTTACACTACAGAAGGCCCCTTTGCCAGTGTGCCTGCAAGCCAAGAGGACCAGAGCATGAATGCCTCAGTGACCCGTGGAAACAGGTGTATGACTACCCAAACTCCTTCAGCCCTCTGCTGGCCTACGAGGTGCAGTGCCACAGGTGCACCTCCCAGGGTTTCCCCGAGGGATTGGGCTCTGGGCACCCACAGTGGACGCTGACTATACACCTCTTAACAGTGCTCTCCCTTTGCTTGTCTCACTCCCCACTTCTCAGCCACTCAGTGACTTCCTTCACCTCCCAAATAAACTACTCACACCCATATCCTTAGTCCTAAGGGCTGCTTCCGGAGGAACCCAAAAAGTAAAACCAGATTGTGATGCTCATTTTAGGTCCATAGCAGATCAAGTCAATGGGGGTGGCGGGGGCAGGGATCCCTTGGGAAGTGGAGCACTCAGCCCACCGCTATGGGAGCTGGGCCCACAGCTCTCTGCTCCGCAAGTTCCTGCAAGAGGCTGGTGTTGGGTGCCTGGCAGATCCCAGGGTTGGTCACCAAGGGTCACAGCTCAGAGCACACTGACCTGAGCACCCCATGGTAGCTGCCGAGATAGAAGAGGACTGGGGAGGAGGTCATGGCGACCTTGTGGGGACTAAGTGGCGCTTCTGAAGAGGGCCACACTCCTCTCTCCTTTCCCAATAGACCAACTGGCAAATTCATCCCGATTTTACATAAAACATTTCTGCTGACACCCAAGATTCCTGTAATTCTACCCTCAGCACTTGTCAGGACATATGTATTTTATCCAATAAGTTGTTTCCTTTGTAAGTGGAACTCAAGTGCCACCTGAATATGTATTTGTTGGTTTCTTGTATTATTTCTGAAGAGAGAAAAAAACAGTCTTTAAGAAAAACAAAAAAATGAAAGACCTTGTGCTTTGAGACTCCAGAAAAGGGGTTGGGGGTCGTGGGGCAACACTGAATCTCTCAGCCATTGTGAGAGGAAGCAAATCAACCCCCTGGGAAAGGATCACTGTGGAGAGGAAGACAGGAGGAGGCTGAGGCTCTGAGGGCCAACCAAGAGTCAGAGGAAAAGATAGAAGCCAGCCTGACTCTGAAAATCAGAAACACTGCCGGGACCCAACAGCAGGAACACCTTCCGCTCGGCCATGGAGCACTGGAGCATGTGGGGCTGAATCCACAAAGCGGGGGATGCTTGTCTCCAGCCGGTCTCTTTGCACACTGGCTGATAAAGCTCTTTTGCCTCCTCCACTGGAAACGAAAGGCTGTTGCACAGCTCCATGGGGCCAGAACCAAACCCAGTTTCCCCAGCCTAGGGGTGATTCTGACAATCGCTGCTATGGAAACAAGACTGCCAAGAACGTCACACCCAGGAAACTTTCAATATACTTTATTAAAAAGTTTCTTTGTATAAATTTCCTAAACATTTTAAAATTAAAATTAAATCCCCTCCCTCCAGCACACACAAAAAAAAAACACACAACATTAGAGGAATGCCAAAAATATTCTCTATTACAACTTTTTTAAATTCTTTAATTAAGGCATTGGTCCCAACGGTGCACATAGATTAAGGGATTTTGCTTCCTTCTGAACTAGATCATTTGTTAGAGGCTTCAGAAAAAGAAAATTAGCTTGAAATCTAGTCTGGGAAATTGGGGGCAGGGAATGAAAAAGTTGGTCTCTTGTTTCTCCACGATACACAGGCTTCCCATCTAAAGTCATGCTTAACTAAAAGGGAAAAAAAATGAACCAAGCAAAAGTATATAGAGTAGCCGTGACATTTGCATTATTTTCTAGACTTTACATTTGCCTGCAACAGGCATAACATGAAACTCCAGAGGGAATTTGGATTGATAGGAATGTTCACATAAACACCAGCAGTGGCTAACTGTTACACAACATTCAAAGTATTCGAGAGAACTGCCTGGAGACAGAGAGCGAGGGTCCACAGACACATTAGCACCATACTGATAGGTCATGCAGCAGGATGTTCCCTCCCGAGTTCGAGTGTAAATCAAAGCATGAAATGATACAGTGCAAGGGAATCTACACCCGGAGCTTCTACAGAGACAAGTTGGCGATGGCTGACTCCTTCTTCTTCAAGAGGTATATGATGTTGGCCACCCACGCTTAGGTTCCCATCACACTGATGACTCCGGGTTTGGCGAGCACTGAGCGTCGAGAGAGGGGGTGGGTGGGGTGAGGTGAGGAGCCGAGAGAAGAGAGGAAAAGCCACATTACTGACCCAAAAGGGCACTGTCATTATCATGACACAGTCCCGCAGCCTCTGGTTTCCATCACCTGTCCCACTTTTCTACTCAGTACCATCAAAGGCCCTCTGTGACGTTCTTGGCCTGGGGCCCCGGGGCCCAGGGATGTCTGGGAAATCTGATCCCATTCTTTTGCCCTGCACCATCTACCAGGCCTTTATACGAACTGAACTCTCCCCATTCTGGCACTGACCCCAGGCTCTGTTCAAAGTGTTTATTTTATTACCAGTTGAACTGCACAATATAATGGAGATACTGGATGGCCCCAGTGACAACATTGTTATTTATAGGAAGCAAAACTATTTAAAAGATAAATTTGTGGGGGTTGTTTATCTTTGGCGTTATCTGTAGTTGTTCATTATATTATCTTCCCAGGAATCATTTTTGGTGCAATATTTTACAAATAACAGCAACTTAGTAACATTTCTGAAGAATGACAAGGGACAATATGTTTTTAGAAACCCAAAATAGGAATTCAAAAAGACATTTCATGGGTTGTATTTGAACGTCTTCCTTATCTGAGGATACACTTTATCTTCTTTTTCACATGTATCATAATCATTGCACTTCTAATATTTTTCAAGGTGACTTATTGACCTGAATCTCTTATTTGCAGAAGCCATAAACACAAGGAAGAATCACTTACCAGGAGCGCAAACCTTTTCACATTCTTTCTGTGATCCAAATTTGTTTTCGTTTCCACCACAACCTCCATACCAGAATCTTGCACAGCTTTTGGTGTTTGGATCATAGTACCATTTTAATATGAAATCCCTGCAAGTTCCTTCGTCTTTCGGCAACTTGCATATATCTTTAATAAAAACATGAGAAAAGGATATTAATGAGAACATGCGTGTTACTCGGCTCCCAGTGCTGGGGCTGACAGTCTGATGACCCTACTGTGGCAGAAGGAAAAAAAAGAAGAGCTTCCAGGTGAAAACTCCCTTAACCTGCTCAAATCTCCATTTCCTCACTGCCATATGGACATAGGAATTGCTTACAGCCTTGTGAGAGATAGATGAAATTATATCAATGAAAGGGCTTCATAAACAGCACTCAGAATCCCAAATGCTGGCAATGGTTATTGAATAATTTTAAATGAAATGAATTGTTTTTCCCCTTTCCAATCACTGGGCCATTTGCCCTCCAAGTCCTTCCATGTTAAATCCCCAGAAAAGAAACTGAATTTTAAAACCTCAGGGTTTTATAATTCTTGGCAAAATGGAAATTCGATTCTGTTGGGATATAGTTCAAAAATAAGGCTCTACCTTTCATTACAAGCCAAGTAGACTGAAAATTAAAGGTAAAGCAGAAAAGAAAATCCTTTATGAGTGTGTGTGTGTGTGTGTGTGTGTGTGTATGCACGTATGTGTGGTAGCCAAGAGCCTTTGTGACCTGCCAAATGAAACACGTAAAACAAAGAGCTAGCACTGATGTAAAATTCATGATGGCAAAAATGTCACATAGCAGAACTATTTTGAAGACAGAGAAGCATTCTTTTCCCAGTTAAGGAAGTTTATGTTTCCAATGCACACGTCTGATGTAGCCCAGCTGCAAAGTAAAGCAAAGGTCCCCTCGACGCCTGGAGAGAAGAGTTTACAGTTCACACACAGCACGACTCCTGTTTACAGAGTTTTCTGGCAAACTCCAGATTGTTCTGGGAAAGAGAAGCATTGATGTCAACTGTTATCTGTAAGTTTGAAAACGTAAACCTTCTTTCTCCAAAACTCCCTGGAGCCAATAATTCTGCATGTTCCTGTGAGTAGCTAACAGGCTGGAATTATCCAGCTCTCCCCTACAAAGAGATGCTTCTCCATCTCCTTTGTCCCCAGCGAGGCAGGCTGCTCACAGCTGCGGAGGTGGTGAGCATCTGTGCTTCAGATAGATACCAAAAAGGACAAGGAAAACCTAAGTCTTCAGTGGATAATCATAGCTTGGATCACCCACGATGGACCAGACTCAAAGGTGCACAGGACTGAGGCTCAGAATTGGTCTAAAACATTTCCTGGTTGCTGCTGTCACCCAAATTCCAGGCTGGTGGCTGGTGGCTCCACAGTTACAACACCTCCTAGTTGCAGACGCTCTCAGGGCCCAGAAAGCCAGTGGTCCCCACGAGAGCCTTTGAAGACTCCAGGAAGTCAGAATAAAATGAAGACAATTTACAAAAACAACCTTCTTTCTCTCAAATATGCCAATAACTGAAGGAAAATGCCTGGCTGTCAAGGAAGGTCCTGGAGAGAACTGACAAGGCAAGGTAATTTAACCATCAAAATTTATTCCTCATTTACTGGTGGCTTCCCTGTTAGCGTGAGGCCGGCGTCAAATGATCTCCCTATTCTTCCTTCCTTCCCAGAGCGTTGGCCAATGGACCCTATTTGCTCTATTTTATTTGTTTCAAGTGCACTTCAGTCCTGACCATCTGTGTTTAGCTGTTCAATTCCCAGTCCCCTGGGCTCTGCTGAACCAGTCACGAGAGGTCTGCCCAGAGCCACGGACACCCAGCCCATGAGTGGCCTCACAGCAGCACACTCCACTCCCCGTCTGATTGGCTTCTCCAGCTTCCTTGGCCCTCCACCCTAGCCCTCCAGTTCCACACCACGGCACTGGTGTTTTCTGCCCTTATTTCAGTGAGAGTCACTACTGAGACCCTGTAAGATTTACTAGTGGAAAATAAGGACACTGTTACTGTGGACAAGAAGATATTTGGAAAACCAAGAGAAATATATTAGTGAGGTGAGAACCCGGCACTATTCAAAGACAAAAACCTGTACTTCTCTACTTCTGAAGCATGAAAACGGAGGATTTTATGTTCTTAAGAAGGCTTCTAATGCAAACTCCACATAATCTTGACTTCTGAGACATGTCGTTTTGGCTGGACTCTACTCAGCTATGAGTGCATATGTTAAAGCAACTGTTTTAAAGCAAAAAAAAAAAAAAGTATTTAAATGTCCTGGAGTACCAAGGGAGATGGCTGGCCCTCGTTGAACTTAACCTGGACTTTTCCCTAGAACGACACGTCTTTGGATGCAATAGTTGTTCATCTTTTCCCTCTGAAATCAGTCTGCCCCCCAGGTATAACCTGTAGGAAGCTAGAGCCTTCTCTTTATGTGAGAGGAGCGCATGGCTGAGTCTTCCTTAATTTGCTCTTCTTTATTATTGAGAACCTAGTGGGAGCCTAAAAGACAATGGGGACTGAAAATTATCCACAACCTTCCCCGGCTTCCTAACCTAGAATACCAATGTAACTAAGTTTGCTTGGAAAACAGAGAGGGGAAAGGCTGCCTGACTCAGACCACTGTCTGCTGAAACTTCCTTACTATTGGTCACTGGGCTTCAGGAAAGTAACCAAATAGAAGAGAGGAAATGGAGGCAAGCACAATGTTAGGTTAAAACCCTGTTCTGGGAATCCCACCTGTTCCCAGAAGCCACAGGTGCCTACCTAGAACATCCTAAAAACAACCATTCAAAAACACTGGGGCGCAAGGCACCCTAAGCCCCACAGTCCATTTTTGTAATAATGATGTGCAGGAGTGGATGTGCATGTGCGATGCATGCACCTTCCCACAAGCAATAATATTCATAGAAAAAAATAGGAAGGCTATGCATCGGGTCACTATTGGTTTTCATCAAAAGCCAGCAATGCTGTCACAATGAGAATCGTGTAATATATTTCTCTGTACCTCCTGAATGCTTGACAATGCATATCTGTTAACTTTATAATCAGCAAAAAATATATGTATTCTTCAAAGTGGAAAACATATTGATTGGAAAATCTTGTCTTTTTCATAGTTTGATATTCCCATAGTGTTTCAATGCATTTTTAAAGGCATCAGCTTTGACATTTCCCAAACATATTGATTTCCAAATCACGATGTAAGTACTTCCTTGAGCAAACTGAAGGAAGACAGACTGAGAGGTGTTTATGCTGCAATCATCAACATGTTCCTCATCAGTTTAATGGTCCCCAAAACAAGAAAATTCAATCACCTTCTCACTCGGCATTGTTGTTACAGTATAAAGTACTTCCATACCTTGGATGCAGGTATGATTTGCCTGAATGAAAACACTTTCCGCCGTCTACATTTTGAGCATTGGTCAGTTCAAAGGGTACCAAGGAAACTTACCAAATTTTTAACTTACTTAATTTATTTACTTATTTAGATACTGAGTCTCACTCTGTTGCCCAGGCTGGAATGAAGAGGTATGATCTCAGCTCACTGCAACCTCTGCCTCCCAGGTTCAAGTGACTCTCCTGCCTCAGCCTCCTCAGTAGCTGGATTACAGGCATGAGCCATCATGCTTGGCTAATTTTTGCATTTTTAGTAGAGACAGGGTTTCACCATGTTGGCCAGGCTGGTCTCGAACTCCTGACCTCAAGTGATCCTCCTGCCTCAGCCTCCCAAAGTGCAGGGATTATAGGCATGAGCCATCACACCCGGCCAATTTTTAACTTTATTTTAAAATGTAGCTGTGGTTAAATTTTACTCTTTCAGATCTTGACCAACAGACTTCTATTTTTTAAGACTTCAAGATAAAAAACACTCCTTTGGGCTCATCATAACCCACACATGACAACTAACCAGAAAACATCCTCACACAGCGATGAACAACAGACAGCCTGGAGAGGACCATTTCCTAAATCCCTGTAGCTATTTAACTTACTTCAGCTGTGGGATTAGTTTGTTCTTTAAATTATTATTAACATAAAGTCAGGTATTTCCCCCAAATATACCATTTTATGCTAATTGATGATATATATTCACATGGAACATGGCCAACCAAATACTGTATTGTATCCAATATAAGAGCTCTTAATTTTATGATGCACCATTATTTTATGTTCCACTAAGTAACACAAAATGCTACCAATAAACCATGATATATTGTCAATTCTAAGTCACATTTCAGTTTCAGAAGTGTCCCAATGAGAAGAAAATTGTGCATCTTAGAATCAATAAGTAAAACGTTAGTAAACACAAAATGATGGTTCCTTCAGGGCTATACAATTGGCCCAGTCATGTCTACTCGGACAAAATGTGATCAGTTCTACAGATTGCTAATTTCAAGAATAAATAATAAAGGACATGGTGATTTTGTTAGTTGTTTTGTCTAGTTTCTGCATTGAAACTTCTTTAACACAGGTGATTAAGCCAATAATTTAGGATTCATTTTGCAATACTGCAAAAAGTAAATTTTAAGTTAGATTTTTGTTGTTGTTGTTGTTGTTTAGAAATTCTAGACAGTCTTAGCTTTAATAGTAATATGCATAGAAAATATCTATCCAAAGCTTCCTTAGCTAAAAATGAGAAGGGAGAAGAGGGAGGTGGTAACAAAAGCCTGAAACCAAAATTAGCAACTACGTAGCACTGTCAAAATCAGCAGCGACAAAGCAGGTGGCAGAAAGGCCCAGCACACCCATGCTTTCAGGAGGCCACGGTAACGAATGAAAGATCCACTGCTGCTCACTGCCATTTACAGGCAGCAGATGTGTGACAGAAAAGTGGCTGGAGCATAATTCTTTTAGATGCCGAGCAAAGCAAAAAGTGGAGTGAGATGTTTTTGTGGGGGTTCATTTGGTTTTATTTAAAAAAATACAAATATTAACCACTGAAAATCAAATCATGTAATATTGTAAAGCTGGAATCCTGAGTGGTTGCTAACGATGCCCTAGGTATATTAATGGAATCAAGGCCTGTTAACAGAATCAACCTTCATCTCAAAGGCGAGAGTCTCCCTGCCACATACCAAACAGGGCCAGATCTTATGGAGGACAAAAAATGCCCCAACCAGACTGCCCTCGCATTACATGCCTGACTCACATTCCTGATAAACAAGCATCTATTCAATGTGACTGTCAAAATGGGCAAACATTAACATATGCAAACGAAAACCAATGGTAACACTGGTCCTCTCCTCTTCCCCTGCCTTAGGTGCCCAGGACTAGGAACCTTTTCATTTCAGAGTGTTTCTACCTACAAATTCCTTCACAGATTCAAACACAGGTCACCAGGTTCCCAGAATCTAACATGATAAACTATGAAAAATACAGATTCTTAAGACAGCATCTTTTATTCACAGAAGTAAAAAAGCAAACAGTAGCATCTACTATTTAATACTAAGAAAGGGACCCATCTCTGTAAACATGTTTCTAATTAATGGATGCTGCAGAAAGTAAGAGGAATGAAAATGGACACATGTAAATATAAAAAATATATTTTTAAAACTTCATTTTGCCTGAATGGTCTAGAAAATGTATATTTGGAGAAATAATGCATATCGTGGTCATTGGAATTTGGATGCAAAATATACATGCAACTACTGAGTAAGCATGCAGTTATTATCTTTTTTTAGTTATTTAATAAAGAGTGGTTCATTGTCACTCCTTTTCCTATATCCAAATATATAAAAACCATTAAAAAATTTTCCCCCCACCCCAGGGGAAATAGTTAAAATGACAATTATAGGAGAAGGTGAGGAGGGGAGGGAGAGAGGTTGGTAGGGGTGGGGAGGATAAGGATTCCTCTCCTAATTCTGGTTATCCATTTTGAATTTTAGACATTTTTAAGTAAATGTCCCATTTATTAGGTCGGTGCGAAAGTAATTCCAGTTGTTGCCATTACTGTCAGTGGCAAAACTGCAATTGCTTTCGCACCAACCTAGTAATTCAAAAAGAGCTCTCAAAAATGCCATAACTGTGTGTACACCAACATATATTCATCAGGCCAAGGCAGGTTAAGTGCTTGTTTGTTACTATGAAGTCATTAAGTTTAAGAGATCAGAGATCAATTATGCAGGGCCTTGTTCTTTTTTTAAAAAAAAAAAAAGGTAATTTATGTCTTCACCCTGGGAAGGAAAACACACATATGCATGTGTACACACATACATACACAGACACACACACATGAAATGGTGAGAGGACATTCACATCCTGGGTCTGAGGGTTATGCCCCAATTAGTATGAAGGAGAAAGGTTTTATTTAGATTCATCTGTATCAACTACTTGCAGCCTTGAAAGAAACACAAGCCCCAATTTCAAAAGCTCTTTTCTCTTTATCACAGGTAGACAGGCGATCTCAGTGTTAAAGGTCTGGATCAAAAGCACCTTCTTAATTCTGAACCTCACAACTCTCTCCCCCCATCTCTCTCTCTCTCTCTACATATATATATATATATATATATATATATATATATATATATATATATATGAAAAGAAAAACAAAACAGCCCAGCCAGACCCTTGCTGAAAGACATTGTTGTTTATATGAATTAGGCACTGTTTATACAATCTTGTCCCTTTTGGACCACACATAAGAGAATCAAAAACATCCCCAAATCTTGCTGTCTAGTTTACTCATTATTGATCTCTGATCTCTAGTTTACTCCAAGTCTTTTTCTCTCAATGAAGCACTAAATTGGCTAAAATTTTTCTATTTCCCACACTGTATTCAGGGAGAAGTTAACCAATGAGTGAGAAATGACATACACAGATTTCAGCAACTTTGAAGTTAGAGTTGAATCTGTCCTGACCCACACCTTTGGGGAAAATCTACTGTGTTCTTTGTGGCTTCTCTTTGAGCTCAAGCACCATGGTGGGGTCGCCTAACAGGCTCACTCAACAAACACCTTTAAAATCAATTACAGAAATGAGCATTGTGAAGAGAAATGCTTTCCTCCTCCTGACAGTAGACGATACACCAAAAAATAATGAATTGTCCCCTAGTTAGCAGAAAGCTTTTGCTTCAGGTGTATAAAACAGTATTATATCTAAATTCCCATGGCATTTCCATTTTTTATGTTAGTACCATCATTCTTTGCTGAACACTCTTAAGCAAAGCCTATCAACTATTTTAATAATCAGTTTCTCACCGATGA
Source organism: Homo sapiens (assembly GCF_000001405.40). Lineage (NCBI taxonomy): Eukaryota > Metazoa > Chordata > Mammalia > Primates > Hominidae > Homo > Homo sapiens. The sequence goes on from NC_000002.12 coordinate 237,332,786, forward strand.
ACAAGCCAAGTCCACATTCTGCTGAATGAGAGATTCCAGGTCTCTCAGAGTTTCACTGCCCAAGAACAAAAGCAAGTAACAGCTGTCAGTTCCTGAATTACACCTAACCAGTCACTAACTTAGCATAGACTATGCACACACTCTGGGGTTCAAGCACATGAGAGACAGTATCACAGACTCACACACTAAGCTGGGGTGTGTGCTTAGGATGTCCGGACCAGAACACCCCATGGGTCAGATCCAAACCCATGCATTTCATGGATTCCAGCCAAATTTGTCTTGTGTTCTTCTAAGCAGTTTTTTTATTAGATTAAATCACTGAGTAAATGAAACGCCAATCTTCACAGCATCACAGACCACAAATCAACTCGAGTCCCAGTATGAGGCACAGGAGAAATGTCTAATGGATACGTGAATTCTAGTGATAGCCCCAAAAGCACCTCCCATCAAATTTTCACTGAGTCTGATCACAGGTAAAGTAAGACTCCATTTACACCTGGGATTATGCAGAATAAGATGATGTTGGGCTGCACAGAGCTGACGTGGACCTTTTCCCCCATAGAAGTCATGCCTGGGCTAAGACTTAGAACCCAGGAAGTTAAATTGGAATCAAGATGGGTATTTTCTTAGTGCCATTAATGGACCTAATAGTTTCACAACTCACCTGTTTCAGTGAGAGCCAATGGTTCTGTGCTCACCATTAGATTGATGGTTGAACTAGAAGCTGACCTTGCTGGCTGTGGAGGTGGGGGCTGAGATTTCTCTATAAAAGAAAAATATATGCAACTCGTAGGTAAATCAGAAACAGGAGGGCTTGGGAATCCTTAGTGACTGATATAAGGTTGCCTGCTGTGATTAATGTCTTATGTTGGGGAGTGGTGATTGAAAGACACAGATCCAAGACACCTCTACATCCACGACTTATGCTGTGGGCTACAAGTTGGATCCATGAGCTAATAAGCGACGGGAGGGGATCCCTGAACTTCTGAACAAATCCTCTCACTTCCCAGACAGCCTCTTCTGCTGCTGTCCAGGAAAATAGAGCCCTAGGGTTGACTGGGTCTTTGGACTCATATCTCTATGGGCCTAATCCATGGCACTGGTGGGAATTCCCTTTCCTCAAGCTGGTTCCTTGATCTGAATAGCATTGGCCTGAAGAAAAGAGGAGCCTTCCCTTCACATTCCTGGAGCAGTGGGGGTCAAGAAGAATGGGAGGGGGGAACCCAGAAGAATTTAGAAAGATGAGAGAGGGGACCATGAATAATTAAGAAAAGCTGTGACAGCACTCAAGTGCAGGCCTCAGTGAAATGGGGGGGCCCCTGGGGACAACAGCCAGCCAAGGGCAGAGCCCAACTATGGTGAGATCAGGGCAGGGAGACTCAGCTATCGACATCCTCCACCCCCGGGGCGGTGAGACTTCAGGGACACCTCCATTACTCCCTAAGGAGCCAGTGACTGGCTGGTGTTTTCCTGAACATGGAAACCTGGACGGGGTGGTGGGCAACCAGGAGCCCTCACCGGGAGACGTGGCCATCTTTCCCGGGTGCAATGTTGGAAAGGGCTGTGCTCAGGCGACGTGGATCTGGCTTCCTCCAAAAAGTAGCCCAGGACCCAGAGGGCAGGACTGCATCCCACATGGAATCCCATTTCCATTCTGTGTTTTATAAGCTTAGGCTGCCACCAAAGCACCCAGGCTGAGTTGTTTTGTTGTTGTTGCTGTTGTTGTTTTTTGAATTTGTGGTTATTTCAGAATAGATTCAATAAGTAAGTGTCTCCTTTGTGTCCTATTTGATACTCTACATAGAAATCAGGTACCGACTTGTACTGATCATGTACTTACTTGTACTGAAACTTCCGTGGTAGGTGGCTCTGACCTGAGACCTCAGGTAGCAGACCACAGCCACATGGTATGTCTGCCCAGCGAGCAGGCCTCCAATGACGCGGTCCGTGACCGTGAGGTTCTGCTTCAGAACCAGGGACTGATCATGGGCTGAGGTGACGGTGAGGTCATAAAAATAAGGACCGGGGGGCTCAGCCCTCTCCCAGTGGAGTTTGGCGCTGTTCTCTGTTATCTCAAACACCTGGACTTCACGGGACATCTTAACTGAAAGATAGATCAGAGCGTGAAGATAAAAAATAAAATCCTCCATGACTGTAGTGCATGAGCGAGAGAGGAAATCTGAAAGGGATGTGTTAACAGACAAATTGACTTGAAATTTAGCTGAGGCGGGGAACTAATTTCTTGTTCAAGCCCCTAAAAAACATTGCTCTTATAATCTATCAGCATACATGAAATGTGAAATTCACAGTAATGAAAAATCTCATTATTCATCAACTTTTTTTTCTATTAAAAATCTCGCCTGTTAAGAAGATACTTTGGAAATGCAGCATACTAATCCTAAGTTGTGTTTGCTACAAAATGAGCCCCATAATTTAAAATATATTAAGTCATAAAATTTTAGGGTATGACATGAAATTCTTTTAAAGGAATTCTGCTTTCTCTCTCATACTGTTCATCAAATGAAGATAATTTCCATTTTATCATGAGCCTTCCTTTACAGCTTGTGACATTCGGTAGTGTCTTCCAGTATCTTCTTTAGGAAAATGATAAAATAACATACTCTTGGTCTCATTAAAGCCATCTACCTTTTGTATCTAATTCAGTCTGAAATATATTAAGTTGGTGCAGAGTCATTGTGGTTTTTGCCATTGCTTTCAATATTTTTCTCATGGTCAGCATGAGCATAGATTTGAGCCTTGGGGAATGACTGATGGTCCAGGCTCTGACTTTTCAAGCTGCTGGACTGAACACCCAGTATTGCCACAGCACACAGCTTAGGGCCCCTTTTCTGTGGGTATGAGGCAGAGACAAAGTTTGCAGTTGCAAAGGGCTCCCCCAGACCTTTTCAAGGCATGTTCTAAGGTAGGCGAGTCCGGCTCCATACACCAGCCCAGAAACATCTGCCTTGCTGCCTAAGAACCAACTGCAGCGTTTTTCTTTCTGTCTCTCTCACTCCCTAAATAGGAGCTAAAACCTTATTTCAACACGGAAACTTTTCCCTTTAGTTTAAGACAACTCAATTTTCAGGTGAGGTGAACTGTGCCCCCACTGACATTCCAGAGAGAATGAGAGCTTCCCATCCCTATCGCAAGACAGGATTGAGGGCACAGGATGGGGAGTGGGAGGCTGGAATCCCTAACCAACACCTCTTAAAATACATCATCCAGGTGTACAAGCCCAGATCAAGGACTGTATTCTGAGTGTGTTACATGCAGGCTTTGAGGAACACACCCTGGAGCAGGAAATGAGGATGTCACAAGATGGCAGCCCTAGCAAGGGCTTTCTTACCCATGGGCTTAGTGGTGGCTGGCTTGGTGGCAGCTGGTTTGGCTGCCTGTGGCCTAGGGACCTCAGGCTTGGTCGCCACTGGTTTTGCAGCAGCAGCAGCGGGGGGTCTTACAGCTGCTGGCTTTGCTGCTACAGGCTTCGCTGCCGTTGCTGGCTTCACCGCCACTGGGGGTCTAACAGTGGCCATCTTTGTGGCCACAGGCTTGGCAGCCACAGGTTTCGCAGGGGCCGGCTTTGCAGCGGCTGGCTTCACAGATGGCTGATTTATAATAGTCACAGGCTTTGTTGTGGTGGTTACAGGCTTTGTTGTGGTGGTCACCGGCTTCGTCGTAGTCACCGGCTTCGTTGTCGTCACTGGGTTGGATGTAGGACTTGAAGTAACGTTATTCGGAACATTTCTGTTAAGACAAATTAAATATTACCTCTACTTTTACCTGCTATCTAAAATAAATAAAGACATAACCCCATGAGCTACATTAAATTTGTTTTAGCAAAATGCATGCAATAGTTTTTATAGATTATGTATAGCAGTGCATATATTAAATTCCTTCTTTTAAGGATCTGTGCCTCCCTAAAAAAAGATATGGAACAGCATATTGAAAAATAGAACCATTAAAAATGAAGCTTATATTGTTCTACAAAAACATCTTTCAATTTCTAAAATAAAGGCAGAGAGAAAATAAGAGACAATAATGAATAATATCCAACAATGTTCTCATTATAGCAATTAACCAACCAAAACATACACCAAAAATTAAATGAAATCAGTAGTTAGCTACTTACATTATAAGAAAATATCCACTCAATCAAATGCTATGTTGAGCTGGAAAATTATAAAGTTAGCATGTACTATTTTGCTCCCAGGGCTTATTACTGGGAGTATATATATTTTTTATTTCTCTTAATTTTTGTGTATGTGTATTTTTTTTTACAATTTCTTGATCTATTACCAATATCTAGAGAGAATAGCAGCCTAATCAAACAGACATAACAACAAGGACCCACACTTCATAGCTTTCTTGATCTTAGAAGAAAATATATTATTTTATAGTCATATCTTGCTACTTGTCCTAGGAAGTATTAATATATTTTCAAGTTAATATCATAAGACTTCAAATACTAGGTTACTTCATTCATTCTGTTTTCCTAAAGATAAAAAGGTTGAGCCAATTTCAGGGAAGGTTTCAGAGAAAAAATACGAATCATTAGAGCCTAGAAAAATGGAGGCTACAAAGCTAAATGAAGCATCCAGTGCCACGATAAGGGTCCTAGTGGCCTTAGCAATGATATTCATTCTTGCTATGCTGAGATTTAAAGCCACTCCTTCTGAGGTCAAAAGAAAGAGCTGAAGGACTTAAGTGGTGATAGACAGAAGGGTCTGCAGTAGGAAGAGATGGGCTCTCTTTCCCCATCTTGAGAGTCAGCTAGTCGTAAGCCAGATAGTCATTTTTCAAGGATCATTTGCGTTCACATCTCATCTGTGTACGAAGTTCAGAATCTGCAGAATCTGCACTTCCCTCCAAAGCATGACACACTGTGACATTCTCTTAAGGAGCACACATTGCTGACACGCTGCAGGGGCTCAGTTCTTGCAGCCACATCACCCCAGCTAGCCCTCTGTTACATGCCCCCACTGCCCTCTTTGCTCCTAGGGTTGGCACCCGAGATGGAGCAGGGCATGAAACACGGCACATGGGCCAGGCAGCAGCATCGGCATGGGTGCCACAGTCCTGCCCACTCCCACCCCTCCCGTCAGTCTTCATAGAACATGCACATGACTTCCTATTATTACCATCATTACATGTTATCACAGCATTAATAATTTTAAGAAGACATGGAGTCTATTTTTTGATGTATCCAATCCTTCTTTTACGTAATCATTTCACACCAGATACGGTAAATTGTTTGGAACTATGGTCTCAATTATCTACCTTCTCTCTGCCCATGCCCTTTCAATGTAATGTGGCAAGTCCTTCCATCAAGCCTAGTTTTCCATTCTTAAATCTAGGTTAGCCTTTGGACATGCTTTGGTCAATAGAACGTGGCAGAAGTAACAGTGTGCCAGTTCTAACCTAGGTCACAAGAGGCCTTGCACACTTGTCTTCTCTCAGGGAACCCTGCCAGGTCACCTGGTGAACAAACCCAAGCTAGCCTGCTGAGAATGAGAGACCACATGGAGCAGAGATGAGCCAGCCCATCTGAGACCACTCTAGACCAGCAGCTCTATAGCTGACAAGCAGCTGACCACAAACATAAGGGATCCAAGGAGAAAACAGAAGAACCACCCAGTTGAGCCCAAACAAAAATTGCTAACCCACAGAATTGCAAATTAAATAAGTGGTTGTTGGCCAGGCCCAGTGGCTCATGCTTATAATCCCAGCACTTTGGGAGGCTGAGGCAGGCAGATCATTTGAGTTCAGGAGTTCTAGACAAGGCTGGACAACATGGCGAAACCCCATCTCTACTGAAAAAAAAATACAAAAATTAGCCAGGCATGGCTGCATGCACCTGTAGTCCCAGCTACTCGGGAGGCTGAAGCATGAGAATTGCTTGAATCCAGGAGGCAGAGGTTACAGTGAGCCAAGATTGCACAACTGCAGTCCAGCCTGGGCAACACAGCAAGACTCTGTCTCTAAATAAATTAAGTAAGAAAATAAATAGGTGGTTGTTGTTTTAAGCCACTAAGTTTTGGGTAGCTTGTTACATGGCAAAAGCTAACTGATAAAACAGATTATTTGAGAAGCATGACCCACATTACCTTTGGGAAGTCACATTTTCTGGATTTCAAGGTCCTCATCCCATAAAGTCAGGAGGTGGTTGGAGGACCTGTGCATTCCCTGCAGCGCTACAATTTTTAAGACAATAATTATAATCACTTACACTTGTTTGTGACCAAACTTCACAAGGTTCTTTGTGGGTTGGTCCCCTTGGAACCAATCACACTGTTTCCTGATATCTGGGGACAAGTAAAAAGCATTTTCACCTAAAGAAAAAAAACAAAGAAAACAATTGAACCGCATGCTAATAACATGAAAATTAAAATTAATCTGTCAACAAGTTAAATGAATCACATAACATTTATTTAGCCCATAATTATTGTTGAATTAACTATATCAGACAAACTATGTCCAGTGATTTTAAACATAAAGTATGATGGCATTGGATCCATAAAACATGGTAAGCCAATATGTTCTATTTGGCAATATTTGGGTGATTAAGTTAAAGATATATTTATCCAACATGAGAGAGAAGACAGGGATAGAAGAAAAATCAAGTGGAGAGTTCAACAAGTTCTAGACTCTTGGACATCAGATTATAATGCAACTGCTTTTCAGATTTTCTCAATGCTTTGTTGAACAAAGCTTTTGTTTTTAATCTTTGGAAGACAGGAACAGTGACCTGTGGGTGAACCTGGGGGATTACCTTTGCTTCACATTTTTCTTTGAATCTTTTGGGGGCCAGACCTTCACAAATGTGAATACTGTTTTCATAGACCTCAACATTGCCTTAAATAATAAACATTTAGCATATACATGTTTATTTATACTTTATAAATCCCCCTCATCTGTTCCAAGCCTTGCCTGTACTGACCCTGGGCTGCACACTGTACACAGGCTCTGGAAACTATAATAGGCTGCACCTCCTCAAAGAGCAGTCTAGGGGACCACAGACCCACAAATAAATGATCAACAGGCCAGGTAATAGATGCCCTAAATAGGGTGTCCGGATTAACCATGAGCAGGCCTTGGGAGCAGCAGCTTCCACGGCGAGCAGAAGCCATTGGAATTGAACTTTGAAGATGAATATGGGTTTGCTGCTGAAGTGCGGTGGAGAGCATTCCAGGGAGGGGGAGCCCCATGAGCAAAGACCCAGTGGTATCCAAGCACGGGGCTGGTGGCTAAGCCCCGATCAAAGCAACTCTTTCTAGAAGCTTTCCCCGGTGCCCCTAACAGAAATCACTTCTCTCGCGACATGCCAGCCTATTATGTCATGCGTAATAAATGTGCATTTGATCCATTTGCCCACCCATTTGTAAACTGTTAAGGACACCAAGAGTGCCTTATGACTAGGTGGCGCTTGGTCAAATGTGGTGGAATAAAGGAATCAATGAGAACAAGGATACTGTCTGCATGTTCCCTGCTTACTCTGGCTCCTAAAAGCATTTGTGGCATATGGCAGGTGTCAATATATGTCTGTTCAATGAATGAAACAGTTCCTGTCAACACATCGGTTGTCTTTTCCATGACTGTTCCTACACTTCTCCTGGCCCGAGCATAAAGCCAGGCCAGGGCACATGCTGTGCCACGCAGGACTTACTGCTGACGAAGGATGGCAACAGCCTCCCGAAGCGCATCAAAGGCTCCTCGTTGAGCTCGGTGGACTTGTCCACTAATTTGAAGAAGACGTCGTTTGGCTCACTGGCGAAGGTGTATACCTCCTTGATGTTCACCTTCCTGCCAATGCCCAGGACCACGAAGAAGTAGCCCTTGCATTTGGCCTGCAGGATGACTCTCTGGGCCTCCTCCAGCTGCTGCTCCGGCACCTCGCCCGTCAGCATCAGGACCACAATTTTCAGGTCCCGTGGGTTTGGGGCACTTTCAAAGACATTCTCTATGGTGTATTCAATGGCACTGCCTAAGGCCCTGGTTCCCTGCAACTGTGTCATTCCCCTGCTGAGGAAGTCCACCAGCTTCTCCTTGGAGCCATAGTCAGTCAGGGAGAATTCCACCTTCACAGGTGGCATGCTGGCATTGTCCACGGACTCAGAGGGCGCGTGCTGCACAACTGCCACTCTGGCGAAGTGCTGGGAGGCCTTGGGATCTGGGCTCATGTCCAGTTGTCTGACCAGGTACGCTATGTACTTCTTCATCTCATTGAACTGGAACAGGGTGGTGGTCTCAGCGCTGTCTAAGATGAAAGCCATGTCGATGTCCACATCGCTCCCTGCCGCTCTCCTGTCCCTGAAGGAAGGCCTCCAACTGCCAAATCCACAGGATGGGTCGATGTTGCAGATGTCTAGAAAGAAGCATGGCAGCCTATTTGTTCTGTGACACCCACAGCAGGATACACAGCTCATCAATCTGCTGGGAGACTTGGGCGATTAAAATGATCACATAAGATCAAAAGCGGGCCGGAAGCGGTGGCTCACGCCTGTAATCCCAGCACTTTGGGAGGCCGAGGCAGGTGGATCACGAGGTCAAGAGATCGAGATCATCCTGGCCAACATGGTGAAACCCTGTCTCTACTAAAAATACAAAAATTAGCTGGGCCTGATGGCGCATGCCTGTAATCTAGGCTACTCTGGAGGCTGAGGCAGGAGAATCGCTTGAACCCAGGAAGCAGAGGTTGCAGTGAGCCAAGATTGTGCCACTGCACTCCAGCCTGGGCAACAAGAGCAAGACTCTGTCTAAAAAAAAAAAAAAAAAAAAAAAAAAAACATCACAACCAAAACCAATTTATATCTTGCCTTGATTTGATTATGGCCAGATTTCAGTTTCTATCACCTAATACTTAGTAGATGAAACAAATCACTAACCTAAAATCTTTGTAGCATACCATGTGCTGGCATTTTTAAAAGAAATGAAAAATTATATTACTTCTCTGCCACTCTTTGAAGAAATATGTTCTAGAAAGTCACTAGTGCCAATGTTTTCATTCTAGATTCTAATGTCAAAACTTAAGCAGAAACTGCCTCCTCCTTTGTTACCTATAAAATGAATTATCCGCCATCAAAGAGAAGCTCTGTTTTGGGAGGTCCATTTTTAATATAGAAACTGCTGCAGTAGTATTTACTCTGGTAAATACGAGGCTTTGTGAATCAATTGAACTCAAGCTCTTTTTACAGATCATCATTATTCTCTCACTCTCCCATGGATATTATGTTTTGCAATTGCAGCTGAGCAGATCTTCCTGTTAGAGAAACAGCTTACCCAAGCAAACATGACACGTGAGGACATTCTCCAGGAAGTCTGTGAGGTCTCTCCCTGCAGGCAGGACAAGCGCATGCCCCACTGCTGTGTTATTGATCTGGTTTAAACAAAAGAACAATTTTGGTAGGGGCGTACATGATCAGTAATATCTGAAAATATGGCAGAGGAGTAAATCAAAGCTACATCAATAAAATAGATTAACTTCCCAATAGGGCAGTATTGGGAATATCTTCTCATTTGGGGGTGGGGTTAGGCTCTGAGTATAATAGAAAGACATAGGTTTTATTCTACTAGGGTGAGCTGGAGTTCATATCCCGTTCAAATGGGTTTCAGTTTTTTTCAGCTGTAAAATGGGGGGTAATACCTTCCTAATGGTGTCATTTGGAGGGTTAAATTAGATAATAAATGTTAGTAACTGGTGTATCCTCTGGCAAATAGTAGGAACTTAATCTTATCGTTATTTTTAGCAACAATATGGGAGCTCCATCCCTTCCCCACCCTCTCAGGTGTGGTTAAAGCAAGTAACAAAATCACTCCCAGTGGGTGCAAAGAGTCCTGTCTATCGCCGTACCTGGCACACGATTAGTAATTATTCATTTAACAAATAGCTAGTTTGAATGAATGAATGAGCAAATAATTAATGAATGAACAATTTTTTGATCTCGTTGAAACCATGCTAAGAAACTCACGTGGTTCTGGGTCCCTCAGCCCACACAAGGACAGACTTATGTGAATGAATCCCCCCATCAAGAGCACATGGCCGGTAGCCCAACTTCAACACTGAATTCCCAAGCCCAGCGCTCTATGCACAAATCATCCTGTGTTCGGCAGAACAAGCCCTGAGGAATGGCAGTGATGACCCAATGTCTTTCGCCGACACAGGCTGTGGTAAAAGCATAGAATATCCAATGTGGAAGGAAAGACATTAGCAATCATCCTGCCCCAGTCTCAATTTACAGGTGAAAAATCTGAGACGCAGGGACGCTAAGTGGCGTGCACATTACTTTAAATGGGTGGGGGGAGTGTGGAACCAGGCCAAGGCCTCCTGACTCCCGGGTGGACTCCTTCCTACCCATCACCCATCTGTCTTGAACAGTATCGCCAGAACTGCACTGAATAAATATTAATTGATGTAAGAATTAAACTAGTTGTCTGGGTGCGGTGGCTTACGCCTGTAACCCCAGCACTTTGGGAGGCCGAGGCAGGCAGATCACGTGGTCAGGAGTTCGAGACCAGTCTGACCAATATGGTGAAACCCCCGTCTCTACTAAAAAAAAAAAAAAGAAAGAAAAATACAAAAATTAGCCAGGCATGGTGGCGAGTGCCTGTAATCCCAGCTACTCAGGAGGCTGAAGCAGGAGAATCACTTAAAACTGGAAGGTGGAGGTTGCAGTGAGCCGAGATCACGCCATTGCACTCCAGCCTGGGTGACAGAGCAAGACTCTGTCTCAAAAAAAAAAAAAAAAAAAAAAAAAAAAAAAAAAAAAAAAAAAAAAAAAAAAAAAAAAAAAACACACAATTAAACCAGTTATTTAATAGAATTACAAGCGACACTTGGCCTCTCCGTGGGCTGACCCTTGGGGCCTCACTGAAGAAAGCTTTGCACAGTGGTGTGGTGTAGATTGGGGGTGCTGAGTCGGCATAGTTTTGGGGACCTCACTGAGAGACTACAGGCCTCCAGGGCCACCCTGGATATTCACCTTCAGGGCCGATTGGGACAGAGTGGAGACTGGAATGGGTATCATCAGCACATGGGTTTCAGAGTCTAATGGACTAGGGTCCTAGCCTCTCACGAGCACCTCACTAACAGCAGGATCTTCCTATCCATGAGGTGAGACTGATGATACAAACCTCACCAGCCAGTTATGGGAAGCAAATGCCCAGTACACAGTAAGACACAGCTCAGAGTGTGCACAGGGGGCCATCTTGGGAGGAGACAGGAAGGATGCAAACGTCCAGGTCCTCATGAATAAAGCAAACAAGTCACACCACCTTGTTAGTAGATAGAGAGTGTCACCAACACTAGCATCACTAACCGGCAAGAGCTGTCAACATGTGAGGAGGGACCTGGGGGCAGTGCTACAAGCATGTAGGCGTCCCTGTAGTGCTGGAGCCACGAGGTTGTCCTGGAGACCTCACAAGAGAAGTTCTCAGGCAGATGGCCTCATTGGGGACGTTTTAGGAGCTATGGGACATGAAGCCACAAAGGAGCATGGACGTGTCTGAGAACCTTCTCAGAGCCCCAGAAGAAAGGGAGATGCCAACAGCACGCACAGAGCACAGACCTGCAAAGCGTTGATGAGCTGCCGGTCTTCCTGCCTTGTAAGGAACAAGGGGGTGATCCCCGCATCTGAGAGCTTGAGCACAGCCTCTCTGAGCTGTGGGGATGCTCTTGTGGGTGTGTTGCTGAAGAAAACAGCCACTTTCCTCATTAGGAATCCGTTCCTCACACGCTTAAATGTGTTCCTGGCCACAAACGACATGGCAGTCTCCAGACTCTGCTGTTTGGATGTCAGAGCCACCTGAAGGTTCTTAATCTTGTCCAGGAGGACCGACTTCCTCTTGGAGTCAGCAAACCGGATCTCCGTGGTCACCTCGTTGTTGTAGGTGACCACAGCCACCCGGGCCCCCCGTGGGCAGTTGCTCTCAGCAATGGTCAGGTCATTCACAATACTCAAGACCACATCTCGCATCCGGCCGAAAGTGTCTTGGTTGACTCCCTCAGAGGTGTCTAAAGCAAAGGCTAGTTCTGTTGGGAAGACGGGGCACTCCAGGGGCCCTGTGGAAAGTAGAGGGTGGAGGGTTAAAGACAAACTGTACTTACTACAAAAGGGAGGCTTCCTTTCCTTAGGAGAAAGTCACCAAAATCAACTTACCGTAACAGCAAGCTAGAAAAGAAGCAAAGAGAAGAAAGGGTGAGAGACTACTCTACCATGTGAGAATTTCGAATGTAAAAATATGCATTGTGAGACAACAGAAAATCATGTACTTACGGCATTTATCTTTGATGCTTTGGATGAGGGCACATTGCTTTAAAAGAAAATAAAAGAATATGTAAAGAGAGCAAATCAAAGGCTCATGAGGTTAATGAGTCATTCTGGACACATGCAACTTACATCGATGGAGTCGCCCCTGTTGCCCTTGGGACCCTGTAAAACCAAGGAACGAAAGGTGAGAGGCACAGCAGATGGGGAATTCGAATAAACAGGCTTTGGCCCCCAGAAATACACAGAGCAAGACAAAGGGGCCCCTGGATAACCTTGATTGTTTACAGCCTCTCCCTCTAAACCTGATCTTATCCCTTGCAAAGCAAAAAAGAGAAGATTCTGGAGCAAATGTGTTTCCCTGGGAGGTCATTTGGCCTTTGAAATAGTCTCATGTTCTGAAACCAGGAAGCTCACCACCAATCCATGTAAAGCCCACGAGTGAACCTGGGTCTAGATTCTGCTTCTCTTGAGAAAAGAGCTCCCTTTCACACGCTTGATACGCTGTCCCCTGCCGAAGGGGCAGTGAGAGATCATTGAGCTGCCCTGGCTCCCTCCGTGTCTAAAGCATCCCAGCTGAATTCCACCCCGAGGAGCTCTAGGGACTGACTCGTGGCTTCCCTCAGTGTCCCATGCCTAAACCTCACCACCCTGACAGCCCAGCAGGCATCTCATGGGCCATTAGTTGTCTTTCCAGGAGGCTATTTCTGCCTGCTTGGTCTTCTGCAGGAACTGGCTTAATGTGCTCCCCCCAACACTTCACCTACTTAAAGACAGCAATCAGACCCACCTGACCAGCTTTCTTTTCCCTAATTCAACCAAACTAAGCCCTGAACCTTTCCTTCTAGGAATGATTTTCCAACTCCTGAATTATCTTTTCCATTATTTTTTGAAACTCACCAATTTCAATATTGAGGGACAATATATGGAGAAATTCAAATAAGAAAACAAAGGTATTAGCAATAAAGAGGTTTGGAAGGGCTGTGGGAGGATGCCCTCCTGGCTCCTGGTGGCAGCATGACTAGTGGGATTTAACCACAAATCAGGAGCTCCCTTGGGGATTTCATAGACCACAGGAAGCATTGTCAAACCAAGGCCTGGCATAATTACACTGCTTCTACAAGATGCAAGCAAAAGGTATTTAGATTTCCCCTCTTTGGTTTCTCCTCTACACAAACCTCAAATGCACCTATGCCAGGAAACTATAAAGGCAAATTACAATACTCCCTAGATGACAGGATATCCCATGAAACCTATTTTTTTAAAGTTTCTTGTTACTCTAAAATTCAAAATCTCTTTGCTGCATCATGATGTCAGAGAGGCGGTTTGACAACCAAGCAAATACAAAGAGAGCACATTTTCTTGTGAGCAAAGCAGATGGTGGGAAGTTTTCAGGGACCACGTGTAAAGCACCCAGCCCCAGGTGGCCGGGTCAGAACTGGATAAATACTTACAGCTGGTCCTGGGTAGCCAGGGTCTCCCTTCTGTCCAACTATCCCTGGAGGTCCCGAATTTCCCTAGAGGGAGCAGAACAAACATTGTTCAACTGTGTCAGAAAGTGGAGAATTTAAGGCTCCTATAGTTGGAAGGTACGGTAAAAGTGATCTAACCCAAGGGACTCCATCACCACGAAAAATCTCTCACTTTAAGGGAGCTAAAATGTCTCTTAAATTCAAGTTTAGGGACAAGCAACCTCAACAAAGCCAATGGGAGTCCCCCACCAACTATAGAGGTGTTGTATATTGTGTTCTCTGCCAGGCTAAGGTAAGACAGGTGCTTTCCCAAGAACCACTAATATGATTACTAAGGACTCCCAGGAGAATAGGTAACAGACAGTGAATTAGCTAATGCGTTCAGTGTAGATAATCATCCAATGTTTTAAAGCTCTTTGGGATATTAAATGATCTAGTTTGACTGTCTTCACTGATCAAATTAATAAGATAATTATGTTTCTTTTTAAACTACATTTCAGGCTGAAAATAACTGTTAGCAACCTTTACACAGATCTAGGCCACAATTTGCTAATTGAAGACTCTGCCATTTTAAGAGGGTGAGTAAACATCCATTGAAGAATAATCTGGCCAGGTGTGGTGTCTCATGCATGTAATCCCAGCACTTTGGGAGGCTGAGGTGGGAGGATCGCTTGATCCCAGGAGATGGAGGTTGCAGTGAGCCAAGATGGCACCACTGCACTCCGCCCAGATGACAGACTGAGACCTTGGCAACAGAGTGAGACCTTGTCACACACACACACACACAAAGAATAAAAAGAAAAGAGCTATCAGGGCTAAAAGTAGCTTAAGGAAGAGGAATCTCAGCACCAGTAGTCTGAGGAGCCCATGGCCTTGGCCTGGCTCGCTTGCAAGCCTAGAGGCTTCAGAAGCAGTTGCCATGCCTCATTCACTCCCATTGCCTGGCCGTCTGGGTGGGCATGGCCCAAAGTGACTGCACAGACTTCCCAGTCACCCATAATGAGATTCGAGACTGCAGGTGGGTGCTGTGCCTGGAGTGAGCTGGGCTGGCGACCCTGGAGGTGAGTTGGAGGAAGAGGAATACACCTACAGGAGGAGAGCCATGGACCACAGCCATGGTGGCACCCTGAGGACATTGGTCTGGGGCTCAGGATTCCCTTCCTTCCACCCTGTGCTATCCCTGGCCAGGGTGCAAGTGAAGGATAATTGTCAAAGCCTCAGCAGTTAATCACATTGAGACATACGTTCTCATTCCTCACCTGCAGCCAAGGCCCACGCAAACTTACCCTTCGGCCTCTGATGCCTTTGGGTCCTGTTGTTCCATTTAGCCCAGGTTCACCTGGGTTACCCTGGGAAGAAAGCCGAGAAGTGGCACAGTAAGCTTTGGAACAGAAGATCTCACTGAGGGTCCGTGGGGTAAGACATCCAGGAGACGTGTGGGTCACACTTTTCCCGGGCAGCCAAGTGGTTAGTTTTGATTCACTTTTCCAGTGGGTTACTACTATATTTGTGGTATTTGCAGATGGTCTTAATTTAATTAATCAGTAATGATACTATCATGTAGGTTATAGCATTTCACAGCTTACAGAGTACTTTGATTGCAGCATATTTTATTTAAATCTCATAAACACCAGGACAAGTACGTATTATGACCTCCACTTGACAGATGAGAGAGTATTTTAGGGAAGGAAGGGTCTTTCTCAGGGTAGCCCAGTTAACTGAGTGGCTGACCCAAGACTAATGCCAAGATATTCTGATTCTCAGTCCATGGACATACCAGAGCCATCCCAAAATCATGATGATGCTTCACCGACCAGGGATTATTTACCTTTGGTCCTGGGTATCCAGGGAATCCTCTTTCTCCCTATAAAGGAAAAATAGATTATTTAATACTTGGTTCTAATTTAAATTCATCTAAAATAAATTGACCTTGAAAGAAAGAAATGTCTGCTGAGTCATCAAACGAAAACACTCACTCAAATACAAAGACAATTTTTAAAGAAATAATTCTTTTAAAACACAACACATCAGAAGTTGTCCTTGGAGCCTCCTGGCAGCAAGGACGCTTGGATAATCCTCAGCAGATACGTACTTTTTTGCCTCTGCGTCCTTCACTGCCAACTCCGTCTCTCCCGTCATCTCCCTAAGAGTGGGAAAGAGATGTGACTGTAGGTCGCCATGCCTGGCACACCATAACCACCGTCTCTGCCCTGCCGCTGCCCCTGAGAAGTGGATCCTTGAGCTCCTGAAATGTTTGCAGACTAAGGTACAGGAGTAGGCACACTTCCTGCTCCTGTCCTATCTTCCAAGTGTGAACAAGACCATTTCTGTAGGCGGTGGGCTCAAAGGACTCCCGTAGCAAAATGGCACTGGCGGACTAACATAGAAAGAACTGCTGGTTGCTTTTGGTAAAGATTCTGTTTGGATGTAGAATCAAAGACTCGTCAACCCCAAGAATCTTAGAATTGACAGGAATCTTGATGGTTACTTTGATTCTATGCATCCGTAAGTCTTTGATTCTACTTCAAAACCAAAACACTGAACTCCATCTCTCAGGCCCAGGTCATATTCCCCCTCCCCATATCCCTTCCCTTCCTTCCAAGTCATCACCCCTAGACCCCCTCCTTTCCAACACCTCCCCCCAGCATGCTCAGATCTGTTCCTGTTGCTCTCTCATGAGGAGCATTCAGAACTGGACGTCATTAATTATGAATCAGAAGAATCAGAAGAACGTGTGTGAATTGTACATTACTATCTCTAACATATGTAGGAATTGCCACTTAGTTAATTTACAGTTTTCAACAGATATCAACAACTAGAGATCTGTTGACCCAAATTACTAGAAACAGAATCAGGAAGAGATTTCCTTCAATGGTTTGAAGTCTGATTTTTTCCCTGTGCTTCTGAGATTAAAAGTAATACAAACAGATTCGTTTTTAAACTTCAGTTAGTTGAAAAGACAAAAATGAAAGACAGAAAAATATTTTGATGCTTGGAATTAAAACAGTCAGATCAACCTGGTCCTTTTATACAGTGTTAGGTGCCATGACTCCTTTTGGAAAAAGTCACAATGGACCGTAGATTTCTTTATTCTTTTGTAACGTAGAAATGTACATCACAAAATTATTGTTGGTGAGTTTTTGGGGCATTTTTAAATAGCATTTAAAAAACGAGTTACTGAGGTAATAATTTCTATTCCTAAGATGTCTCATTCAAAAGAAATTGTTTCCATCTGGACTGAGACCTAATCAAATCCAATTCCATTTTAACCCAAATGACATTTACTTCTTTGCAGAAAAGCTTCATCTAGTTATGCTTGCAAAGCATTTGCGGGACCTAAGATGAAGGTAGTTTAAGCTTCATTAGCCTCTACATTCTCTTGTATCAGGAAAAACACAGGGGAAAAAATGTCTCTCCCCACGGCCCGCCCCACCTCTCTACCCCTGCCAATAAAATAAAACTTGTTAAATTAATTTGCCGCAGATGAGCAAGTTTCAGTATTTCCAGCCGTATCCCCAATAATACAAGAAGCAAGGCTCATCTTTATTTGGAACCCTCTCCTGGCTTCCTGCACCTTCCAGCAAAGAGTCAGCGACAGCCTGACCCCAAGCGCGCTGTGACCTTACCGTCTCCCCACGAGGGCCCCGGTTCCCGATTCCTCCTTTTGGTCCTGGCTCTCCGGGCTCACCCTAGACATGAGAAACATGGCTGAGACCCTGTGGCCTGGGGCTGGCTTACAGTGTGATGCCAAGCCATGCTTTTGCTCTAGGTAAGGGTGCTGCAACATGCTGACTTCACCTTTGAGATTTCGGTGGAATGATTTTCTAAATTGCAACATTCATGTGCAAACTCCTGGAAAAGAATCCAGGAGGGTTTTGTTTGTCCTTTTCACCAGCGTGGCATGGGGGACGGGCTGATGAGAAGAGAGAGTAACAACTGGGAGAAGAAGGCACGGAAGGCGGTGGGCATTGAGCCCAGCATAAAACCCCAAAACACTCTCCAGGCAGAGACCATCGTGGATTCACAGGAACTCATTTCTTTTACAGAGAACATGCAGTCTTTTCGGACTGGTTATGACAAATTGTAATTTATCTCAAAGCTGATAGAAAGGAGGTTCTCAGGCAGCCTTCATACAGCAGACTTGCTGTTATCCAGGACAGTCAGGGTCGGGGCTCTTGGATGATCTAAATGTGATTAGCTGAGCCACTGTGCGTGCACTGCCCATGTTTAAAGACTGCTCGTTCCATATTATACTGAAACTGTACCAAGCACTGCCCGGCTGCTCTGATGGCTCAGAGGGTGCTGCACTATTGGCACAAGCCAAGCAAGAGAGGAGCAGAAAACCTGGCAGCTGATGGAGGGCTGTGGCCAGGAGAAAGCCAGCCCTCTGAGCAGAGATGGTTGGTGGCAGGGATGGTGGTGGGAATTATGGTGGGGATTGTTGGGGGACAATGATTCCACTGGCCAAGCCGCGATCAACAGGGGAGGCTGGAGTGGGAACCAGTAGTACTGAAGAGGAGGGACAGACAGACTGACCAAAGAGGGAGAGGGGCATGTGTGCCTGGCTGGTCCCTGTCCTCAGGAAAGCTCTACCTTTCTAAAGACAAACCTTTCTTCCCAGTGGACCGGTTCTGCCTCGTTCTCCAGGAGCACCAGCGGCACCTCCGCTTCCCTGGAGCAGGAGGGGAGGAATGTGTCAGTGAAGTGGCCAACCGTCCAGGCAAATTGGTCTCTGAAACCTGACTCTCCCCTGCATGGAAGTCAGAGCCCGCCAGGGGCATGGAACCTGTCCCACCTGCAAATCCCAAGCACTCAGCTCTGAGCACGGGGCTACGGACTCAAATATAAACATGCACAGAAATGGCATGCACAAATTTAAAACATGAGTATTACCTCTCAGTGCCAGTTTTCACAAATTAATGCATGTTGCAGTTATTAATGTACATATCCTAGGTTCCTGACAGGACGGCAAGCTCCCAGATTTTATGTGACTTTATTCTGCCTCCCTTTTCACACCCTCACAGTGAGCACCTGGTACATATGGGCATGTTAAAGCCTGTTAGGTGAATGAATAAACTGATGGATGAAATTAACTCTTAAAATGTGGTACAGTCTACGCAACCCACAAATAACATAAAAGAGATGGTGAAAAAGTGCAAATTAATAAATGTTTCTGGAGCTACTGGATAACTATTTGAATAGCTTTGCATCTATACCATCTTAAATTGTTGATTAATTACAAGTTAAGTAAATGTTTTTTAAAAACGTCTAAAGATATGTATTTATCAGCTTTCAAGCTAGAGAAGGACTTTCTAAGCAAGTTCTTGCCTGCTTCCACCATAAAATATTTTTGTACATTTATGTAGCAACATATTGAGCTCGTTACCAGTTTATTAGTCATTTTTTGGTAATAAATGATAGGATGCCTCCCTCAATATCATCTCAGCCATGAGGGAAACCCGAATACGTAATTCCGTGACACCTGATCCTAGCCCAGCAATGACAGTGTGTCTCTGCTCATCATTGCTGATAGCTGCTTTGCAAGATAACATCTGCAGTCACAGCAAGTTTAAGGGCCATCTTCTGTGCTGAACTCATGGGTGAACTTGAGGCACTCACTATACAAAATACATAAGCACAAGGGGCTATCTCCAGGGACCAAAGGGGAAACACCTTGCAGAATCTAAGCATTTTGGTAGATTTAGATTTTCCAGGATTCCATCCTGAGGCATATCCCCTGATTTCCACCCAGGGACACTTGGAAGGAGCAGAATTGAGACTTAGAGGCCCATGGAGCACCAAAAAAGGAAACTCTTACTTTCTTGGGGTGAAGTAGCCAGTCACTGCAAGGCCTGAGGTTAAATCTGGGGTTTTTGTTGCCAAAGAGGAGAGCTAAAGGGAGGTCTGTCTACAATAGCATCATCCGAGAAACTCTCTCAGCCTGCTTGGCAATGTGCCCTCTGTTCAGCTAGAGAGGGGGCTGGTATTAGGACAGGCTTACCCGAGGTCCAGAAATGCCTTGTTCTCCTATCAGCCCTGGAGGACCAGCAGGACCAGCTGGGCCCTGAGGAAGGAAAAGACCATCGTGAGTGCTAATGAGGTGACTTTCCATGAGAAGCCTCTGCATGGCATCTGCCCATCCCACAGGGCCTGGAACCTCACTTCTGCTGGCCAAAAACGGCCACCAAAACCCACAATTATCCTGTCTTAGCTGCAGTAGCAGCTGCCTCAATCCAGATCGTGAATAGGCAAGTGAGCTTAAAATGTATACAAGCAACAAGCATTCAGACAAAAACGTGTAGGAGAATCTTCACAGAAGCATCATTCACAATTGCCAGAAGATGGCAACAACCTAAATCTCCATCAACCAATGAGTGGATAAACAAAGTGTGCTGTAGCCACACAACAGAGTATCCTTCCATCATGTAAAGGAATGAAGTGCTTCTACATGCTGCAATGTGGATGAAGCTCAAGAACATGATGCTCCGTCAAGCCACACACACAAAGCTGCCTAGTAAATGATTCCATTTATACAAAATATCCATAGTGGGCAAATCCATAAAGAGAGAGAGATTAGTGGTTTCCAGGGACTCGGGGTGGAGGGTGATGGGGAGTGACTGCTAATGGGTACAGGTCTCCTTCGAGACTGTGTTTTGAACCTAGATAGAGGTGATGATTGCACAGCATTGTGGAAGTACCAAATGCCACTGGATTGTTCACTTTAAAATGGTTAACTTTCCGGATATAAATGCCACCCAATCATTTTTTAAATGATTTGTGAAATATCAGAGGGCACACAGTCACACACGGAAGCACTCACCTGTGCACCTCTGGTCCCCTGCTCTCCCTCAAAGCCCGGCTGGCCAGGACCGCCCTTGTTGCCCTTTGAAATAAGAGAAGATGCAGGGAGGAGTCAGGATGGTTCCTGTCAATGTCAGCTCTTTGCTCTACAGTCATTTCTGGGCCAGGGACTTGGAAAGCAACCAGGGAAAACTCAGCTCTTCCAGAGGTAACAGATGATCAAAGCGGTAACCCCAGGTGAGACACTGAGCACAGGAGCCAGCTGTCTCCCTGCACTTCTACAATTGTTCCTCACTCTTGCCTCACCTCTCCTCGGACAGCTTTGTGAAACAGGGATCATTTAGACCTAAAGCAGAGGACCGAGACACCGGGAAGTTGCGGGTTGCTGATGGCCAGATAGGTGAGCACGTTCTGGAAGAGGCGCCCGCCCGGGACACTACTGCCTCAGTCATGTTTCCTGCACTTGGACCCCAAGTCCCCACTGGGCACCATTTTCTCTAGACTCTGCAGAAGAGGCTGTTTAAGGAGACGGCTGACAGAGCCTCGGGAGCCAGAACAGCCCAAGGAGGATGAAAGAAAAATAAATCTCAGAACCCCAAAATCGCTAAGCCAAAGGGAAAAGTCAAGCTGGGAACTGCATCAGACAGAGCTGCCTCCCATTCTATTCTTAAATAAGATAGCTACAAAGAATTTTTTTTTTTTTTTTTGAGATGGAGTTTCACTCTAGTTGCCCAGGCTGGAGTGCAATGGCATGATCTTGGCTCACTGCAACCTCTGCCTCCCGGGTTCAAGTGATTCTCTTGCCTCAGGCTCCTGAGTAGCTGGAATTACAAGCTTACAAGCATGCACCACCACGCCTGGCTATTTTGTATTTTTAGTAGAGACG
Organism: Homo sapiens; assembly: GCF_000001405.40. Lineage (NCBI taxonomy): Eukaryota > Metazoa > Chordata > Mammalia > Primates > Hominidae > Homo > Homo sapiens. Next base: position 237,354,208 of record NC_000002.12, read on the forward strand.
GGGTTTCTCCATATTGGTCAGGCTAGTCTCGAACTCCCAACCTCAGGTGATCCGCCTGTCTCAGCCTCCCAGAGTGCTGGGATTACAGGCATCAGCCACCGTCCTGGCCAGATTTTTTTTTTTTTAAGCTGAATACCTCCCTCACATTCTGCCCACAGGGAAATTCCTTGTGGACAAAGGACAGACAGAACTGAAAGTCATCCCTCTGCTCATGGGAGACAAAGGCATATCCAATTGCTTCCTTCGCCCTGTTTTTCACTAAGCCTAACTAAGGCATAGGTGACTGTTCTGGTAAACTGTGTATTCAGTGAAAGGCTAATCAGAGACTCAAAAGAATGCAACCTTTTGTCTCTTATCTACCTATGACCTGGAAGCCTCCTCCCCTGCCTCGAGTTGTCCCACCTTTCTGGACCGAACCAATGTACATCTCACACATATTGATTGATGTCTCATGTCTCCCTAAAATGTGTAAAACCAAGCTGTGCCCCGAACACCTTGGGCAGGTGTCATCAGGGCCTTCTGAGGCTGTGTCACGGGCATGTCTTTAACCTTGGCGAAATCAACTTTCTAAATTGATTGGTATCTGTCTCCGAAGCTTTGGGTTCACAGGAGAGAGTGTTTTTCACTCCTGGGCTGGGCGGCATCTGGGCTGTTTGAAGAGAGTCTCCAGGGGGCACTGCATGAGGCTCACCTTAGCTCCGGGGGGTCCCCTTCGGCCAAAGCCACCCTGTGGAAGAAAAAGTCCCACAAACTGTGAGGGGGAGCATGGGACGCTGGGCATGGGGCCTAGAGCTCTTTCAGACTTCACCCTCTTATTCTGCGGTTACTCAGGGGAATCTTCCCAAGCACCCACATCGTGCCAAGAACCAGAAACCACACCTCATCAGCCCTGGGGAAACTCGCACACACAGACACCCTTCCTCCACCCTCATCCGGGTGAAGTTTTGCTTCCTTGCTGCTCCTGTTAATCACCCAATGGAAGTTTTGAGAATTACTGCAGACCTGCCAAGCAAAATAATGACTCCTTTTGGCTGCACGATCCCAGCCAGTTTCAAATGAGGAATGTGAAAAGGGAATGTCAACCTGTCTATTTTTCTTCCACCTTCCCAACTGTACTGAGAAGTCATGAAATACATTAATTATAATGGAAGGGAGTCCCAGGTTCTCCAAGTGATCCCGGCCAAACACAACACACACTCGGTTAAGTAAAATATCTGAAGCACACACATGTGCACCTAAACGTCTCGTGTACTTAGGTAGGGCTCACGACTTGGCAACATCTTCCTGGATGCTCCAGAGGTGACCTTTAGTTCAAACATGTGGGCTTACTTCACAAGTAATCCATTAATTTCCACCTCAAAATTGTTTCCTCAGCAGTAGAAAGGTTTGGGGTGGGACTTTATGAATGTCCCAGGCGGTCTTTGCAAAGTTAGGGTTGGTGTTGCAGAGGCTGTGACCGACTAGCTCTGTTGTGGGGCTCAGTCATCTGCTACATCAACCTAGGAACCTCACTCTCCACTTCCAATGGACCAGCCCAGTGATCTGCGGTGACCAGTTTGCCATTATTCGCTGTAATGCCACCTGCTTCAGCGGAAGATCTTGGCCACCTTCCATGGAAAATTTGAGACAAGGGGACACTGTTCTCCTCTACAAACCAACAATCTGGCCTGGCCCCTCCCAAAAGAGACATGCTAGAGTTCCATGAGAGTCCAGCAGCACTCAGTGATACATTGCTCAGGCCAGAGGCCGCCTGCGGAGACTCTAGAAAGGGGATGTAGGCATGCTGAAGCCCAGTGGGAGGGACACATTTCAGCTTGGCCTGAGCCTGGCACTGTGGTCCTAAGGGAAGGGATAGCAGGCCATTAGACCACAAAAGGAAGAACTGAGTCCTCAAGAGCCCGTGACTGAAACCGAATTCAAATCCAGTTTCTACCTTGTGTGTAGAATTGAAATTAATTGTATGAACTACTCAATTTTAAGTCATTTCATGAAACCAAGTTTTGGCTCTGCTCACACGCTGAGTTGTAATAGCCCATTGTAACATTTGATGAGTATTTCTTCTTTTTCATTATATAGCTTCTTTTTCATTATATAGCATTATTCAAAAATAATGCTCACTTCCAAGCAGTTGATCCAGGTCTTTACAATTTATTAAAAATAAATAAATAAATAGTGCTCAAACATTTTAAAATGATATTTTCAAAATTTCTATTTTCTTCTGAATTTTCAAAGCAAAATGATGCCCATAGTCCATCAATTTGATTTTGGTGAGTCGCTCCTTTTGAAAGCCCCTCACCCCAGCGAACTCTACTGGCCCAAGTGCCGGGCCGAACGAGCCACTGCCCCTCAGGGCGTGGCTGAGGGCCCAGTTCCCAGCACCCAGCCCCAGCTTGCAGCCTTTGTGCTCTGTTCATTTCTGAGCAGAGACCTCCCCTAGGCACCCACCAGCATCCTGAATTTCCTCTGAGAGGTTACAAACTTCTACACCACTGGTCTTCTCCCAGCTACAAGGCAGATGCTGTCTGTGCCCGAGGACCTTGGAAGCTTTTGGTTGGCTTCAGAAAGATCATTCACATCACTTTGACTTTAGCATTTATTCAACAAGACTGAGGATTAGGCATACAAGGAGCTATTCTGCTACAGACATTTCTGAAATGTCTTGAAATTGCAAGATGCAATACGCCAGAAAAAGAAGAAATCTAGTTTTTTTATTTCACTTACAGCATCCCCCCAAAAACCCACAGATAATTACAAAAACAACAAATCCACAACTCCCTCAGCCCTCTTGCCCCTTATTCCCTCCCTCCCCCAGTATTAGGATTTCCATTTGGGTCTCTTAAATATTTAGTTGGATCAAACCTGGCCCGATATTTGAAAGTAGCAAAGATATTATTTTTAAAAGTATCTGTTCAGTATGTTTTTGGGGAGAGCAAGAATTGGGGAGAGAGAAGAGATGAAGCACCAGGGAAATTATAAGAATGAAAATAGATTGGAGTAACAACCGTTTCAGAAATCCTTTTACATTCACTCACTGCAGAGCTGTGGACTAACCATGCACCAGGTCATGTTGGGCAGATCTTATGGCACTAAGAATTGTCACAGAGCCCCCCAAAGCCCTAATGGCACTCACATTCTTCCCAGTTTCTCCAGGTCCTCCAGGTACTCCATCTCTCCCTGGGACACCCTGGTGTGGGGAAAATTAGCATGAGATTCTCATCTGCAGAGAAGAATGTCTAGCTCTGAAATGCTGCACAAGACATTGCAGGGAAAGGGGTCGATTCACAGAGGAAGAGCCCGTCTGCAGGACAGTTGCACACTTTGCAGGATGCACCGGACTTCAGTACACTCCCACCTCTACAAGCCTTTGGCTTAACAAGCACCTTCCGTAAATATCTAAGAGGCACAGATTCTGCTGAGAAGCCCCACTTGGCAAGGGTCACTCTGGTTCCCCACGGAGACTTCCTTCACGGGGACTCTGCTGCTAATCTTAGGCTACGTTGCAGTGTTAAAGGCCACGTCTTTGGCCTCTGTGGCTGCTGATGAGCCGAGAAGTGTGTCCTTTCTCTTGCCCTCAGTACAGGGAGAGTCTAGGAATGTGCAGCACCTTACCATGGGGCCGAGGTCACCGGTTTCTCCTTTGGGTCCTCTCTCCTGGCTGTCTTGTCCTGGGTTACCCTGAAAGCAACATGGGAAAGGGAAATGAGCCACATATGGAAGGAAAGCAGCTGCCACTGGACTGGATGGTCAGGGAAATATTAGCAAGGACCTGCATGCAAGGCTTCGAGGGACAAGCCCTTCGGCCACAACCCATCCAGGTAACATCCATGCAGGTCTTACGAAACCCAATCACGGGATCAGCAAAGCACTCTTAGCCCCAAACAGGTGCAATCGTTCTTCCCCAGGGAGGAGGATGCCCCAGGCTCACTCCTGCTTATCCTTGGCCACAGAGGCAGGATGGACTGGAAGAAGAGGCTAGCTTGTACTGCTCATTTGCTTAAACGTTTTACAGAGACACAAAATGAGAAAAGCTGCAAACTCTTCTCTTTTCCAAAAGCAAATTTGAAGTGCCCTGATACCACATTTTTGGAAACTTCTCAGATATTTGTATAACAGGACTTGCAAATGATTATCTGGTTAGCAAGAGAACCAACACATCTCCCCAAACCCCCAAACTGCAAGAAAAAGACAAAGCACATATTTTATCAACGTGTTTTAAAGCAATTTCAAAAGTAGAATTCTTCCTTTCATCCCCCTTTCCCAACAACCCTCTTCCCCAGGCTCAGGTCTGAAATCGTCAATAAAGAAATCTTTACCGGGTCCCCTCGAATCCCAACATCTCCTCTTTCTCCTTTCTCTCCTCGAGGTCCTTTATCACCCTAAAGAAAAAGCACAAGTGGATGCTAAAAACTAGATGTTTCCATTTTTATCTCACCCTAAAAATCACATTCTTCAACTCATAAATCTTAACTAGAACAATGTTTACAATTTACTCATTCACCATGAAGGCAAATTCACTTCCACATATTTTTCATTCGTTTAGTAAATCCATGAATATTTATTGGGGACCCACTTTGTGCCAGGCACTGGAGATTTATTTATAACAAAACAAACTCAGTCCCTGCCCTATGGGATGTGATCTCGAAACAAGAAAATGTACTGTAATGTGTCAGAGCTGAGAGGGGATGTAATGGGTGCACTCACAGGGGAGGTCAGGGAAGGCTGCCTGGAGGAAGCGGGCTTGATGTATATGAGGAAAGAAAATAACTATTCCCTAAATGAAATGTTGATATTCTTTCCATAATAGCACCACCGTGGAAATACACCTACCCTTCTTCCAGGATTCCCTTTCTCTCCAGAAGAACCAGGCAATCCTTTGTCTCCCTGCCAAAGACAAGGATTAAAGGTCACACCTGCTGCAATTTCTATCACAGACTGAGTTGTTAGTTTCTGGAATCTTCAGAACCAAAAGCAGTTTGGACTTAGAGTAAAATCACTTACATCTTCACCATCCAGACCATCCAGTCCAATTTCTCCTACTTCGCCCTAAGAGGGAATAAGGCGGACAGGTAAGTATAGAAAGCTATTCTGGCAAAGGAAGAAATGAGAAATACTGGGAGAGTTTTCCATTTGTAAAACAAAACCAAGCTTGCATACCTTCTCTCCTGGGAATCCCCGAGAGCCCTAGAAGGCAAGGCGATAGGGGAAGCATTAGCTTTTCCTGCAGGGCTGGTCCCTCGGGCAGAAGAGGCCAAGGGCTGTTCCCCCACTCCACCCCATTTGAATGTTGCAGTGTCTGAAAATGTAATATTAGAGTCCTACCCCTTTGGATTCCTCTCTCACCACCACGTGCGATGTTTTAAAACTAAAACTAGAACTGAATGCTTGGGTGGTCTTGGCTCCCTGGGCCGGCGGGGGTGGACCCCAAAACCCAGGGCAAGGAGCTGACTTTGTAACTTTGCAGCCCTTCCCTTCAGCACCTGCCTTCAAACTTCAGCAAACAGAGAAGCAAGTTCACCAGCCTTCAACCCACCTGCTGTCCTCTCACTCCACTCCCTTCCCTGACTGCTCCCACGGTCCAGGGCCGGGGCCGTGGGCACCAGCCTACCCTCCGCCCTGGCCCATGTTCTCTCCTTGTGAGGGTTTCCTGGCTTCTTCATGTTTCCACAGGAAACTATTTCTCCATTCTCAGGCTCCCCACCAGCTGCAGCCCCTGCTCCTGAACCCACCCTGCTCAGAACTGCCTTCCAATGAGAGGTCACGGGCTGCTGAATGCTGAGGTCAAGAAGCCTGGACCAGCGCCTCCCTCCCTGGCAGCATCTGGAGAAACTGCGAGTCACCTGACCCCTCCCCACGCTAGCAACCCCATCACCCACGCCTCACCTTTACTCCTCTCTGGCCCGGGCAGCCCTGGAAACCTTGAGTGCCGTTCACACCAGGCGGACCACGCTCACCCTGTTGTGAGAGACAAAGGCATTTTGCAAGCTGGAGCCCTTCATCACCCTTTCTCTGCCGGGCTTGCAGCAGCGTAAAGGGTACTGTGAACAGCATGCAGCAGAAAGCAGATTTCACCATGGGGAACGCCGATCGAGGCTACGTGAGCCAGGGAGCCTCTTGGGCCCCTGCATGAGGCCTGGCCTGGAACCTGCAGTTTCCCTGAAGGGAATGAGATCTGGGAGGGTAGCAGCGCAGACAGCACTGCCCTGTGGGGCAAGGGTGGGTGGCCCCCAGCACTGTGTCTCTGTGGGTGCTGAATCCCGGGAAGACCCACCGGGCTGACAGCTCCTCCAAGTGATGCTTGATTCCCAGTTCTCTAGCCGAGCCCTGCCGGCTGGGCCCTGGTGACCACACTGTTCCTCGTGAGCCCCTCTGTCCCCTATCCCAGGGCTGGACCTTGATCTAGGGTCCCAAAGCTCCCCAGACAGGTGTCTGTCTTGGGCATTGCTCCCATGGACCCTGCTACTGGGGTCTGTCCATCCCCAAGACCCTCGGATACTGATGATCTGATCCAGCAACATCCCCTCCAGGGACTACCCTTAACGGGGTAACCCCTAAAGCCCTGGTGAGGTCTCCTGCTGTGTCCCTGCCCCTCAGCTCACTCCCATCTCTACTTGCATGTCTTAATCTAGTAGATACTGGGTGTGCAAATTCGGTGTCCCTCTGGCTCAGAAACCAATTAATCCCTCCTTCTGAAACAGAGTAAGAACAAATCCCACCCTTCATGCCCACATTTGTCATACTTCAATTATCGTACTTAGACATCCAGGCAAAGTTGTTAAGAAAAGTATAAATTAATTTTTCTCCCAAAGGGAAAGCCATCAGCAACTGAACAAATGATGAAATCCACAATGCAATCCCAATGGGTAAGGATCAAGGAGGGGGTGAAATTTTAGGGACTAAAACAATTTTTACTTACGGGTCCACCCTCATCACCAGGATAGCCTCGGTAGCCGTCTTCTCCAGGAATACCCTGAAACAAAGTAATCGGGTCCTCTGTTTAATCCCGTGGTCTTCTTTGCTCTACAGTAAGAATCCCTGTGGTCCCCCTTCATTTGGCAGAGCAGCACTAAAACTCAGCATGGCTTTCCCTGTTACTGCTTTTCCCCTCAGTACACCATGTCACGATTCTCTCTATCAGGATCTCTAAGGCTCCTGCTCTGCCAAGAAAGCCTGTTAGTTCCTACTGACTCAGAGCAAATGCTATGAGTTCCAGCTGCCATTCGCAGCCAGGCTGCTGTCAGGGACGCCAGCTGCCTTTAACATTATTTTATGAAATGAAGGACCAAGCTGTTAAAGCACAGATCCCCTTATCCTGTGCAAAAGGAGGGTCCCGCCTGAACCATCTTCACTGGAACAGGCCCCAGCAGAACAGCACGCAGGTCTGCCCCTCAGAGCTCCTCCTTCTAACATAAGAAATGGTCTCTCGTCTCCTCCTTCATCTCCACACTCTTCTGTTAGAGAAATTACCCCACCAAAGTAATGTCGGGCTTCTGACACCTCATCTCAGGCGTGGGCAAGGGTAAAGCCACCGTACCTTTGGCCCGATGCTGCCGATGGGCCCGCGGTCTCCCCTCTGCCCAGAGCACTTGCAGGGAACCCCACAGCAAGCTTTCTCGGCAATGTTGTCCTACCGAAAGGAAGAGAAACCAAATGTTCAGATCTCAAGAAATGCCCAGCAGAAAATCATAAATGCGCTTTAAGGGTCAAAATCGGATGTGTGGGGGTTTCACGGTGTGAGATGAAGTCCCTCCAGGTGACATTTGCTGGACGACTGACGATATGATAGAAATTGCCAGCGAAGTCAGGAGGGCCCAGCTCCTGGCGGTCGGGGTGCAGATGGGAGGTCACCAATAGGAAAGTAAAGAACAACCAAAGTAAAATAGATCTTATCCACAATATCACTGCAGGCTGGACCTTATTTCTAGAAGTTTCCATCATCAGATCTTAACTATAACTTACATATGTTCCAGTTCCAAAGTGCAAAGCCAAGCAAATGGCAGATGGCCAAGACTGAAGGTGGTTCCAGAACAGATATCCATGACCACCCTTCCTTGGAACCAGGGTGAGAGTCATGGGATATGGTACCAGCCCAGAAAGAGGCTTCCAGAGCAGCCATGGTGGGAGCAGGCACAAGTGGTCCTGGCCTCGGAGCCAAAAGCTTCTCAACTCCAGGTCACACAGACACCCTCTACATTCTCATCCCATCTGGCCCCTGACCTTATGTGGGAAAGGGCATGCCCAAATACATTTCCATCTGCTAAACTAATGGTGGGCACATGCACTTTCTTCCAACGAGCTTCCAAGAGCTTTCCCTTTCTCCCATATCCCAGATTTGTGAGCTAACTCAACCTACTTCCACTAGGAAAAAAATCCTGATTCTAACCCTGCAAAGAAGTATGGAAGAAAGGAAGGTCCATTCCTCCCATTCTCATAGCCACAGTCCACTGTTGCTACCATCAAAGAATCTCTGAGTTCGCAGCTCAGCCCCACATCTTCCAAAAGCTCCATCCCCAGTCTAAACCCAGGAGGTCACACCTCCAGCTGAGAGAGGCTGGCCCTGGGGAGAATGAGGAAGCCTCAGAGGGAGCTTCATTGACACAGAGGGAAACTAGGGAGGGCAATTAAAGCACTTCTCCACCCAGAAACAGCCTTTCTTTTCCTGCATGTTGTTTTTATCATGCAAGATTTCAGATGCTCTTGACACAGTTTCCAATTGGAGGATGGACAATCTCGATGGTTTGCATCCCTGCAATGGTGTTAAAAGAGGCCGTTGCTAAGGGAGCAGAGAAAATGCTAAGGCCACAACCTCAGCGCGCCCAGGATCCCCTTCCAGCTCGCTGGATTTCCAGCGATTTGCTATCTCCATTTCCAGATTCACATGTGTTATGGCAACAAGGCAGTTCCCAAGTGAATTAAATAAATTTAACTATCTACCAAGGCCCCCCCCCCACCTCCATTCACCTGCTGATAATTAACTTCATTCTCTTGAAATGCCAAAAGGTGTGGTATCTACACTGGTCTGTGTATAAAGACATAAAAAAAACTCACAAGCTGCTCCGCTAGTTCATAATCCAAGTCCAGCAAGTTAAGCCTCAGGGGCCTGTCATACATAAACCCTCGCCCAAACTCCAGATGCATTAGCCGCTCCAAGTTGACCACTCGTTCAAGGCCCACCAGGATCAAGGCACGGACTCCTGCAAAGAAAGACACATTTAATACAGCTCACCTAGGCATGTGGAAAATGCAATGTCCTTTTTTCCTGACTACATTTTTAAAGAAAACTTCAGTGTAAAATTTAGCTTTTAACTTAAATATATTTAATCAAGTTTACTGGCTACTCTGAATTGTTGAAATACTCAAACTTTGGACTCTGCTGAATAATTGTTTCCGGTATGTCAATAACTAAACCTATTACTAAAAATATAGGAAGTGGCATCCATGAAGTGTATTCATGCATGAGTTCTCAAACTCAGGCCCTCTGTAACACGAGTATGCTGTGGGAAGTATTGAAATACTAACACCTCCAAAATCAGATAATAGCAGCCTCATCTCCATTGCTTGGGAAAAGTAAGCTAATAAATAGAAAGTTCTTAGGATAAATTACACTTCTGTAATGGCATCCACTTTCTGATAGTCAGTGCTACCAAACGCCAAAGCAAGTGAATAGTCAAAGATCACATCTGATAATAGGCATGGCTGTCACCTTATGTTTGGTACGTCATTGCTTACATTATTTTCTTTGTATTATTTGGGTGTAGTGTTATTAAATGTTGAACTGTGATAACTGCAAACCAAAAATAGAGCAATGTATTTTTATTAGTAACTAATTCCTAGTTTATGTGATGAAGTTAAATGAATCAATACGTCATGATCTTTTGCAAAAGCATCATGCTTTCTGAACATTCTACCACCTGAACAGCCACAACACAACAGTAAAGCTGTCTAAGTACAGAAGGAATTTTTGTTAGCTCCATCCCACAGCTCCAAGCAGGTGATGAAGGGCCACAACGCTGGGAGGAAGAGTCTCCCAAGACAACGCTGCTCCCTTGGGGCGCTGCATTAGCAGAGAGGTTTCTCTCCAGCAGAGCAGTACACCCCGCCTCACCAGGGTTTACTTCTCATATTTAGAAAGCCTTGGCACCTACCTTCTTGGCGGAGGTTCTCAGATGCTCTGTGTAAATCAGCCAGATCTCCGTCTGCTCCATCAGTAAAATGAATGACCACCTGCAGATAAGAGAGCTGTCAAATCCCAGGAAAACTAAAAAGGAGTGTTGCAGACTGCTGATAGAAAACTGAGAGACTCGCTGTCTCAAGCCCTTCATTTTACACTTAAGGAAACTGAGGGCCCAAGTTGAGGAATGATTACCCATGTTCACAAGACTTTGATATTGCACTTAAAATGGAGGAGTATATTTGAGTGCTTAATTTATTTTAAAAAAGACAAGCAGCAATGACAATAAAAACAATTTTTATCTCATTCTCATATTTCTAAGATGTAGTTTCTGCGAATCATATGCATATGTGTGCATGCATGTGTGCGTGCATGTGTGTGCATGTGTGTGGGTACATATGTGTGTGTATGGGTGCATTGTGTGTGCATGTGTGTGCACGTGTGTGTGCATGTGTGGGTGTGTGGGTGTACATGTGTGTGGGTGCGTATGTGTGTGCATGTGTATGGGTGCATGTGCGTGCATGTGTGTGGGTGCATGTCTGTGGGTGTGTGTGCGTGTGTGCATGTGTGCATGTGTTATGGGCTAAATTGTGTCCCCTCAAAATTTGTATGTTAAGTCCTAAACCCCAGTACCGTAAGAATGGGACTGTATTTGGAGATAGGGTCTTTAAAGAGGTAATTAAGGTTAATGAGATCTTTAGAGTGAACCTTAATCTAGTATGACTGATGTCCTTTTAGAAGAGGAGATTTGGACACAGACATGCACAGAGAGAAAGCCATGTGGAGACACAGGGAGAAGACCCCTGCCTACAAGCCAAGCAGAGAAGACTCAGGAGAAACAGCCCTGCCGACACCTCGAGGATGTCAAGCCTCCAAGACTGTGAGAAAATAAATGTCTGTTCCAAAAGCCCGCCAGGCTGTAGTACTTCATGATGATCCCTAGCAAACTCACATGGTGTGTGTGTCTACACAATATATATGCATGTATATACACACATGCATGCATGCACACATACACACAGAGAAATGAAAGTGGAGAACGTACCTGACTGGACTATAATTAAACATAAATCAATCACAAATTCAACTCATTCAAGTTAAACTACTGATTTCCAGGATTCTTTTAGAGCTTACGTAAGACTACCAAAATGAGGAAGACAGTACATGACATTAGATCAGTTAATAACTAAGGGATTTTCCATATAGACACTAACAATCCAGTGAAACATGAAGAGGATTTAACTTGGGGGAAGGGCTTCCTCCTTTCCAGTAAAAATTTGGAAATTTCCCAGGGAGCACCTGAACCAACTGGCCCCACAGACCTTCACGCTGTCCGGCGAGGACTGTCTGAACTTGTTCAGGTAGACCTTCAGGGTGTCCTCCGTGAGGACGTAGGGGTGCTGGCTGCGCATGTTCCGGAACTTCTCGAGCATCTCTGGCTGGTACTCGTCAAAGTCAAAGGCCTCCACCGGGCCCGAGGGCGTGTTGGCCACCACTGACACACGCACGGTGGGCGAGCGGCCACCGCTGCAGCTGACCCTGTGCATCTGGCTGATTCTGTTCAAGATGGCGTCCACCTTGGACTCGAAGCCCTTCTGGGCCACAAAAACATTCTGGTCTCTAGAACCATCAAACCCCAGAATCACATCCAGATTACAAGCTGGAAAGGAGAAATGCAGGTGATGAGTTCTCAGCTGGGGCTGAGGAGACGAACTCTACTTATACCAGCAGTAGGGACAACCCAGGCAGAGGACCAGGGCATCGCACTCAAGTGCAAAATGAGATCCTGTGTGTGTGAGCTTTGAGAAGCAATTCTATCCACCCCTCTCACAGAGAGAAATGAGGGTAGCTGTTAGGTGCCAAATAGTAAGCTATTTTAAAAAGTCAGCTTTGTTGGTGGTGTTAATTAACTTTGGTGTGATGATACACCACTGGTGTTTAGATGCACCCCAAGTTTGTGCTTTAAATTAAAAGCACTTGAAAATCAAATATTCTGATCTCAAATACTTGATCTAATAAATCTATAATTAGACACAGGAATCAATAAATCTGAATTGTTTGAGGGATTAAGGAATAGGGGAGAAAAGTAAATCTTATAAAAGCAAAATATGATAGACTTCTACTCTTGTCTTGGAAGAACGCCCTAGGTAGTGGTGAGGTGGGTGTCAGGACCAGTCCCAGTGGGTATAAGTAAATGTATGAAGCAACCAAATGCCTAAGGACTCCAGAGGTCAGCACCAGGGACCAGACAGCTAAAGAGGCACAAATGTCAACAGGAAAGGATGGAAAATATGCACATAATGGGAGTTACCTTTGGCAGCATCAGTTACACCAGGGCAAAGGGTTTCATGCATCGCATCATGCAAAGTTTCCAAAACTTGCTCGCTCAGTTCGGACAGCTCCTGGACGTTGCCCACGCGGAACGCTGTGGCGCTGTTGGACGCTATCTTTCCAACCTCCTCCGAGTCGATATTCCTCACTCCAACAGCAAACACTTTGACCCCCCTCTGGGTGAGGGCCAGGCTCACATCCTGTGCATCTTCCACCGACTTTCCTCCCGTGATCACAAAGGCAATCTGAGGGACCCGCTGGTCCAGGCGGCTGCCTGCCTCAGGCACAAAGTGGTTTACCCGCAGGTGCTCAAGGCCCACCTTAGTGTTGGCGTGTCTTCCCCCTTTGTAGACCACTTTGTTGATGGCGTCAATAATCTGCCTCTTGGTAGAGAAGTCCTTCAGGAAGAATTCGTCAGTGGGGTCAGAGTTGTACTGGACAAGCCCCACTTGGATGGAGTCGCCATCTTCATAAACTGTGTCCACTATTTCAGACACAAAACGAAGCACTTCCTGGAAACTGTCCCTCCTGAAGTTGATGGAACCATCCAACAGGAACACAATGTCTGCTTTCTTCTTCTCTAGAAGTGATTAAAGTGAAAATAAGGAGAGATTAGGTTTCCAGACCCAGAACATAAATACACAAAAGGTAAAATTAAATAACTGAAATAAGACATTCCTAATAATTTATTCACAGTGAAACCTTCACTCAAATCCATGCCTCTTTAGCCTGTAGTTCCTGAATTTGCAGCTCCCAAACATGCTAAATACAAGAAGATGAATGATAAATCCTCTAAACAAAAAGGAAAGGAGAAAAATTATTTGATGTCACACTCTGTGAAAACTCAGTGACAGAGAACTTCAGTTATCCCGTGCAAAATGGCATTGTGACAAGAATTCAATAGGGACCTGGCTTTGACATTTGTGATCTCAAGTGTTTTAGGAAATGCCACTAGAAGTTTCCTTTGTGGTCAAGAATTTTAAATAGTTCCTGGAAGTGAAGAGATGTGTGTGAGGTGCAAAGCAAGGAAGGACTAGGAGAAACAGATTGGAAAATAGGAAGAGGCCCCTTAACCTTTGGATGATGGTCTGAGAGCTTTGTAGGAGCTGGCTGAATATCAGTGGTGTGGAGGGTAATTTCTTGATTATAATTAAGCAACTGAGACTGGAATAGAGAGGAGAAAGGATGAGAGACAGTGTGAGGGATGTGAGATGTGCCACAGGCAGCCTGGTAGGGAGCAGTGAGCTAGGGAAACAGGCATACTGCTCCCCTTTGAAGAACCAACCCTAATGGTTTGCTTCAGATGTCTACATGGCGATTACTTGGAGGAGGGACAAAGAAAAATATGGGCTGGTGGAGAGATCCACTTTGCTTTTGCAGCCCCAAAGACGAGAACCAGGAGCACGGGGTAGAAGCTGAGGTGGACGACTGCAAGTCTTCCAGGAAGGTGCTCCCTGATGGTCCCACCAGGCCAAGGAATGAGGGGACCTGGACTATATTGGGCATCTGGCCAGTAGGCATGGGCCAACTTCAAAGTCACATTCAGTGGGGCATGGACTGGCTGATTTCAAAGATGCCATCCTATTCTGAGAGCCAATGAGTTTGTAATTATCTCAGTGCAACACTGCAGAACCTTTCAATGGGGCTATGATTAGTCTCAGGAGTGATGGAAGATCAATAATATGCTTCCTTCTGCAATTTCAATGGAACTACTTTTCCAGTATTTAATTTCTAATATTATCTGAAGAAACAACCCAGAGAGAAGAAAATTATTAAAAATGACTACTGATTACTTTTTTAACTAAAAAAAAAATGTTGATGTCACACTCTGTAGTCATGGGTCACACGGTGCATACCTGGCCGTGAAGGAGGAGGGGTGTCCACCCCTGGAGGTGCAGGAGTGGCTGCGGAGGGTCCAAACGAGTTCATGATTCTTTCTTCTATGTTGGGAAGCTCTCTGAACTCTCGCACTGTGAAGACCAGTCTGGGGTCATTGGTGATGGTCTGCAGCTCTGTTCTGTCGATGTTCCGGTCTCCTACCCCTAAACTCACAATGCCCGAGGAACGGATCACCTGGGCGAACCTGGACACATCGTCCTGGGATTTTCCACCCAGGACCAGGACCAGGTGTTGGGGCACCCCGTCTTCTATGCGACTCCCCGCAGACTTAACAAAGAGGTTTCTTGCCACAAATTCGAGAGCCTTGCCAGTGTTCAGTGGGGACCCCCCTCTGAGCCTCAGGCGCCGTATGGCGTCCAGCACCGGGGCCTGGGATCTGTAGGTTTTCAGATAGAATTCTGGGAAGACATCATTGCTGAACTGCACGACCCCAACTCTCACTTTACTGGGGCCGATGTTGAGTCTTCGAACAATCCTGCTAACAAAATCTCGAATATGTGCAAAGCCATCTGGCCTAACTCCCTCAGAGCTGTCGATCAGAAAGACAATGTCTGCAGCATCACTCTCAACTGCTGCAGATCAAAGAAGAAAAAGGGAAACATTCAGTGTGTAAGTAGCCCTCACCCAGGTTTGGTGTGCACCTTGCACCATAATCCTAATCAACCTTAAGATTATATCCCAAGATGCCTGTGTTGTTTGTATCTCGGGCTTTTTGAAATTAGCCGTTAAAAATTGGACCTTTTACACCAAAACAATTTCTGCTCCTTGAAATATTTGAAGTTATCCAAAACGTGTCTTTCTGAATTTACTCTATTTAAATTTTGGCATTGTGGTCTGGGTTACTACTGATTTCTAAAATGTAAGGAGCATTTAGAAATCAATCTTGGGCTACCGTAATCTACAGAATCATGAACTGTTGCTACCAGAAGAGACCAAGGCCACTGGGATCTATATCTTTGTTGTACAAGAAGAGAAACAGCTGAGGCCAAAGGTTCTCGCCTTGTCCAAGGCCATCACTTAGCAAGTGAGACCCCTGAGGAGCCCAACACCATCCCAGCATGCTGCGCAATCTCAGCCCATGGGGGCAGGGTACGTATAACACAGTGCCATATCCAAGGGGTCACATTAATGCTCCCCAGGCATTTGTGCCCTCGTATTTCCTTTTTGCTCACACATCTCTAGCATTTATATGAAGTTTTTATTTTTCACTATTATTCCTCTATTTCCTTTTCTTTCTTTTTTTTTTTTCTGAGACATGGTCTCTTTCTATCTCCCAGGCTGGAGTGCAGTTGCACAGTCACAGCTCACTGCAGCCTTGACCTCCCAGGCTCAAGCAATCCTCCCTCCTTATCCTCCAAGTAGCTGGAACTACAGACATGAACCACCATGCCTGTGCCTTTATTTTTTAAATTTCATTAAAATTTTTTTTTTTAATTTTTTGGATGAGGGTCTCACTGTGTTGCCCAGGCTGGTCTTGAACTCCTGGGCCCAAGTGATCCTCCTGCCTCAGCCTCCCAAAGTGCTAGAATTATAGGCATGAGCCGCCATGCCCAGCTTCCCCCACCCACCCTGACTCATTTTCTTTACATTAGCGCATTTTTAAAAATATTTAATTCTATTAAATAACTGGTTTAATTTTTTTTTTTTTTTTTAGATGGAGTCTTGCTCTGTCGCCCAGGCTGGAGTGCAGTGGCGCAATCTCGGCTCACTGCAACCTCTGCCTCCCAGGTTCAAGTGATTCATCTGCCTCAGCCTCCCGAGTAGCTGGGACTACAGGTGTGTGCCACCACACCCAGCTAATTTTTGTATTTTGAGTAGAGATGGGGTTTCACCATATTGACCAGGCTGGTCTCGAACTCCTGGCCTCATGATCAGCCCACCTCGGCCTCCCAAAGTGCTGGGATTACAGGCGTGAGCCACCACGCCCAGCCTAGTGCATTTTTAACAATAAAATTAATCAAAAGATCCTGAGAAAGATGAGCCACATTTTCCTATTAGTTAGAATTTTAGGTACTCCTCAGATGCTATTTTATTAAACTTGTATGTTGCTACTCCACACATTTCAACCTGCCCTTTGCCTCATACACAATTGGGCAATTTACGGTGTAAATGCAGCATAGTGGAAGCTGAGCAGCTCTTGTGATGGAGCTGTTTAAGAAAGAGAGAATCAGCCCCCGCATTGGGGAGCTGGTCCAGCACACATGGCCTTGGGGTTCTCCTGTTGAGCACACATGATCTCACAGGACCCCCACAACAGACAAGGCTACTCTGTGATCACAATGGGGCAAGATGAAAATGAGACCACATTGTAACCCTATCTGAACACAGACAAAAAGAAAAACATGGTGCAAACCACAAAAAGGACAAAAACACTCCCTGTCCTGGTTAATAAGAGTGACTGCTCTTCTCTACCAATCTATACCAAGGCCATCCTGCTTCTAGGTAAGACTTAAGATACAGCTACAGAATCACCTCCACGTCTTGACAACATCCAATCCAGGCCACAGTTCCATTTCTTTAAGCCTTCCACAAAATGACCTGCCACTAGCTCAAGTCCCCCCAGTCCTTCCGGCCACCCTCCTATGGAGATGCCCTCATGCTTTGCCACGGTATGCATTCTCCCTGGATGCCATGAGCAATAGACCCAACTTGTTCAGTCGCAGGTGTGTCCTGGTGGGGTCTGGCTGGTGGGCATGAAGAACATAAAGGTGCTGGGCGCGGTGTCTCAGGCCTGTAATCCCAGCACTTTGGGAGGCCGCAGCAGGTGGATCACTTGAGCTCAGGGGCTTGAGACCAGCCTGGCCAACATGGTGAAACCCCGTCTCCACAAAAAATACAAAAAATTAGCCGGGCGTGGTGGTATGAACCTGTAGTCCTAGCTACTGAGGAGGCTGAAGTGGGAGGTTGGCTGGATCCCAGAAGGCAGAGGTTAAAATGAGTTATGATCATGCCACTGCACTCCAGCCTGGACGACAGAGCCAGACCCTGTCTCAAAATAAAAACCATAAAGGTAAGGGCATACAACCTTTATTTTAATTTAATTTATTATGAGTACCATGGCCTTTGAGCCTGTTATTTTTCATATGGAAAATGCTCCAAGGAGAACCTCCGACGCCCCCATCTCACCTGGAGGTGGATAGCGAGTGCTGGCTAAGAGCTTCTGGATCTGCTCTGAGGTCAGGGTCGTGATGGGCGTCAGCAGTTTCTGCTCCAGGCTGGGCAGCTCCCGGAAGGTGCTCACCGAGAACACATATTCGGGGCTCAGCGAGATCTTCACCAGCTCCTCCTGGTCTGCGTTCCTGGCGATCGTGAAAGGGGCCACGCCAAACTGCTTGAGCTCCACCGCCGGGTCGTCCACCTCATCGTCAGACTTTCCAGACGAGATGAGGACCAGGAACTGCGGGACGCCCTCTTCAATGCGGCTCCCCAGGGGCCTCTTGAAGATGTTCCTGGACACGTACTCCAGGGCATTGCCCACGTTGATCTGCCGCCCTCCCTTGGGCCTCAGCCGCTGCACCGCGTTCTGCACTTCATCCTTGCTGGAATGGGCGTTCAGCAGGAACTCCACCTTGGGGTCATCGCTGAACTGGATGACAGCCACCCGGGTGGTGTCAAAGCCCACGTCCAGGTAGTCAACCAGCCTCTCTATGAGGGTGCGAACGTACTGGAACTCAGGCCCGGCACTTTGGGACCCATCGATGAGAAAGACCACGTCCCTCTTGCCACCAACACCTGCGAAACAAATGTGAGCATGGCTTCACCTTCATCGTCACCAAATTCTTAGCGTTCATGAGCCACCGCCCAGTTTGTCATGGATTCACAGGCAGGGGATCCTAACACCAATCACCACTGTTAAAAGTCCAAGAAGTGGGAGTCCTGGGCATTTCAGTGTTTACACATCAAAGAGAAGGGGAGCAAAGGATGAAAAACCCGACGGAGGCAGAATCAGAAGAGCCTCATCAGCACCAGCGAGGATGGTACTTGGGAAGGACGTGACCTGCACTGCATCAGGTGCTGCTCAGGGACCCGAGGGTCAGCCACTGGGCTTCGCCAGAGACAGGGACCTTGTCAGATGGAGTGACCTCAACTGGAGCACTTGGGGGAGGAGCAAGGGTGAATGACAAAGTAGGGTGGGCTCAGAGAGGATGGGAGGAAAGGAACTTTAGAGTATAGATAAGTCTTTAGGAGACAGGTGCTGCTGGCAGGGGAAGTGGCGCATCAGAGAGGGTGTTTAAGAGAGAAGAAGCAATGCATTTTATCATGGATGGAACCATCCAGCACAGTGGAGAAAGGGTGACACAAGAGCAAGAAAGGGAACTGCAGATGGTGCCACTGAGCAGGTGAGAGGAAAGGGAGCTGAGGAAGCGGAGACAGGCCACCCAAGGAACCACGGGATGACGTGGCCGGGGACAGCTCTCTTTGGGTTTACTTGCATTTTCTTGGAGAAATAGGACTCAAGATTACCAGCTGAGAGTCAGGTGGGTCAGGAGAGGTGTGAGAGAAGCCTCCGAATGGGGAGAAGGGGGAAAGAGGGAGGCTGTTCTGGAGCGCAGGAGAGTGAGTGGGCAAAGAGCCACAGCGTTGTGGAAATGTACGTTCCTGACAACAGAAGCTGCACCCGCACTGTGACAATATTCCCAAAGTCCATCCTCGGCAATCTGGGGCCAAGACACAGCATCACAGAGGCCTCCTGCAGGCAGATACATTTTGGAAATGTTGCATTTCCTTTCTTGTGTTGGAGACACACAAAGCGCCTTAGTTAGGAAGAAAGAAAGCCTCTTTCACTTTGTTTATCCCACTGTTGCCCAAATTTACCTGATCATAAATGCTCAGGAACATCCCACAGAAACCTGGTGGGCCACACTGCTCTCTTCCCCAGGCACCAGCGAGGAGAAACCAAGCCCCTCTCAGTTGCACCCAAATAATCATCCTCACCTCCCTCATCACCCACTGTATCCTGCAGTGATTTCCTTTCACTTGCTTTTACTCCTTCCTCCGCTCCTCCCCAACTTTCCTTCTTTTCTCTCCTCTTGGAAGAGCAGGCAAGTGAGTGCATATGAGGGAGCAAGGCCGCATCTGCCTCCTTCGCCACTGTGAACCCCCCCCACCCGAGTGACCCGGGAGAGTGGCCCTTGGAGGACATTTATTGAGAGGTAGATATATCTTTCCTCCTTCCTTCTCAGCACCAGGGCTCCCACCATTTTTTAGTTTATTGTACCAGGCCTAGAAAGAGGGAACAGGAAAAAGAAAATAGAATAAACTATGGTCATAAGAGCCAGGTGGCCTTCCTGCCAGTTAAGACACTTCTCAGCACCAAGCAAAGTCAAAATTATCTTCACACCTTGGCTCTGGAGATACCAATATTTCAGAGTCTATGTCCCAGCTTGCAGAGTGTCCCTGGTCAGACTCCTTCCTGCCTCACAGAAGGCTGCTGACCAAACCTACCAGGGGTCGCAGGACTGATACGCAACAGGCGTTATCAGTTAGACGGCCCCTCCCTTTGGATATCTAGACAGAAGCTTTCATGCAAAGTTAAGGAGTCCTGAATTCCAAGCTGCACATATGTCCCTTTTGGAGAATTTAATTTGCCCCAAAACATGAATCTTAGCATCTCCCCCCTTGAACCTCTGCCATTTCTGCCCATCGAGGCCAAAAAGGGCATGTGGGTTCCTAAATTTTCCTGTAATTTTAGTTTTCACTTCACATGGCAGGAAAAGCAAAATTGAGAACACCTTGTGGCCCACAGTCCAGACAAGTAGCCCCAGACAATGACACTGAGTGAGGATGCAAAGAGTTCCCTGCGTACCTGGGCTCGGTAGAGGCTGCAACACCGGCTGCAGCCTGCTCAGCTCCTCGCGGGTGAGCTGGGTCACCCTCTCAGAGATGACCTGTTGGACGGTCCCCAGCTGGCGAAAGGTGGGAATGGCCACGGCAAAGTCCGGGATGAAGGAGATGGTCTGCATCTCTGTGATGTCAGCGTTCCCGATGCCAATGCCAATGGGCACAGCCCCACCCCTCTTCACGACCACGGAGGGGTTCCGCACATCATCCCCAGACCTGTCGGCCGTGAGGACGATCAGCAGCTGGGGCACACCTTCTGTTATCCTGCTTCCCGCAGAGCTGACCAGGATGTTCCTCAGGACAAACTCCAGGGCGGCCCCGGTGTTGGGGGTCGGCCCTCCCAGCAGGGTCAGCTGGCGGACAGCGTTGACGACGTCCTGCTTGTTCATGTATGAATTCAGGTAGAACTCGGGCCTGGTCCGGTCGCTGTACTGCACCACGGCCACGCGGACCCGGTCCTGGCCCACATCCAGGCTTTCCACCACTCTCTGGACAAACTCTTTCAACAGAGGGAAGCCGCTCCTGACGCCCTCAGAGCCATCAAGCAGAAACACCACGTCCTTTTCACCTGAAACTGGGAGGAGGACAGCCTGGTAACTCACACAGGACATCAGAGCAGCAATTTCATATCAACGAGGTGGGCTGCATAAGAGCATCACAGGGATGTCCAAGTCCAAATCCCCGAACTTGAGAAAAGGACTTTGCAGATGTGATTCAGGTAAGGATTTGGGGATGGGGGGATTACCCTGGAATTAGCCAGGTGGGCCCAATGTAATCAATCACAAGTGTCCTTATAAGAGGGGGTAAGAGGGTCAGAGTTAGAGAGAAGATGTAAGGATGGAAACAGAAGTCAGAGAGGAGAGAAAGTGCCAAGCTGCTGGCAATGAGGATGGAGGATGGGGCCAGGAGGCAAGGAATGCAGGCAGCCCCTGGAGGCTGGAAAAGGTGAGCAGATGAAGAATCCCTTAGAACCTGCAGAAAGAACACAGCCTGTTGACACCTTGATTTTAGCTTAGCAACACTGGTTTCCAATTTCCAGCCTTCAAAACTGTCAGATAATAAGGATTTTTGTTTTTGTTTTTGTTTTTGTTTTGCAGTGGAGGGGTCGGGGGGTGGACAGAATTTCGCTCTTGTCGCCCAGGCTAGAGTGCAGTGGCGCAATCTCAGCTCACTGCAACCTCCGCCTCCCGGGTTCAAGTGATTCTTCTGCCTCAGCCTCCAGAGTAGCTGGGATTACAGGCACCCGCCACCACACCCAGCTAATTTTTGTATTTTTGGTAGAGACAGGGTTTCACCATGTTGGTCAGGCTGGTCTCCAACTCCTGACCTCAGGCAATGGGCCCGCCTTGGCCTCCCAGAGTGCTGGGATTACAGGTGTGAGCCACCGCACCCGGCCTGTTTTGTTTTTGGCCACTAAATTTGTGTTACTTTGTTATAACAGCAATGGGAAACTAATACACCAATATAGGGACCCCTTTTATTTTGGAACTTTTCAATGCTTGAAGAGTATTGTTAGCTTTCAAAGATGTATTCAAGAAAAAACTTGGGATGGGAGGAGAGACATGAGATGGCAGCACCTGCACAACCACTAGCATTTTATCGATGGGAGGTTTCAATTGAGTTGCTGCAAGTCACAAGTGGGTTAATGGGAGGAAACGGAACCCAGATGTCGGAGTTACCATCCCAAGCCAACGGCCAATGGGCCCAGTAATCAAAGGAGAGGCTCTGGAGTCTTCATTTTTCATCAAAAGGCATACAGGGGAAATTACTCTCTTCACTGCATTTTTATCACTAAATTAAAGGGGTTAAATGAAAAGTCATGGCAGTGTCAATTAGCAGTTGGGGGATTTTAATGCAGAGTTTATGGTGGAAAGTTATCTACCTCTTCTACTCCTTTAATTTTTAATGAATGTAATGAAGGAATTATAACAATATAAAGGCATTGGGTGAATATGAAGATGAAGGCTGTTTTAGGTACAATGTAACCATATGATATGGCTTTTATTATGCATACCATAAAAACTGTTTTTAAAAAAGGATTTTAACCACTGATATCTAAATCTTTATAACATGTCTTACTATGAAATAATCTAATGCCCTTAAAAATACTCACCCTCATTCTCCTGAGAGAGCAGCTAGAGAATCAAAGTAAGGAGGGACATCTCATATTCTATTGTTCCTGCTGAAACCAGCAGGTGATTAATTTTCCACCTTTCCTGTAAACTCAAGGAGGGCTTCTATCTAAGGACCAGTGGCCAGCAGCCTACCCTCAACTCATGCATTAGAGAACTGAGTGGCAGAGCAACTAGCATTTCTCTACCATACCTGGTGCTGGTGCTCCGTTGTGCACTGATTTTAAGAGATTCACTATCTGTGGATGAAGATCTCCAATCTTGGGAAGCGACTCTGCAGCCAGGATAAACGCTGGAGACAGCACGATCTGCTCTAACTCAGCAGGGTCTGCGTTCTTGGCTTGGAAGATGAAAGGCACAACCCCACTCTGCTTCAGGTTACTTGCTGGCCCATCCACACGGTCAGATGACCTTCCTGCGACCAGCAGCACCAGGAACTGAAGCACTCCATCCTCGATCCGGCTGCCAGCAGACTTCACAAAAATGTACCTCTGTGCATAGTCCAGCGCGTAGCCCAGGTTGAGGGCTTTGCCCGTCTTGATCTTCATTCTCTTCACAAGATTCAGGATCTCAGGCTTACTCTGGTGCTCATCAAAACGGGACTCCACCTTGACATCATCGCTGTACTGAGCCACCGCAATTCGGGTCCCCTCTGGCTTCACATTGAGCTCATCGATAATCTTGTAGAGAAAGTCACGGACAACAGGGAACTGGCCCACAAGATTGGCTGAGCCGTCAAAGAGGAACAGAATGTCTCGCTTGCTCTCTGCAATGAAGGTAGATTAGGATACAATGAGGGACGAGAGCATAACAGGAACCAAAGCGACTTCAGCCCAGCACCATTTGACAACAGGAGTTGGTGAAACTCATCTGATGACCACTGTGCCAGCAAGAGAAGAGAAAACCCAAATTCATACCACTTGTCTTGAAAATGTCCTATTTCAAATCAGTGCATATTTGCAAAGCTAGTAACTAGAACAGCCTATCCCATCTAGCATCATGCTTCTTCAATAAAGCAAGCCAGGGAAAAGCCCCACTGGGTTGTGTTCTTACATCAGGTGGCAATCGCTCCAGGAAAACAGACAGCAGTTTCAAACTGTTACAAATAAAAGTATTGAAAACATGGCCCTTAATATACCTTTGCTTAAAAAAATTGATCTCAATCTCTAGAAAAAAAAAGGGGGGGCTGATATGGGTCAACCACTCAAAGATAACTGGGTTGCCATGAATCTGCTGTAATTGAATGATCAAATCATTAAATTTGAGGTTACGGGCCAAGACCCACAATAGTGCCCATTACTGCTGTGTGGGTCAGGCTCCTTGTCAATGCTTCCCAATCTGTTGTAATGAGACAATAGGAAACACAGATGACAGGCCCTATGGCACCGCAATGTGTAATGTAAATAACATTCTCAGTTAAAACAGTTCTTAGAACTATTTTGATTAGGTTTCAATTGGTTTAGTCTTGCCATTCATCTGTGTGATGTTAGCAGACTGGTAGATCTGATACAACCATATCTTACCACCATAATAATTTGCAATAATAATAATAAGTTAGCCTTCCCCTAGAAACCATTTTACCATTGCATGAAGATGCACCCTTTGTTTGTTTTATAACAAATAATTTTCTAGATACAGCAGATGTTGAACATTTAAAAATCATGTAAAAATACAATTTCAACGTTTAAATAATCCCAAGGCATATTCATGTAAGAAAAATCTCTCTCTGTCTCCCTCCACCCCATGATCCCCAAATCTGGATTCGAACTCCAGAATCCTCACAGTCATTAGAGGAAAAAAAATCCTTCTGAATAAAGGGTGAGGCAAAATGGACAGAACATAAGCTGGATGTTCTAGACTTTCCTTCGTGAACACCCTTTAGACAGAGTCCAGCCTTGCTGGTACAGTGTCTCAAGTCCCCATTCAAACTATTTCAATGGAAGGGAGCCAATTGTCTTTGTACAGTCCACAGTGCTCTTGAGTTCAGACTGGCAAACTACCCTCCAGGGTGGTGTCTGAGGAAGGAGAGGGAGTTCCCGGCAACAGGGGAGGTTTACCTGGCTGAGCGAGTGGTACTTCCTCCACACCTCCACTAACATATGTGGTTAGGGGCTGAATCAGCTGCTGAGGCAAAGCTGGCAGGGAGCTGAAATCATCCATGAGATACACCAGGCTTGGGTTAAAAGCAATCTGCTCAAGCTCTGCCTTATTCGCCTGGCTAGCTCCCACACAAAAAGTCAGGATGCCCGCGCGTGTCAAGGCGTTGGCAGCTTGCAAATAGGAGTCCTCAGACTGCCCAGCTGTGAGCAGAAGCAGGAGCTGCGGCACGTGTTCACGGATCCTGCTGCCGCCAGCTTCCGTGAAGTGGTTGGCATAGACATAGCTTAGGGCTGAGCCTGTGTTCAGGCCCGAACCTCCCTGGAGCTGCAGCTGCCTCAGATGACCAAGGATATCTGACTTGGTCTGGTATGTGTTTAAAGAGAACTCCGTTACAGGAGTGTCACTAAATTGCACTAAACCAACACGAATATTGTCATTTCCAATATCAAGGCTGTTAACTAGGTTCATTACAAAGTCGCGCACATAAGGGAAATTGGTTTTTCCAACGTTGGCTGATCCATCCAAAAGAAAGATGATATCCCTTTTGTTTGAGTGAACTGCAGTGAAGCACAGAAAAAAAAGTGAGACATACACAACCACGGAGAGTTTTATCATGTGTGCCTACAACACGTGCACACATGCCAACATTTAGAACACAGAGAAAGTCAGCATGGCAAAGCATGTCCATCTTGTAAAATATGGCAGATGGCTGCATATTTTCCTCTGGTGGTGGCTGGTGTTTGTGAGACATATTGGTAGCCGAGTTTACAAAACCAAGTTGGCTCAAAGAGAGCTACAACATCAAAGTTAGAATGTTTACAGACAACAAAAGTGATCAGAATCCTTGAAACCAAACACTCCTTCCCTAAAAATGAATACTATGAAGGTGCTGCATCAGTCCATATCACTCATCCCAGCCAGGTTTAAGTTTGCCTGGCTGGATCCTCTGGGGCTCACCTCTACCCACAAACAGAGGGTCTTCCATCCATAGCTCAGAAGCAGTTAGCCCTCACTAACCTGAGAAAACGAGTTCCTTAAGGCTAAAAAAAATAGCAAAAGTAGGCTGGTCTCATATTGAAGTCTTCTTCAGACTTCCCCGTTTGTCATTCTCCACTGGGACTCTTCTCCTATTAGGAAGTCACAGTCTTGCTAGGCAATCATCCAACAGGGGAATTCCCCCAAAGTGAGATGATGGGACCGTAAATACACAGCAAAATAGAAGGAGACTAGTTGCTAGGCTTGGCCAAACTTATACACATCAAGAATAAAAAGTATAATTCTCAAAATAGTGTATTTGACCCAACACATTTACCATGTGCCTTTAAAATTTTATTTTTTATTTCTTCCCTGATGCCCTACTGTAATTTAGACCTCACAACTAATTGTATCCTAAGTTGAACTTTGGCTATGAAAGTGTGGATTAAAAGTTTTAAGAAAAATTTTAAAAGAGAGAGAAAGAGATGGATATAGAAGACCAGGGAGTGTGAAGAGAAAGCATGCATCCAGGCAGCATGGGTCATGCCTGCATCAGGCAATCCTCTAGTGATCGAGTCTGCAAGGTGGGAAAGCATCATTCTGTGATGCTCATCTTCTCTTCATTAAGGGCAGTGAATTGTATTTCTTCAACTCATTAGCTCATAGATCTGTATAATGTCTTTAAAAATAACTCTCCACTGGCAATCATATTAAATGAGGGATTTGAAGAACCACTAGGTTTGAACTCCACACTTAGCCATTCAATATGCTTTCCCATTGAGGGTAATCCCTTAACGAGAGAGAAGAGAGGGATTAAAAGCTGAGGACACTGTGCCCTAAACAGCTCAGACTGGGGCTGTTTAGAAGTAGATGGACAACTCAGGAAAGGAAAGCTACATCCTGGTGATGAGGAGGAGACTGGACAGAAATCACCAGTAGAAACAGAAGAACACAGGGATCTGACAAGCGATAAGAACTGAGATGTGACCTCCTCGGCCAGAAGCTTCAAAGACAGGTGGTGGCCCATGGTCCTGTGGTTTAAATCATATGGTTCTTATATGAAATTTCATTGCATGACATTGTAAACCATACAATCCTGAACCCAGTGCAAAAGGAAACCTGGAATAAATCATGTTCGTTGCTGCTGTTTTCATCATTTGTTGTCTCTTAGCTAAACACAAACACACTTCATTTTGTTTTGTTCTTAAAGGCCCTGCCTGGAGACCACCCCATTGTGTGTCTGAAGCCATCACCACCATACCTTCAGGGGTTCCAGAGAGGGTCCTGAGAGGTGCCAGCAAGCCAGGCAGCATGCCTTGCAATGGGGCGGCTCGGAACTCAGCTGGGATGAACACCAGGGAGGAGTCGAAAGCGATCTCTTCCAGCTCAGCCTGATCGGCACCCTTGTTCCCAATGGCAAAGGCCATTATGCTGCTTCTCTTCAGCTCCTGGGCAGGCTGGCTGATTTCATCTAGGGACTTACCACCTGTGATCAGCACCAAAAGCTTAGGAATCCCCTCGGCAGCCCGGTAGCCGGCTGAACTCGTGAATAGGTTGTTACGAACAAAGTCTAGAGCAGAGCCCGTGTACAGGGCCGAGCCGTCCAGGGGCTTCATTTTCCGCACAGCGGTTATGACTTCCCTTTTTGTTGGATGGGTATTGAAATAAAATTCAGGCCTCACAGTGTCTGCATACTGGGCCACTGCCACCTGGATAAGATCCTGTCCGATTTCCAGCCTCTGGATGACTTTAGCAATGAAGTCTCGGATGGCATTGAAGTTGGCCAGTCCCAGTGCAGATGAGCCATCCACCAGGAAGACTATGTCTCTCTTGTTGACTTCAATGACTGTAGGTGGCAACATTATAAGGCAATTAGAATGGCCTTACCAAGCACAATCAACAATGACTTTCAACAAAGCTAACTCCATTTAAAGGACACCCTCATTTACTGTGGCCAACGTGACCACAGGGCCACCCCAAAGGGAATTTGTCCTAATGAACACATAAGTTATGGTTGCCTCCCCACCTGCTGGAGGAAAGCTGGCTCACCTTCCACCCTGCCCAGTCAGTACTTTTTACAAAATAGTTGCACAAAAACAAATTTAGTTTTAGTAGCCACCTGTTTTGTATGCTGTCACTGAAAATTCAATAAGTTCTCTTCTGCCGTAAATACACAACTTGGCCAGAGTGAAGTCATTGCTTGAATAATTAAAGAAACCACTGATGTCTGCTCAGAGAACCCTTTGCCTCACAGTCTTCATTTCAAAATGCTCATTGTCAAGTGCAAAAGCTGAAAGAGCCTGCACATCCCTGTTCTCTTCAGTTCTATATTCCCTGTCTTCATTTGACAGACGAAAGAATTACTTAACATAAAACGTATAAAAAGGAAATCAGCATCAAAGCCAGCAAGTGCCGCAAACATTTTTCACTTAAGAGACCTGCGTTTTGGCCAGGCACAGTGGCTCACGCCTGTAATCCCAGCACTTTGGGAGGCTGAGGCAGGTGGATCATCTGAGTTCAGGAGCTCAAGACCAGCCTGGCCAACAAGGGGAAACCCCATCACTACTAAAAATACAAAAATTAGCCGAGCGTGGGGGCAGACACCTGTAATCCCAGCTACTCAGGAGGATGAGGCATGAGAATCACTTGAACCTGGAAGGAGGAGGTTCCAGTAAGCCGGGATTGCACCACTGCACTCCAGCCTGGGTGATAGAGTGAGATTTCATCTCCAAAAAAAAAACAAAAAACCTGTTTTTAAAGATCCTAAGTAATATGACAGTGATAACTTAAAGGCAAACCATAAAGCAAAAACATCTCAATAAGATAACTGTCTCACAGTGACTGTGAACTGCTGTATCCATGTGCAGGCACCCTGCCCATATTGCAAGAACCATGAACTCTGTTAAGACCACAACACCTAACCCAAAAACCTGACAGAGATTCCAAGAAGTAGAGGAACATAAATGATTAAACCTGAGATGGACTGTTTTGCAAAAGAGTCCTCTGTTACTGTATTCCATCAGATAGATTGCATGGCAAGTTGATTTTGTAAAAGCAGACAAAGGAAACAAAGTTTGGGATGAAGGTAAGGAAGAACTTTCTAAGAATCAGAGCTACCTTCTAGAACATATTTTTATTTTTATTTTTATTTTAGGACAGAATCTCACTCTATCACCCAGGCTGGAGTGCAGTGGCATGATCTCAGCTCACTGCAACCTCCGCTTCCTGGGTTCAAGCGATTCTCCCACCTCAGCCTCCTGAGTAGTTGGGATTACAGGTATGCACGACCACGCCCGGCTAATTTTTGTTTTGTTTTGTTTTGTTTGGTAGAGATGGGGTTTCACCATGCTGGTCAGGCTGGTCTCAAACTCCTGACCTTGAGTGATCCACCTGCCTCAGCCTCCCACAGTGCTGGGATTACAAGGGTGAGCCACCACATCCAGCCTAGAACACATTTTTGAAATGCAGTTCATTTCTAGTTGTTTGGACCAGAAGCTGGGAGCGTGATGCCTGGGGTGAGAATCGCTGATACATGCCAAATGAAGACAGCAGTGCCTCATCTGGGTGCTCACCTGTAGCATCAAGACAAGGTCTATGTTCTAAGAGAAGGGTAACATGTTATGCACCAACGTCCTTAATACAATAACACAGTTGCCTACTGGTGTAACAATGTGTGCAGAACATCATTGAACCTTTTCTCAATATTTCATGGTCATTGTTATGAACATCCATTCTGGGCTTTCCTTCCTTCATTTAATTTAGAACATGCTGTCTCTCTGGGCTACCCCTTCATTTTGATTTAAAATATCTTTGCAGATAAAACTAATGTGTAGATCTCTAGAAGACTTATACCTTTGTACCATTAGAGAGAATATATATGTATATAGATACACACATACACGTATATAGACACATATAAATTCCATATATGCTATACCATGAATCTACCACTCATGTATTTACTATGTATATCACACATGACAGAAAAATAGACAAATACTCATATAACAATGACCTGAGAAGCTACTTGCTCCTATACCAAGTGGCCCAGATTGTTATATTCTTCTTTATAAGTACCAGCAATGGCACAACTCTTGGGGTGGGAGAAGATAAATATCATCCCCTACCCTCCCACGTTTTCCCTCCCCCTACCACTGCATCACTAAAAGTTCTCCCGATGAGCCAGCGGGAAGGAATACCTTCTAGATCTAATGAAACAAGTGGCCTAGTCTCCTTGCACCCAACAAGGATTCAGCTCTGGGAACCCTGAAATGCACCTCTGGTTCCCAGAGGCTCTGTCCCAGAGTCCCCTTTGATTAGGTAAGAGGTCATTTACGTTTGATTTTTATTCAAGTCATGGGAGCTCATGACAGATGATATGCCTAGAACCATGCTTAGCCAAATATAGTAAACACTGAAAAATATTGAGTAACTGGAAGAATAACTGAATTCCTATGTTTGCTTCATGACTCTGACGCAATTCACCTAGGCTTTGCAGAATCATTTCATTTCTCTGGGGGCTGCACCATGAATCTCCTCTGACCCAGTGATAAAAACCTTGGGATTCTCACAGCTGACTCTTCTGTGAGCCACGTCAGGGATGCATACGCATTTCCTTCCACTTGACATAAATATCAACCCAAACACAGCTGTCTTATCTCTTTAATGTGGCTCTGCAGGGCCTGACTTCACTGCCTTGTTGGGAGATGAACTTGAAGGTCCTGCTACTCCTCACCAACATGGCACAACCCTCTTCAGCCCTCCTCCCACGCCTCTCTCTGTTTTCCTCCATGCCTCATCCCTGCACCTCCATCAGACTCTCCTGAAAGCCTCCATCAGGCCCACAGTCTTCCTCATGCATCACCCAAGCAGTGGACATTCCTGGAGAAGACCACACAACAAGGTACCTGCATGCCACGCTCGGAACTCCAGACCCCCATCAGGAGACCTGTGCCTGCCCACCATCCTCCCATGCCTCCTTGGGAAGTTGGCTGTCCTGTCCTCCAGAATGACTGTCTCATGGCTGTGCTCTCTGCTCAGCCCTCTGCCACTGCCTCCAAGGCCTCCTCATCTGTCTCTGAGAAAATAGAAGCCCTCAGAGGAGAGCCCCTGCCCCCACCACTAACCCACAGCCTACCTTCCTCTGCCATTGGCTCCCAACCCACAGGCTCCACTCCCTGTGGCTTCTCATCCCCCTACAGCAGCTGCTTCTCCAGCTTCCATGCATCCAGGGAGTCTGAACCTCAGGCTCCCTGTCCAGTGTGCTCCAGCTACACTGCCTTCTGACAGTTCTGGGAAGGGACTAAGTGCCTTCTTGTTGCAGGGCCACCCCTCCTGCTCTTCCTTCTGCCTGGACCACTCTTCCCCCTGCTCTCCGCATGCTCATCTGCCTTCGGTTCCACACCTTCTCAGGGCCTTCCATCCACCTGATCTAAAATTCCCTTCCCCAGTCTTCCTATCACAGCCCTGTTGAATGCCCCAATGCAACTTATCATGCTCAGAATATTTTGCCTGGTCACTAGTTTATATTATTATTGTCTCTTTCCCCATTATCCTGTAACAGACGAGCAGCCACATCTGTCTCATTAAACAGCACCATATCTCTAGTGCTTGGCATAGTGTCTGGCACATGCCAGATAGTCAAGGATATTTGTTGAATATTTACAAGTTAATCATTGATATTAAACATGATGTTTGTAATCAAGGGGTTGAAACTCTACTTGGCTAGGGAAAATCTGAAACAAGGGTCATGTGCTGCCCATTTTCATTAAAAAGTTGAAACTTCTCCTGGTACAGACATATCTTCATCTGGTGCAACTCCTTTGTCATAAATTCAAGAAATCGAAACCCAGAGAGGTTGCATGACCTGCCCAGGATCACATGGCAGGTCCACAGAAGACCCAAGACCAGAGACCAGCTTTCCCATCTACAGCCATGTTGCATCGTCGGTGTCTGCAAAACATAGGGAAATCTCTGGGCTTCTATACTTTGGGATGCACACCAATAGTATGCAAGCTCAGAGAAACCTCAGCAGGTCATAAATTTTCACTTGATTGTTTTCTTAATTGCCAGAGTCACAAAACGGCACCATGATGGAATGAGCATGAGCAGCTCCAGGCACCGGGCATGTAGTCCTGTACACTGTTTCCATTGCTTCTCAATGTCCATTTGCATTCAGAACATTATTTTCAAAATTCTAGTCTCTCTATTAGCTCATCTGGAGGATTTGGGCCAATTTTATGGTCCCATCAAGTGAGAGGAAAAGCTGGAAAACTGTATGCAGCAAAAGCTAAGCCACACAGAATTGACCTTTCAAACTTAAATAAATGCCAGACACAGCCTTCTCCAGAAGGCAACACTCACATATACTTTTCTTGCTACATCACCTGGTCACAGTTCCAATGCACAGATTAAGTAGAGATGCCATAGCCTGAGCTTTCTACCTGTAATTTTTATTACAACAAAAGCTGTGGTTTAAAATCATTTGAGGCAAGTTCAATCTAACTCAGTGTGAATTTTGTAACCCTTGTAAGGAAATGTGGTGTGTTGCCTTTACATGAATGCAGCAACTAGAACTAATGATTAGCAAGGCACTATTAAGTAGAGGTCAGCTCCTTAAATAAATAGATAGTGATGTTTTTAATTAAGACTTTAAAATCTTCTACTCTTAATTTCATACAATGGCATATTCTCCAAAATGGTTATTTTTAAATTATTTTCACTCCTTTATCAAAGGAAAACCTCCCTTGATCAATTGTAATTGATACAATGGGTAAAGCAGTATCTTATTACAATATTTATCTTGTAGACCCAGACTTTATTTATAAAGTTAGCAAATAAGAGTTGTAACAATGTGTTATTTCACCCAAGAAAATTTAGATGATTGGTTGCAGATGATAATCAGAGTCTTATAGGAGCCTCGGTATCCATTCACCAATTTTCATTGAGCCCATACTCTGGAAGGAAAATGAAGAATAAGGTCTTATAGTCAAGGACTAATCTCATTAGAGCATCCCAGTGTGTAAGCAACACTGGAAGTGAGTTGGGTGTTTCTGGAAACTGTTGGGGGCCACTGTGTCCCTGATTTACCAAATGGCATCCTATTGGCCTGACCTAGGTAATGAAATTGATAGGTCTGAAAAGTGACTGATGTCTCAGAAAACAGTTCAAAAGGTAGAGGAGGCTATGCATCCTGATGCCCCCACCATACCTCCTATGTTTGTTAAGTGCATATTTGTTATGTGACTTGGTTGGTTTTTTTGTTTTTTAAACCACTCCAATTGGCTGTTTTGCCAAAGGCCCTCCATTTGAGCTTGTATCCTAATATTGCCACTCAGGAGAATTACTCCTACACTTCACAAGCACAAGAAAAAAAAAACTTCATAAATATTTCATCAAGTGATTACACTGTTATTTCTTACCTTCAGAAGTATAACTCTCAGCACCCTAGCACAAAATGACTTTGAGGAGACACCCTCACTCCATCTTTGCTTTTGGAAAGATACTCTGTCTATGAGCACACTTCTAACACTGACTTTTAGAGCTCAATGCCATAGTCCTGGAGTAACTTTCTCAGAACTGTAATGAGCCCCTCAAGCCCATTTTTAGGAAGACTGGATTATAAGTAGTTAATACGGTGATGTTTAATAATCTCAAAGCAACAGGTTTGTTGAATTAGCCTTAAAAGCACGCTTTCTCAGCAACTCATACTCTCGTAAGAGCTTTCACTCACTCATTGGTCTTTAGTTTTTCCGCACACATGACATCACAAACATGACATCCAGGACCCAGCTCATCAGGGAAGGACTGGACTGTGGGTACTTACAGCTTCTCCCGTGGCGAATCATGCTGGTACCCACCTTACGTCTATGTAAACCAACACACACAACACCCCACTCCCACACAGATGGTGAGAAGAGGATACATACCTTGTGTGACAATGGTTGGCGGTTTCAAGACAATGTGCCTTTGGGCCACGCCAACAATGTACGGCAGTAATTTCTCCTGGAGGTCCCCAAAGCTACGGAATTCCGGGACAGTAAACACCAAGTTGTCATCGGTAGCTATGTGCTGAAGCTCTGCCCTGGAGGCGGCCTGGGCTCCAAGGCCGAATGAGAACACGCTAGCCTGCTTCAGTGCTACCACCCCGTAGCGAATCTCGTCACTAGAAGGCCCGGCACTTATGAGGACCAGCACCTGGGGAACCCCTTCCTCCACGCGGCTGCCCCCTGCCCGGGTGAAGTGGTTCTCCACCACGAAATCAAGGGCGAGGCCGATATTGGCCAACTCCCCACCAGCAAACCCGAGGGCTTTCACTGCACCCAGAACCTGGGCCTTGGTGGAGTAGGTGTCCAAGGAGAACATGGTTCTGGGCTCATCGCTAAACTGGACCACCCCCACTCGGATCTGCTGAGTTCCAATTGGGAGTTTCTCAAGGAGATTTACAAGGAAGTCGAGAATGACTGCGAAATTGACACTTCCGGTGTTGTTTGATCCATCAATAAGGAAAATAATGTCAGCAGAGTCTTGTGCTTTAAAAGAAAGAAATGCAAAAAATGTGAAAGCATTAGAACAAGTGACCACATGCATTATTCAGTGTTCTGACATGTTTCTTTGGAAACCAATAAGAAACACGAAATATGGGCAAACAAAACACATGTTGATGAAGGAATGTGAAATTCTCTTTCAGTTCTGCATTCTGAATGGATAAGAGGCAACCTCTTAGAAATCATGGTGTAAAAAAGGGACATTTATAGCAATTTTTCATTTGTGCCATCCTCATAGTTAAATTTCCAAACATCATATTCACTTTTCTGAGGGGACAATCTTGGGTACATATTCTAGAAATTTCCACTAAATTTGGAGGGAAAAGTAGTAGCATGAATTGTCCACTACCAAACCTACCAGGGAAAATCAATGAGTAGGTTACCAAAACTTTAGAGATGATTTCTAATTTTTGGTCATTTCTCCTGCCTCCTCAAATGATTAGAATAATTTTTTATACAAATCCACAGCTACAAAACAGAGTCACGATTTGGTGATTCCTCAACCCAGTATGTTGCTGGATGCCTTCAGAAACTATTGTTTCTTCTCTTTTCTTTAAAAACCAAAATGACCTTGTACATGCAACTTCGTGAATCAGAACTCAAACTACATTTAAAGTTTTCATGTAAAAAATACTTTGATGAAATTTTTGTTGTTCTTTTTTCTCAAATGATGTTTAGTTGCATAAAACTCAAATGCAGGTCTGGGATTGGGCAGGATGTTTTGTTCATTTATTTTGTCATTGCCTCTATATTCAGTCACTTAATGCAGAACAATGTTAAGCAGAGTGATATGAAACCGGTCATGACATAATTATCCAACCTTGTTTTTATGACATCCTAAACTAGTTACCTAGAAGGACCATGAGCATCGAATAAACCCTGATTAGAATTAGCCTGGGGTTATACAAAGGGCAGAAAAACAGCTGACCAAGACCTCTTCTCTCCCCCATAATGGCAAACAGAGAATTCCCAACCTGATGCTGAGAACGGGGTTATATAGCAGCCCTGAGGGAGGAATAGGGATCGAGAAATCTAAAAGTCAGGGCCAGAGATTTCACAGCATCAGTTCGAATGTTTAAATTTGGCTGATTTAAACTCAAGGAGGAGCACAATTATTCTAGTCGATGTTTTTGATAACTTGAGTATGTGTTAGGGACAAGAAGAGATTATATGTGAGCTTGAGCTTATCTATTTATATTCTGGGATTCCAGAAAACTACACTCAGGGTATCATTTTTAAATGATGGTAATATTATAGGTAAGACCATTCACTCTGATCTCTGATCTTTTCAATGACAGTGAACATTTTATATTTAAAATTAATGTTTCCTTGTGCCAACAAAATTGTTTTTGTTCTCACTGTAGAAAAGGATCCAAAGCTTGTCTCACAAAATTGAAGAGTTCTGCTCTAGTGAAATTACATTCTTACCCAAGCTCTTCTCATTGTGTGAACTGAAACAGAGATTGCCAGGTTCGGAACTGCCCTCTTCCCTTCCTAATATACAAGAAAGTTCCTAACAATATATTTGCAGATTAATTCTTTGCATAGGGAAATATATTAACCTGGCAACATTGCTATCACAATCCTTCTTATAAGATACAATGAGTAGGATAATTGTTGTGCTACAGTAATTAAGATCTTGTGTTTTTAGTAATTGCCACACAAAAGTTTTATATAAGACTAGGCCCTTGATTAGGGCCCAAAGCATTTGCCACTGTTCAGCCAAAATATAAGATTCCTGAAGGATCTTCAAGAGAGTGTGGTGCCAGGGGGTGTGAATTACACAGAAGGCCATAGAAATGGCCTACATCATTGCATAATACAGAGGCTCCACAAATTCCACAAAATTCCTCAACATTTCCCAGGCCTAAACCAATGACCTCAAAGGACACGGAAGGATTTGCCACTTCCTCAGCATATCAAGACGTTTAAAAGAAGGATTAAATATGATCAATACAGTCAAGCTTTTAAAAATGATCCCTAAGTCGCAGGATAACACTATTTCTTCTCCATTTGTAACTTACTTTTGGGTTGAAATTTATAGTCATGCAAATAAGATAAATGGACCCTGAGGGAAAATCCTTGAACATTCTCTTGTAAAAGACTGAACATCTACAGTGGCCAGTCATAGAAACACGTTGGATAATTTGTCATCACTGAATAACAACATTATCCTCTTACACACACAATAATGGGACATACAAGGGCATGCTTTGTTATTCAAGAGAGCTGAAGCCTCAAGGGCACACAGGGGCCATGTGTGCTTGTGTACAGCAAGGCGGACCAATGACCAATGTTAATGTTACAAGGAATCAGATCTATGCACAATTTAAAAGCTTTAAAATTGTCTGGTTTTCTGCTTCTATGCTTTATGTATCACATCCTCTGTGGTGTTTTCTACAGAAAAGTTTTACAGTGTCCAAGGAAAATTCACAGTTTCCTTTGACATCCCTGGAAGCTCTTTTCCCGAGCTCACTGGTGTGGGCACAATGCCTTTCTTAGCTCATGTGATGCCTCCTTTCATTAAGAAAAACAAGTTCCCATTCTTGTTTCCTATGTAAAACACAAAATTGTATATATATTTTACAAATTTTAAAAATCTTCATCCTTTACAGAGAAAAGAAAGCTGATGCCAAAATCCTCCCTGTCACCTTTAGCTTTTGTTTTAAAATAAAGGTTTTATATCTCAGGTATATTCATTTTTTTAAAGAATGACAGAGGGATTTTTAAAAACACAACCATTAGAGATTGATTATTTGAGTAGAGTTCATTGACAACAGTGGTGATCGTTCATATTTTACACATATGTGTGTTTTATAATCAAGAACACTCTATGGGGAAGTTACCCAGCAGACAGGTAGTAAGAAGAGGCAGCCCTAACTAATTAGCAATCTCTATAATGCTCTTCTAACTGGCTTTCCAAAAAACTATAAGCAGAGATGTACTGTTCTTCCTAAGATTATTATCCTATGTTTTTGCCGTGGAACATGCAGCGGGACGTGGTACTAGGAGGAACTGCAGAGTGATGTTAATTAGAAAAGACACATGAATGGATTAATTTTCTGCCCTGGTGCTGCTAGTGGCTTGGACACTAGAAGACAGAGATGCTTTCTTGGCATAAAAACAAAGGTTTTATCATCTGTGTGGAAACACACGATGTTGGTAGTTTCATTTAGCATTCACTATGGTAATCTCATTGTTTGTCCATTACATAATGGTTAAACATAAAGGCAAACTCAGCTATTTTTGTGAGTATAACAAAACGTCAATAAAAGATGTTCCATTTCTCTACTGGTCCCTTTCACTGTTTGTTTGTTTGTTTGTTTGTTTGTTTGTTTGTTTGTTTGTTTTAGACAGAGTTTCACTCTTGTCACCCAGACTGGAGTGCAGTGTCACAAATTTGGCTCACTGCAACCTCCACCTCCTGGATTCAAGCGATTCTCCTGCCTCAGCCTCCCGGGATTACAGACGCCCACCACCACACCTGGCTAATTTTTGTATTTTTGGTAGAGACGGGGTTTCACCATGTTGACCAGGCTGGTCTCAAACTCCTGACCTCAGATGATCCTCCCGTCTCAGCCTCCCAAAGTGCTGGGATTATAGGCGTGAGCCCCTTTCACTATTTTTTGGTAGGTCTTTGTTATTATCCCGATATTCCGAAATGTGATGGATCAGGGAATTAATGATACTGAGACTATCGTAGCGAGGAGTGCAGTTCATTGTAGATACCCTCTTGTCATTTCCTGGTAACCTGAGTGTTTGGTTTGGGGTGCTCTTGGAGACACCCAGCTTTTCCTGTCATTTGGCAGGACTGATGCCTGTGTGGTAATGCCAGGGGTGAGGCCTGTCATTTGGAAGCAGGGAACACTTTGCAGTGTTTGAACTGCCTCTCACTCTTTCCTATGGAGAAGCAGACCCACAGGTAAGGGCATCAGCACTGCCAGCCCCGTTAAAGCTGAAATCAGGAGTAACCACTGGGAAAACCATTTTATGAACAAACTTCTGAAACACCCTGGAGCTGGCTAGTTCTGAAACCCTCTTCTTCATCAAGTTCTGCCTGCTCAAGACAGCTAGTTCCTTTCTGCTGATGTTGGGTCATCTCTCTTCAGCTCCTGCTTTCTGAATCCTTGTTATGAAAAACTGACATCTGGTACTGCTTCTCTGCAACTGCTCCAGCATTCTGATTGCAATCTTGCAATTCTTCTGCTGTCCCTCCGATGTGGTCCTGTAGAGTGATGTGTGCCTCCAAGCCTCAACTCTCTTTTTCCTGCCCCACCATCCATGTGTATTCACAAGAGACTGACTCTCCATCAGTCACCTCACCTCCTACCTCCTGTCCCAGTGGCCATCTTGGTGGTAACCATTTTTAAAAGTGTAGGAGAAAAATCTGTTCATAAATCTTGCTTCCTATGATCAGTTCCCCTATGCCATGTGGTTGCCCACTCATTCTTTTTTGATTCAAAGAATTATCCACTTCCTCATGCCTACTAAATACACAGAAGAGAGTCTCCAACATTCCTACATGATTTAGTTACATTATGTTCAGCCTGCGTTCACACTGCAGACTCTGTGGTCATCTCCAGACTTTAAGGTCTGTATGGACAACCTTTGTGAGCACCACCCTCTCTGGTTTCTGCAGTGGCTGGCTCTCTATAGTTCCTACACATCTGAGGACCACACTGAGCACCATTGGAAACTCCTCCAGCCCCGCGATTGGCCCTCAGAGGTCTCCCTGTCTACACACCAGCAGCGTCTCCAACTTGCACACTCAGCTGTCTCCAGGACTCTCCTTCCGAGACCTGGCCTCTCATCCTCTGGCTCTTCAGAGGTCTCCTGGCCCATTCCAGCTCTCATTAGCTCCCCATGCAGCTAGGACACCATGGCAGGCTGTTTCAGGAATTTACTAGCTACCACTCTGGATTTCCTTACTGAGAAAATTTTCTTCTGTCCTCTCTATTGTTCCCTCTTTGCAAGTTCCAGTTCTGGGAACTCCTTTGATCCTGGGAGTGCCTGAGATATCTGCAGAAAGGCAGGGATCCACACTAATGGAGACACCCACTGACTTGTAATCTCTGATAGCAACTGGATGCCACTTCAAATCAGCAGTTGCTTCCTGAATGTTTTGTGACCCCTCTTCACATCCCTATAGCAGCTGATCAAAAATAACTTCAATCCCTCCAAGCCCCCAAGCCCCACTGCTTCCCTCCTTTATTGAGATGATGGATGTCAACTCAACTTGAACTCTCTCAATGTGCCTCTTATCCACCTGAATATCTTGGAAACACAGCCCCTTTTCTCATGCCTTCCCTCCATCTCAGAGAACATGTGTGTCTCCTTTCTGGAGCTCAACTCTCCCCCTGGATTCCTCTCTCATTTCCTGCTCATTCCACCCAGAATTCTCTGCTACCAACTATCAAATGGCTGCATGGACTCATTTTCTAACAAGGGGAGGTCCCTCTG
Organism: Homo sapiens; assembly: GCF_000001405.40. NCBI lineage: Eukaryota > Metazoa > Chordata > Mammalia > Primates > Hominidae > Homo > Homo sapiens. The sequence goes on from NC_000002.12 coordinate 237,393,660, forward strand.
CTCTGCCCATCGCTGATGAGTAAGCTCTGGGCACTCATTACAGTTGCTGTGGTATGGTAGAGTTTGAAATTGTACTTGTCAAATTCCTTCCCCATTGGCCATTTAGGCACTTAGCCCTGGAAGGAGAGCTAACAGGCTTAACTGGTTAAATAACCTGTCGGCCAATTAGCTCTGTACATGCAACTGCACATGACACATCGATGCAATGTCCGTGTGCTCTCAATACTTCCAGAGTGGTTCTCATCAACTCCATTAGAATTAGAAGAGTCTCTGTGGGCACAGCCATGATTACCGCATGGAGAAGAAATAAGAAGACCAGACCCACAGCCCAAATGCACAGCCTCCAGCTCCGGCTGTCACTAACCATTCAGGACTAAATTTTTTCCAAAATCAATCTAGACTGGATCATAGCTGAGGTTTCTTGTAATTCCGATTCTACCAACACTCTTAAATTAACTCCGTAAAGTAGAAGAGAGAAGCTCTCTGCTAGTCCACTGGACACAAAAACAGATGCCCTCGCTCCCGTCTCAGTTCACGCACTCTCCAACAGGGAGCTTTCCTTAAAGGAAACAGATCCCAACACCAAATAGAGGAGTTTGATCAGATGCACACCTCACCACTCTGAGGCTTTCTTTTCTAAGGAAGGCAGAGGTATTTTGTGGGATCATAATATTAGAATGTGGGTTTTTTTAGACTGAAAATATTAGTTGTTTAAAAAAAGACTCTTCTTGTATGTAGGTGAATGCCCTACTTGGGGAGAAGACTATGGAAGAATATTCCAAATCAAACCTTTGTTTTTAAACCTGTGAACACTCATCTCTTCCCTGGCCCACCCGCCATCCTAGCTGTTGCTTTAAGGCCAGCAGTTGCCAAGCTCATCTCCCAAGAACAGCAGGGCAGGGCGTAGCTTGGTGGCGTTGCCATTACCTGTGATGTCTTTAAGGGTTTCCGTGTCCCCAGCCCTTTCTGGACTCACGGATGAATGCACACAGGACACTAAGTTTCCTACTATGTCATGAAGTGAGGTAAAATTCTCTAGGTTGAACATATGCATATTGAGCGGTTCACTTGCTATTTCTTTTAACGCTCCTTCATCTGCATCCTCAACTCCAATTGCAAACACGTTAACATCAGCAGACTTAAGTTCCGCTGAGGGCAGAGCAAGGCCATCCTTCGAGTGTCCATCAGTTAACACTACGATAACCTGAGGGACTCCGTCACCGGCCCGGCTTCCAGCAGCCTTGGTGAGGTGGCTTTGCATTATGTATTCTAATCCTTTTCCAGTCTGATTGGTTCCCCCAATATAAGACATGTTGGAAATATGAGAAAGGACTTCTTGTTTAGTACGATACGTATTTAACAGGAACTCGGTATGTGGGTTTCCGTTGAACTGGACCAGAGCAAAATGGAAATCATTTTCTCCCACAGCTAAGGATTTTACAACATCATATAGAAACTCTCGAACAAGTTGGAAATGTTCCTCTCCAATGGTCCAAGAGGAATCCACTAGAAATATTATATCAGCAGCCGCACCATTTTTGACATCTTTAAAAAAAGACATTGGTTTAGATTTTTCTACTATGTAAGCAATTACTTCCTATCAATGCAAAGCCTTCCTAAACAAATTTGGTTTACACTATACTGCTACTAAACACTTCACACCTCACTGATAATACAGGAAGGTAGACTCACTTACCTGGGAACCAGGGACCTGAGCCCATGCACTCAATAGCTGCTGGTGCCCAGTCACTAGCCCAAGTTCCATACTCAGAGACCATCATGAATGGGCCAGTAGCATGCTCCAGATTGGGGAAACAATTTCCTGGGCTGTCTTTAACTCAAGTATGATTCCCTGTGGCAGTTTGAGCCCCAAGACCCACCTGATTAAACCAGAAGGAAGTCTTATCACAGACAACCAACCATCATTTTATAAATTCATTCTTTAGTTTGGAATACAAAACCGGGCCTTGACAAAAAAGGAAAAGTAAAAATTGCTATTTTCCATTCACTAACCCCCAATGCTTTGGGTAATTTGCGTGAAAAATAAATATAATAAATACATGTTCTTTAAGCGAGGAGGACTTGTGTAAATGTAGAGAAGGGAAAAGACTTATTTTTTCCAGATTTTTTGAGCATGAACAAACTGTACTCTATTAGTTACTGCATATTTTTCAGAGCCAGAAAAGTCTCCATAGATGTCAAACATTATCTATCTCATTTCCAGATGAACCCAGTTCTCCCTCAAGGGTGGGAGCTCAGGGTATCAGGCTGTCAGTGGCCCCAGGAGGTGCCCTTCTGCAGCTGTGAGCCAGGCTTGCTGCTGGACTCTACTTACCTCAGGCTGACCTGATGCCCCAACCCACGTTCTTCTTCCATTGAAGTGACACTAGACTTCCCTCCATCTAAGAGCAACCTGGCCTGGAGGAAGAATCCCTCAGAGGCCAAGCTCTCTGGGTCAAGGAGAGGGAGACCCACCTGAGTCCTTTCCAGCTTGCAATGCATGAAGCATTTCCCACTTTTCTAAAACTCTGAAATCAAATTCTTAATAGAGTTAATTAGAACCCATGCTTTTAATTCGTTTTGGGAAACAGAAATCTTAAAGATTCAAGGATCCTAGATGAAAAATGCCTTCCTGCATCTGGAGTTAGAGAGAGAGGGTGATCTTTGTATTTTTCAGGGAAAATAGTTTTTACTCTCAATCATTGACTTCTCCCTACTTTATGTGCTCAGAGACCAGCCAATGCCAGAAATGTGGAAAGTCCCTTCAGGTGGTAAAACATTTGAGATACAAACTTTCCGTTCACATCCAATGTAAAAACAAATCATTTTCAAGCCAATTCCAAGATACCAAACCCAAGTTTTAATAAAAATAGGTCATCTCTCACTGGATAAAGAGTATCTGAAAAGGCCTATAAATCCTAGAACTATCCTATCTGACTATCCTATAATAAATGGCTTAGCTACCTTAAGAACATATCTAAGCTCTATGTCAGTGCCTGATGTCTAAGATCTAAAATCAAAGAATGATATTCCTTTTTACAAAATCAAGGACGTTTCTGGCTCTTACCTGCTTGCTGCTGCTGGGCATGAGTTGTAGGAAAGCCTGAGAGAAAGAGGCAAAAGACGGCCACTAAGGGCAAGTGCCGATGTTTCCTCATTTTGAATTTGTCTAAGCACCAAATATGAACCTAAAAGAGAAAACAGGGCAAAGGGAATGATCAGTTTTTGACTCTCATTATGCAAAATCTCTCAAAATCCCATGCTTTCTACGTCCTTTTTAGACTTCCAAGAAGACTTTGTATCTGATTCATTCTTTGAACCAGCAGCAAAAGGATGGATGATAGACAGTTAGATAGATGATAGATAGATAGATAGATAGATAGATAGATAGATAGATAAAAATCTATACAGATACATACATGCGCACATATATGCATATATAAAAGGAAGGAAGGAGGGAGGGAGGGAAGGAAGGAAGGAGAAGGGAAGGGAAGAGAAGGGAAGGGAAGGGAGAAGAGAAGGAAGGTAAGGGAAGGGAAGGAAGGAAGAAGTGAAAGAAGGGAAGGAAGGAAGAAGTGAAGGAAGGGAAGGGAAGGAAGGAAGAAGTGAAAGAAGGGAAGGAAGGAAGAAGTGAAGGAAGGAAAGGAAGGGAAAGAAAGGAAGGCGAGAGGGAGGGAAGGAGGGAAGGAAGGAAGGATGGAAGGAAGGAAGGAGAAGAAGAGAAAGAAGCAGAAGAAAAACAAAGAGGAGAGAAGGAAAGAAAGAAAGAGAGAAGGAAAGAAAGAAAGAGAGAAAGAAAGAGAGAGAGGGAGGGAGGGAGGGAGAGAGGGAAGGAGGGAGGGAGGAAGGGAGGAGGCAAGGTGGGAAGGTGGGAGGAAGGTAAAGAATAGGTAAGTGAGAAGTGAATAGGCAGAGCTCTCTGTCTAAAGGGACCTCAGACCTCTTCTTGTTAGCAGAACATAGGTCACCTGTAATGGCACTGCTCACTCTCCTCTCTGGACATTCTTAAACATAGTTCAAAGAACACAATTACATTTTTAGAAAATAGGCATTCATAGTAGTTTCTCCACAATCTGAAAATATTCTCTTTCTTTTTCAAATTACTAATGAATGAAAAATTTATCCATTATGAAAGATAGTTTTGATTAAACATATAAATGAGAATTTTTGAATCTAGTGACTATTACTTTGGCCACAGCTAAAAAGCTATGCAATTAAACCTTCTTTTCCTCCCTAAGTGATGTACGCAGCAATTTGGAAATAGCATATTCCTAAGCAAAGAGCAGAATGGAAATGGGTCAGGAGTAAAAGCACTCATAGGCACAAGGCATCAGGTTTTGACACCCAGCTTAAGTTTGTAAGTCATGTTTAAAAGAACCTCAGAGGAAAGTTTCAGTTTATGGAGAGAACGGGCTTTGCCCAAATTACACCAAATGCAACCCAACCACAGCAGCTGGGACCATGTCAAGCCTTGTCCATATTCTCTATTAATATTTAGCACTTTTCCTCCAAGGAAAATCTGCCATATGCCAACCTCCAATCTCACAGTGGAATGAGCCTGGGGTGATTTAATTAGTAAGACTGTGAAGCCAGACCTGGAGGCTAACTGCCCTGATGCAGAGTCTCCCATACCCACGCGCCTCTGGGGGCCGCACACATGATGCCCCACCAGCCAAGTTCACATTCACTTCAGCTCAGTAGCGTGCGCCATCAGACCTTTCCCCTGCCAACACCTTTTCTTCCTACCACAAGATCTTGTGACAGCCTCTTCACTCTCCAATCTCCAATCTAAGAGATCAGCTTGGGGGCTGGGGTCTCCCTTAAGACCCCTCCAGAGAGCTAGGGTCTTTCTGTCTAGGCTGAAGTCCCCTTGCCAGGACAGCATCTTTTTTCTCCTCTCCTTAATGCAGGATTCTGGTTTCCTTTAACTTTTTCTTAGACCACAGACGGGGCTGCCCACAGGACCCTGTGCTCTGAAGGGCCCCATGCTCAGTTTGATGCTTTGATGTTGCTATCTTGGAATTCTTAAAACATTTGAACGAGAAGCTCATTTTCATTTTGCAATGATGTGCATGTCAGTGACTCTTCTTACCCAGACTGGCCAGGGGTTCCCCAGTTAGGAGCTCTCTGGTCAGGGGTTCCCTTTTCAGAGGTTTGGGTAACAGTACTGGGGAACAAGGCCATTGGCGACACAGGTAGGCTAGGATGTTATTAAACCGCTGTTTTGGGTGCCATGTTATCAAAAGTTATTCAGCATCTACTATGTGATCATTGCAGTTTTTCATAATTTTTCATAATGTGTGTTATTTATCTTTACATTATCCTTAGAGGTAGATGCTGATCCTCATGCTTACAGGAAAAAATGGGGGTGCAGAGAATAAGTGGCCAAGGTGCACAACTATTCAGACACCTTGGTGCTCAATAGCACCTGCCACACTGAGGGTTCATAAGATGAGAGGATAAGAAGAACATTTTTATTTCTCCATGAAAACCCCACGATTCCATAGCAACTTTTCAATCAAGTTCACCAGCCTGAATTTGGGCTTTTTAGGAATCAGAAAAGGAGCCAGAGATGTTGGGGAAAGACAAGGTGCTTGGAATCAGATAAATCTGGATCCTGGATCCACCATACCCTACCTCAGGCAGGTGGTATACTTGCTCAAAGCCTCCATTTCCTCCTCTATAACACAGAACAATGATAGCCATGCCTCTCTTCCAGCCCTCTGTGAGGAGCATGTGGTAGCCTGTTTGGTAAATGCCTGACGCGGAATGGATGGTAAGTGAACTCTAACTACCATTCTCCAGCAACGTTTCATTCATCAGCATTTCCCAAAGCACATTTCATGGAACACCCATTCCATTCGATGTTCTAAGGGGAAAAACAGGCATTCCATGAGCAACGCAGTTTGGAAAGTGCTGAATACCAAGCCTCCTTCTGGAACAGTTACAATATACCTTAATATATAGCAGTTCTGAAAAATAAAGTAAAGAAACCTGCTGTACTTGATTTAACCCAGAATTCCCCAAACACATTTCATGGGCTATTCCTCTCCATGTCTAATTTTGCTAAGCTCTTACTCCTCTGAAGCAGCAACCAAAGGCATCTCCACCTGCCCAGGCCTCCACTGAGCCCAGATCACTGGGTTTGCAAATATCTGCTCTCTCGGACTCCATTAACTGTAAGTGGGACCCATGTCCCTTGATGGTGGAGCTCACTGCCTCCCTGTGACCAAGTGAGAGAATTAGAATGGGTAGACGACTGACATTTCCCCGGAGAAGCCCAGGGGAAGGACCAGACTCAATCTCATTATCAGCATGAACTTTCATGACACTAGTTAATATTGTCATTTTTTCTTATATTGAGTTTCAGGAAGAATTATTTGATATTGGAAATGATATAGTGTAGACTACAGTTAAATTAGAAATTCCATTTGACTTAAGAAACTGAAATACATATAATCTAGGGAGATTGAGTTTTCATCATCATTTCACTGTTAGGGTTTGAAGGTTAAAAAGAAGTCTGTTTCACAGATTACAGCATGTAAAGGCATTCAGCATCAGTGTGAATGAAAATCAAAAACATCTTTCTGGGTATCAAGTATATGTCAGATTTTGAAATGTGACTTTTTTCATCTTATAATTCTAAAACTCCAAATGCTTACAGATTGGTTTTATATCCCCTGCATCAGGAATAATTTGGCAATTCCCTGAAGAAAGCAAGGGGAAATGAGAGCAAATCAGGCACGTGAAATTGTTTATACAAGACTTTGGAAAGACTGACAAGACTACATGAGATCTGTAAGAAGTGAGGAAAATAGCACACCAAGAAACTGGATAACCTAGAAAAAAAATAGATATTTGCTTGAAATATACAATCCACCAAGACTGAATCATGAAGCAATAAAAAAAATTCTGAACAGACTTAAAATTAGTATGGGGTTGAATCGGTAATCAAAAACCTTCCATAAAAAAAAAACAAAAAACCCAGGACCAGATGTCTCTCCTGGAAAATTCTTCCAAACACTTAAGGAAGAATTAACACTAATCCTTCTCAAACTTTTCTCAAAAAAATTAAAGACAAAGGAACACCCCCAAACTCATTTTTATAAGGCCAATATTGAAAAGAAAAATACAGACCAATATCCCTGATGAACACTGATGCAAAAATTCTCAACACAATACTAGCTGACCAAATCAACAGCACATTAAAAGGATTATACACTCTAACCAAGTGGAACTTATTTCTAGAATGCAAGGATGTTTCAACGTATGAAAACCAATCAATGTGATACACCACATTAACAGAATGAAGGGGTGGAAAATAGCAAAGCTTGAGACCTCACACTTATAATTTCAAAACATATTACAAAATGGTGTAATGAAATCAATATGATGCTGACTTAAAGACAGACATATGAACCAATGGAACAGAATAGAGAGCCCAGAAATAAAACCTCATGTATATGATCTTTGAGCTTCAACAAAGCTACACAGTGGGGAAAGGCTAGCCTCCATCGTATGAATGTTCCTCAAAAAACTGAAAACAGAATTATCATATAATTCATCTATCCCACTTTTGGGTATATCCAAAAGAAGTGAAAACAGGATCTCAAAGATATATGTGCACACCCATGTTCATTTCAGCATTATTTGTAATATCCAAAAGATGGAAACAACTTAAAAGTCCATCAATAGATGAGATGAATAAAGAAATTAATTCATTTCAACAGTGTTTTATAGTTTTTAGTGCACAGGTTTTTTTCTTCCTTGGTTAAGTATATATATGTATATATACACACACAATGGAATTTTTTGCAATTATGAAATTGATTATAGATTTCCAAGGCTGCTTTATCATAAACAAAGAGTCTTCCAGGACTGTGAAGCTCAGCCACACTCTGAGCACAGAGTATGGCAAAATGCCTGTCTGTATCATTGTAGGTGTATAATAAATATTTGTTAAATTCATTAACTGCTATTCCTACAGTTCTCCTAGGACTTTGCACTGTTATTACACCACTTATACTGTAATTTTTTTTTTTTGAGACAGGGTCTCCCTCTGTCACCCAGACTGGAGTGCAGTGTCACGATCACAGCTCACTGCAGCCTCAACCTCCCAGGCCCAAGCAATCCTTCCTTCTCAGCCTCCTGAGTAAATGGGACTGCAGGCACACACCACCCCACCCAGCTAAGCTTTGTATTTTTAGTAGAGACAGGGTTTTGCCATGTTGCCCAGGCTGGTCTTGAACTCCTGGGCTCAAGAGATCCTTCCACCTTAGCCTTCCTAAGTGCTGGGATTACAGGCGTGAGCCACTGTGCACGGCCTACTGTATTATACTAAGTCTTATACATGCCACATACAAGGAATATTATTCAGCTTTATAAAAGAATGAAATCCTTTTATCTACTACAACATGGATGAATCTTGAGGATATTATGCTAAGTGAAATAAGCCAGTCACTAAAAGACAAATGCATTACTTTATAATTCCATTTATGTGAAGGTATTTAAAGTAGTCAAAGTCTTAGAAAAAGAACCTAGAATGGTGTTGGCCATGGGCTGTCAGGAGGGAGGCAGTTGTAGTTACTGTCCCATAGGTATAGAGCTTCTGTTTTGCAAGATCAAAAAGTTATAGATATTTGTTGTAGCACAAGGTGCGTATAGTTAACACTGCTGTACTGTACACTTAAATATAGTCAAGATAGTATGTTTTATGTTATATGGTTTTTACCACAATTAAAATAGAAATGAGGACAGGAAATATCATTTGCCAGGTTTTAAAAGCATGGGTAACTACCCCTAAAATGTAGCCATCAATTTAACAGGAATGATGTAAGTGCAGCATCTCTTTTTTGAGGTGTGATAGAGTTTAAGAGCTACTAGGAAAAAACAGTACAACTAAACATCCTAAAGTGTGTCTACATGCCGCTGTATTCAAATAACACAATGTTTGCCCTTACTTCTAAATAAGATTTGGAAAGAAATAAGAAAAGAGTATATGTCATGCAAAATGTTAGGGTTTGGCAAAGAAGATCAGAGTCTCATGAAAGTGGGAAAGAATCTAATATGAACATTCAGACCTGGTGCAAACATGGCTTCTGCCTTGACTAGTATCCTCTGAGCTTTGGAATCGGCTCCACCCAAGGCCTGAGCTTTTGTATCTCTATCTTAATCTTCCTCTCTCCACAGGTGCCCCCATGGGCTCTGCAAGTCTTCATGGTTGTCTGTTGTGTAGCACAGGAATTCCATTTTCCCCATACAGCTAATGAAATCAGGGATGAGGATGATCTAATGTTCTCAGCCTTGCCACCTGAAGATTGATAGCAGAGGAGAGTCTGTCCGGCTGATGAGTGATGTAACTTTGCCATGAATGGAGCAGCAGACTAGTGTCCAGATGGACCACTTAGCAAAGGTACAGGGAGAGCCACAGAGAGTGATTGAGGCTGCCAGTCAAGGACAGGAGCTAAGTGGGTGCAAAGGAAACCTGAAGCTCAGTCCCGTGGATTTGCCGTGAAATTCCTCCTGCCTGAGGTCAGGCCCAGAGGGAGAAGCTGGAGTCCAAATCTTGCGGCCCAGCTATGAGGAAGACGGAACACAGTGTGGGCCCTAGGCCTGACCCGCCAAAAATTGGTGAGATGGAGACAGATGAAGCCACAAACAAGGGAATGAACACCAGGACCCATGTGGCTTTGGATTTCCAAAGAAAGTCAACAAAAAGTACCACCTGTGATGAAACAAATGTACCCTGTGATTCAGATTCTGAGAACTTGAAGCCATGATCTCAGCAGCTAAAATAGAACCACCTGTCAATACAGCAGTCTCTTGGAAATGCATCAACAGTGAGAAAGGAATGCTGTTCTAATGATGCTCAGGAGGCCAGTTATCAACAGAACAGATATTTTTCTGCAACAAAGTGACAGCAATGAGTGGTGATAGCGGCAGTATTGCAAAAGCTCAGCCCGATTTTTTTTCCCTTGCAATGGTCACTGCCTTTTGGACATGGATATATGTTAACACAATGTAGAAGAGCAGTCTCCAGTGCTTGTGCTGTGGTTTGATAATGCTCCCAAGCTTTAGCCCGGTCGCAGCACAGCAGGGCTCAGGGACCCCCGACAGGCTGGACTGCCTGTTCTCCTCCCTCCACTTAGGTTGACCCTACCCCCACCGTGCCACAGCCCCAACTTTGCCCCTTCACTCTCTAGGAATCCCTCAAGCCCATGCAACCCTGGGAACCTTCCAGACTTTTCCACCAAGCTCTACCTTTCTTCCCTACAGTCTGTTAGACCCATTCCTGAGTGTTTCTTCAAATAAAAAAAAAAAGCAATTGCAATATCTAATTTTTTGTATGACCTCAATTAAATAATGATATACACTTCAGAATAATATAAAAGTACATTTTATATGTGCTATTCTTGATTCGTTCTATCAAGCTTGAGCGTCAATTTTTTTTTAGCAAAGGTAAGCTTCCTGCTAGATTCTTTCTAAGAAAATGGCCTGTTCTTTCCAAAACAACCTGTATTATTGTAACTGGTCCAGATCAATGTTTTAATACGGGATCAACAGATTCAAAGAGTCTATGATCCTCCCACAGTTGAGTGCAAAATTGCATCTATGGATGAGGGTTTTTCTGGAGATAAGGGTCCATGTTTGTATGTGATTCTAAAAGGCAGTTGTGCCACTCCTCACCCCCCAAAAGTTTAAGCATCACTGCTTCAATTAAAAATTTTAATGCAAATCTTCTGGAAGATCCAGTTCGATTACTTTAAATGTTTAATCCATGTTCAAGAGGCATGATTTTAAGTGGTATTTTTGTTTGTGAATGAGAACACAAGAGTATTATAGAGGCTCTTTGTAAAGCATTCGGCTTTGTAATCCAGGTGGAAAAAATAGGACATGATAAGATGAGAGCTGTCTCCTCACTGTTGAGTCTGGGATGGGAAGAGCTGCAGACACCTGTGCAGGGAGCATTGACAAAGAGCACAAGTGAATTATGCCTTGAGCAGGTTTTGCTAATGGTTTTCTTAATCATTCCCATACCTCACACAGTGAAAGCCTTTGAATCCACTGATTCTGTCACATATAAAGCATTGAGTGGGCTCACTCTGGAGCAATTCCAAAATTACATTTCTCATCTTCCAGAGTGCTCAATACAATCTAAATAGTTACAAAATAAAATCCGGGAAGTCTAAGACATCACTCACTTACTTCAACCATTCTGAGTAAAATGAACTTTTAGTTCATTGAAAATCATATGTAAAGATTTTTATTTTCAAGATGTGAATCTTTGGAGGAGTAGCCCCCTCAGTGGAGATACTTCCCATTGGAACACAAAGTAATGGGATAAATACACTGTGCACAGGAATTATTTTATCCAGAATATATCCAGATATTGAGGGAAGAGGAGGGGAGGGAAGAGAAGGAAAGGAGCCCTTCCAGCTCTGAAAAGGACGGGAGATAATGCCTGTAGGACAATGCGTTATCCAGGCTCCACTGATGATTCAGAACCCATATGGTTTGACTGAGCTGAATTCCCAGGTGGGAAAAACGCCTTTGGCCCCACACACTTTCCTGCCATCATGCGGGAAGCAGGTCTTGTGGCTCGTGGGCTCCTAGCCCAGCTGTTGAATATTTGCTGATATTTTCGTTTGCAATTAACTCTCTTCTATTGTTTGTCATGTCCTGGAGTCTCCATTTATAAAAAAACGAAATTCCCTGGCAGCAAATTTTGGAGAACTTTTTCATTTAGATTATTAAAAGATGTCAAACACCATCTCACCAGATGACCACCCGCCCTCTTCAACAAGAGGGAATGAGGCAGCCATCCGCGCTCATTCCCCGACACCACCCTCCCGGAGGAAGGAGAGAGGAGAGTGCTGGTAACGTTTCCTGGGCTTCTGTCTTGTGGGTGGGATTTCACGCCCTCCTCCCAACCATCCGATGGCTGATTTCCCTCCATTTTATAGCTGAGAAATTGAAACCCCAGCAAGGCAAAGTGATTGTTCAAAGCTACATAGATAAAAACAACATAGAACCAGAACCCTAACCCAAGTTAGCATTTCCAAAGCTCATGGGAAGAACCCCGGGAAACCCTAGAGGCTGTGCCAGATTTGGCCCAGATCTCAAGGAAACTCCCCATGCCTTTTGGGGAAAAAATAGACTTCCTTGGTGGTGACACACCACAGATTCTATGTCAATGGAAGTCGGCTGTCTACTATCATTCTTTCAAATATGAAAAAAAGACTCAGAATTGGCTGCTTGAGATCCTTGGGCTGGAAGGGGTCTGTTCCTTCATCCTAGATTCTGTGTCCTAAAGGAAACAGATTCAATAAGAGACATTCATCACATTTTCATTCTCATCTTTCTGTTTAGGATTATTCATCTTTTTGTTTACTCTGCCTCATTCTAAAAAGGATTTGAGGTGCCTTTTTCCGTTTAGTTTCTATCCCTTTGAAATTTAAAAGGATACCTTTCATCAGAAAGATTGCCCTACATGGCCCTTCAACCTGAAATCATATTCAATCATATTCCAATGAATATGATTTCCCAAGCTATTTTGCAATTCTGTAAATTAGTTTTCATTTAGCCTACTCAAAACCTTTTTCATTTTCCATGTCTGGAAATCTTTTTTAAGAAAGAGACACACACGCATGCACACAAGGAAATAGTTTGAAAACAAAGACTCAAATAAATCCAGAGCTTCCATTTTGAAGTCATTTATTTGGTTTTCTCCAAGCACTGCTTTTTAAAATCAGCCTGTCCCTCCTATCAAGTTCTGGGACTTCTGTTAGTTCCTAATTGTCCTGTTTAAAATGGGAGCAGTGGAAATAGTCAAAGACCACAGTGGGAGAGCCGTGCACACTGACTGTGAAATAGAAAGTCAAATTTCAGTAAATTTGAGGCACTCATCCACCCTTGCCTTTGCCACGCCCATTCCTAGACTGCAAGAAGGAGCGCCCCATTTCTTTCTCTTTTTCTCACTCTTTCTCTCTCTTTTTGCACGAATCCTGGGAAAGGAGTCCCCGTTCTTTTCCTCAGGGAGGAAGCTAAGAAAGGATTTATTAAGTCCTGCAATTAGGGTAGGAGGAGAGTGGAATTTAATATGCTCTTGGTGTTTGAAAGACCCAAAGGAGAATCCTCAAAAGAAAATGTTTTGGAAGAGCTCCAAGAAACCTCCAAAGAAATATAGCAAATTTTGTTTTTTTACTGTTTATTTAACAACTTGGATTTCACATTTCTTTCTTTTTTCCCTTTTTTTTTTTTTTTTTTTTGAGACAGAGTATAGCTCTGTTGTCCAGGTTGGAATGCAGTGGCATGATCAGAGCTTACTGCAGCTTCAACTTCCTGAGATCAAGCAATCCTCCCACCTCAGCCTCCCAAGTAGCTAGGACTACAGGTGTGCGCCACCACGCCTGGCTAATTTTTTTTGAATTTTGGTAGAGACAATATCTCACTATATTGCCCAGGCTGGTCTCAAACTCTTGGGCTCAAGGGATCCTCCTGCCCTGGCCTCCCAATGTGCTGGGATTATAGGCATGAGCCACTACACCTGGCCTTTGAATTTCTATTCTATGAAAATACTCTAGAACAATAATCTGTTTGACTCAAACTGAATGTGTATCCTGTGATAGCAACATTTTAAAACTCTTCTCATCAGGCAGGGTAACTAGACCTCCTTTGTCACCTACTGGGGTCCTTTGTCACTTACGGGGGTCCTTGTTAGATATGGAGTAGCGGATTCGAGATCTTCAACTCTTCCTGGTAAAATCTAACAAAGCAACACCTGTTCTGCAACTTGTGGATTATAACAAAGCAATGCAGAAAGAGAAGGCCTGGACATCCCCTACCAATGCCCTCCCTCTGTGAATGAGAGCACCTGTAAGAATATGCCGACCTGCAGCCAGGCTTAGGCCAAGCTCCTCAGAGGTGGGTCTCCTTCCCATTACAAAGGCAATTAAGAAACTCCAGATTAATTACCCAGATATTTGAAAAAATTACTTTAAAACATATTCCTAGCATTGCAGATAATAACCATGAGGCAGAAAGTTCCATATCTGGTGTGATTTGAAAAGCTAGACGCCACCATGCAAATGTAAAACACATTCCACATTCTGAAATATACGGCAGCCAGACAAGATTTTGTCTGCACTTATACTGCTAATTATAAACATCAGGCAGAGACTAGTTCCATTTCAACATTAAAGAAGAAAGGTGCATTAGAAAATGCTTCAAGAAATATTGCACAAATGCCCACTCCATTCCAACTCCTTGCCACGTGACGCTGCTGGATCCAAATTGGAGCTTGGCACTTATTCCTGTCTTTTCCTTCTTGGCAATGAACTAAGGTGCTACTGACCTTTCCAAAACTGTGGTGTTCCACTGTAAATGATTAAAGTGGCTGAAAGGTGCTCTCTTTGTAAAGAGAAAAGTTAGATATTTTGTCTGTTTTCTAGTCTAATTTATAATCAAGTAGAGAAGATAAAATCATTCTTGAAAACAGAAACCTTTTCAAAAATCAAGTTGGAACATCTGATAAAATATCATCCATGCTGGATTTATTGCAGTAACCTGGGAAATTCTACTTCCTTACTGCCTCTGTCAGCAATGGTCGGCCAATCTCTCCCAGCCTCCCTTTTGTGTAAAAGAAGGCTCCTTGCCTGTTGCTCGAACAGGCCATAGTCCTGCGACTGCTCTCTTCCATCTGTTGCCCTGGGCTCTGATGAATGATGGGTTTTCTGCAGCCCCAGTTAGAAACAGAGCACCCTGGTGCACCGCCGGGCCGGCTGTGGGTTTAGCTGAGTTGGCGCTAACTCTGGGTACCGGCCCTGGGCTGCTGAATCAACTAATGAAGATTCCAGAAGTGAAAAACCAGTTTCCTGGAATGGTTTCCCTTGAGATCTGAGTCAACTCCAGCTGCTGTTCAATTTTTAATTTTGAAATTAAACCGAGCCATGAGCTCTTCCTTCCAGTGACCAATTCCTGATGCTCTGGGTTCCTGAAAACCTAATGTATAGCACACACAGGGGGTTTTACAGAAACATTTCCCATTGTACTTTTCCCTGGCCACTTGCAATTCTCAAATGTTTCTCTGTAATTCATGAGTTTAAACTTCAGGAGAACAGTAGGATCATACTATGCTGAATGCAGCCAGACCCCTACAAGACTAACAATTTGCCTTTGGGAGAAGGTTTGGCAGAACTTTTCGTATTTGTTTTTTTCTTCTCTCCTTTTTCTTTCCAGATTTTTTTAAGCAACAGTTACTCCTCTGCTGAATCAACTTAAAAGAGGCTACTCCAAGGAAGACTGGGAATGGGAAGAGTACCTTTCTCCACATGGCACCCTAAAATACACTCTTAAAGGCTTGTCCCCCTTGAAATGTCCAGATTCCAAGATGTCTGCATATTGGAAACATCAGACAATTCTGCTACTAGCTCTGTGGCCCTGTCACTGGGCATACCTCTCTGAGCTCTCTTTCTTCATCTGAAGCATAAAGGGCGTGGAGAAACCATCCACCAAGGTAGTAGTTTTTTTGATATTTCAATTAGCCAAACAGAAATTATATGTTTGCCAACCAGAAGAGAGGGGGCTATGTCTTAGTCATTTTTTTAATATTCCCCAAGAATGTATTCTCTTTTTTTATTATTTTATTATTATTATACTTTAAGTTTTAGGGTACATGTGCACAACATGCAGGTTTGTTACATATGTATACATGTGCCATGTTGGTGTGCTGGACCCATCAACTCGTCATTTAGCATTAGGGATATATCCCCTCCCTGAACCTCAGGGCTCAAGGCCATGATGCACAATAGGTCTTGTTAAACTTAAGTAAACATGAGAACACAAAGACCAACCAAAGGGTTAGGTTTTTGTTTTTTTTGTTTGTTTGTTTGTTTGTTTGTTTTGCTCTGAGCTAGAATTGTCTCCCTCAGAGTCTTAATGCTGGTTATCTCAAGCGAACAGACATAAATCTGAGAGTCAGTAATATATATTTGTATTAATAAATATTCAAGACGAGACATTCATAATCATAGCTTGTGTGAATTTTTAAAAGTATGTTAAAACCCATTGTCCATTATTAGGGGAAAGTATCAAAGGACATGTCACGAGCACCCTTACAGTTCTAAAATCCGGTAATTCTACAGGGATACGCAATGGCATGAATATGCAAACCTACTTTGGTTCTCAAGCACCCGACTGTTCATTTAAACCTCTGTAATTAGATATGGGTAAAATGCTTCCTATAAAATGTCTTATTTGCTGAATACCCTTGTAATGCAATTGTTTGGGAACAAAGATGCCTCCTTTGATGGCACAATTTCATCTCAATACACTTACACCTGAGCAGAGAAGAAAAACAAAGCTCTAACGTATGTACACTTCCGTTATTATGAACAGCCACAATAAATATAATAATGACAATCATGTATTGAAATATCAGTCCTAAAACTGCCCGCAAGCTCTGCTGAGATGGTCATCACTGAGTTACTACAAACCCTGAAACTCCACCCTGGGAGACTCCAGGCACCACTTCAGAGATTTTTCTGAAGCTCGCAGAGATACACCTCCCTCTAGAGGAAAGAAAACCAAACTGCCTTTTCAAAAACAGACCAGGATGAACGTGCTAACTCAAAATTTCTTTTCTTTTTTTTTTTTTTTTTTTCTGAAACAGGGTCTGGTTCTGTCGCCCAGGCGCTGAAGTGCAGTGGCATAGTCACGGCTCACTGCAGCCTCAACCTCCCAGGCTCAAGTGATCCTCCCAACTCAGCCTCGTAGCTGAGATTACAGGCACATGCCACCATGCCTGGTTAATTTTTTAAAACGCTTTTGTAGAGACAAGGTCTCCCTATGTTGCCCAGGCTTGTCTCAAACTCCTGGGCTCAAGCGATCCGCCCACCTCAGCCTCCCAAAGTGCTGGGATTACAGAGATGAGCCACAGTGCCCAGCCCTCAAAATTTCATCTCTTTCCCAAAATGGACTATAAGACCAGAATGTATTAAAAATTATATTTTTCAAAATTAACAAAGTGAATTGTTGAAGGGAATATCTCTGCAAAATCAGGACCTGTGGAATACTCCCTGGAAATAAGACATTCATGACCACACATTAGAGGGGGCAAGCAACATGTTTTATTTAAAGAATAGGATTGTCCTTTCTTTGCACTGAATTTTTACACTGAATTCCACTGAAGTTTTACAGTGGAAACAGAGAAGCTGTATCTAGAAACGGGAGAATGAAGATAACCATTCTTGTCTAGTTCATGGCTGTCTGAATTAGTAGGAAACTTTAAAGCTCCCCCACTTTAAAATTTGGAGGGTTTGCGGCTTTCATTTTCTTAGCTAGAGCTAATAGGATTTTCTTTAAATGTCAGGTCCCTCCTCAAATCGTCAGCTATTTATGTAGCAGTGATGTGTTTTTTACTGCCTGCTTGCTGCAGCCAGGACACCATGAAAAGTTTGCTCCCGTAAGTCAGGGTGGAAAAGCTGCCTGGTACACAACATCCCTGTCAGATGGAAACCGCCTGCAATCCTTCCCCCAAGAGATAGCAGATTTTCAGCTTCTTCCAAAAAGAGCAGTGACAAAACTGAACTTTCAAATAAAAATTTTTGCTAAAGCTGTTACTGCGCCTGCAAGGAAGTGTCACGCAATAGTATTCACGACTTGCCGGTGAATTTTAAGTCCTAAACATGGAATTTCACATATAAGTGGGAGGTGATATCAACCGCTGGTGAAGACTACGCTTGATCCAGTTGTCTGAACACTCTGAGCAAGGAAACAAATGAAACCTCGCTGGCAAAAAGTCACTGCCAGCTTCCAAAGCTTCCAAAGAAGGCGGTCTTGTTTCAAGCTGGCTTTAGGCATCCAGGTCTATGGGTTCCGTTCCTGAAACTAAGGTCAGGATGAGCAGCCTCATTGGAACCATAAATCAACAATCGACTGAAGAGAGGAGCTTCTTCCTACTTTCTCATCGGGGACGTATTAAGTTCTAGGATAGGAAATCACAAAAGGCACTGATGATAAAGTCAGTGCAATTTGCTGAGTCCTGAATGCTTTAGAAATAAAATGAAGTGTGAAGTAAAGACAATTTTTCAGAAAGGTGCCTACCTCGTATCAAAAATATCATTCAGACCCCAGGTTTGGACATTTGCCACATGTCCCCTCACCTGTGGGCCACAACTATAGTGGGGTGGAACACGCTCCCTGCCAAGCAGGGAAAGAGCGGGGCCAAGGGCTAACATTCTAGAGGCTTCCCCAGCCACCTCCCAGAAAGGTGCTGTAGCCACACCCTCCAATGCCTGGATAGGAAAAGCCAGGACAGCCTCACTTCACCCCAACATGGAATTCCTTCCCAAGCCCTCTGCTCCACTCAGTGTCTGCTTCCTGGCTTCTCTCGACCATGAGTGAGGAAAGGAGAGAACTAAACCTCTGGGTAGCAAGAAACCCCCTAAACAAAGAAGTCCAGACAGGCAGCTGTTCCTACATCCTGATCTTTGTAAAAGCCACGCCTCCCCACCCAGGCTTTCATCCTCAGCTACAAGCCCACTTCAGAAAGAAGAGCATACAGGTCCCCTCCTTCAGCGCCCTCCACCCCCAGGAGGTGGCCTGAGCAGGGCGGCCAGCCCCGGTATTCCGGTCACGGAACCGATGCCCCCGCCCCACGGTCCACCTCCCTTCTTTCTCGGTTCATTGGTAGAGTCTTAGTGAGCCCAAAGCAGTTTTCCCAACGAGATGTGAGTTATTTGGGATCCTCCGTCACTGGCTTGTCTGCTCTCCTTCAATGGGGAAGGATTTCACTGCCATCTCAGGCACTCGCTCCCTGGCCTGGGCAAGGAATTCCGCATCTCAGAGCCCCTGGTTGCTCATTTTGAAAACCAGGAAACTACTGCATCAGTGGCTTCTGACCAAAAATCTCTTCCATTATCTTTAGCCCAACAAAAACCTCAGAAGTCCCAGTAATGTCATCAACGGCCACCCACTCAGTTTTCAATATAGTTTTGCTTAGGAGCAATGTAACTTTGATTTTAAAGCCATTTCGGTTGTTTTTTACAGCATTAAGAATGGGACCCTGGGGAGCTGGGGGATCCCAGGTTGAGCATCCACCATCCCCGTGAGCTCTGAGCACCCTGCAGCTCTAGCACCCTGTGGTCCTCGCCGGGGTGAGCTGTATGTGGGGAGAGAAGCCAGTCAGCCGGGGCCACAGCCCTGCCTCCCCATCCAGCACAGCAGACTCCCCTGTGCTCAGAGGGGTTTGCTCCTGGGGTCTGCACCGGCCTCGAAACTGGCTCCTGGGGCTTCCTGTGGAAGCAGATTTTTCTTTAACCACTCCCTAGTCCCTCCCAGTGACCCCACCCATACTTCAATACCCGTTCATTATCCAACATAGTAGGCCCCTTGAAACAGGTTCCCCAAACAGGCTGGCCACTGTCAGCGAACGTGTCCATCCTCAGCAAGAGAGGGCCCGAGCCCCACCCTGCATCCTCCGGGCCAGAGAACAGCCCTCGGGGCCTCCCAGCTCGGCACTGGCCTCACCTCTGTGCAGCATGGGCTGGCCCTGCAGCCCCAGGGGCCCTGCCTTAGACACTCAGCATGCTGCCCAAATGCCCAATTCCTTCTTCTCCTCTGACCCCTGCAACTCCTTTAAGCAACCCCAAGGGACAAAGTCTCCAATAGAGACTTCAGGTTCCTGGAAAGACGAAAGCTTGACGGCAATGACTGAGCGACCCTTTACTTGGCCCTGATCCTGAGCACCAGAGTTACTCCAATCTTGTGAAAGCAGCAAATGTGCTCCACCAGGACCTTCCCATGGGCGGCCCTGGGCAGAAAACCCATGCAGGTTGTTGCACCCTGACCTAGTGTCACCACCCAGAGAGCTCAGAGAACATCTCCCAGCGGAGCCGCCCGGCAGGGAGCTATGCTAGTCCTCAGCAAAGACGCTTCTGCAAACAAAGCGGATCCCGAATGGGTTTTAGAAGGCGGCAGTAACTTAAATAAATCATGGGCCGAAACACACTGCCGCCCGGAATGCACAGGGCGCGTGTAGCAGCCACAGACACGCGGTGGAAAAGTGCTCACACTCTTAGGCAATCATGACCTTAACCAATTTAAGGAAATCCCATTGCCATAAAGTGAGAAAGAAAAATCAGCGGAATCTTCCAGAGACCTAAAACATGTACAGAAAACTGGCGATCAGCATGAACGTAAGAGCCACTAACGCTACCTAGAAAGGATCACTTCAGGTTAAGAGCATTTCCTTCTAGCCCCAAACCTGGAAAAACAGAAGAGAAATCACACTTACCCCTGAGCAAACCTGAAGGCGTGTGTCCCTGGGCTCCTCGATTCAATTAGGTTTGAATAGGATGCATACTTTTCCCACTCACTGCGTCTCTTTTTCTTTTTGCAGCCTTTCTCCACCAAAAAAGTGGAGACTCAGAGCTGCGGAGGAAAACTCTTGCAGTCCTTGCAGGAGGCTGGAGCCCAGGAGAACTGAACGGCCTTTGGTGGAAGACTGAGCTCCAAACTGGACTGGGGCCAGGGATACCAGTCAGGGCTTCCTCCAGCTCCTCCTCCTCCTCCTCCTCCCTCCCGGACCCCTCCTCTCCCCCTCCTCACTGCAGAACTGACCCAAAACTGTAAATGAAACCAGACTCCTCCACTCTGTTTCTTCTGGCCCCCGCTCAGGCTGATGTCACCCTCTGAATTCTGTCTTCACCCTACAAGCGTTTAGCTGGACTCCTGCAAGCCCCAACTCTTAAAAAAAAAAATTGACCACTCCTACTCGTCACCTTTTGGGCTGGGCCCTTGGCGTCAAAAAGAATAAATTTTGGAATTTCTTCGTGGGTATCCATGGTTTTCCTGCAATGTTTTCCAACACCATCTGAAAGGAAAACAGGAAATGCAGTCCCCCGCTTACCCTCACCACACCCTCCCATTTCTTCTTGAAGTTTCTGAATTGAGACTTCTACTAATAACTTCCCCCTTCAAATAGAAAAACCAGCAATTAAAATCGCCTTGGTTTTCTGTTAACCAAAGCTCTGTTCACCGGCAAAAAAAAGGAGGCTACATTTCTCTTAATTTCTATATCTAATGATTCTGATTGTGGCGCTTATAGGCCCATTCTAGGCACAGACGGGGTAATAAAAATGGTTATCTTGCCAAAGCTTCGGGAAAATACTTGAGTAAGAACTTCTGTTTCTAGAAAGCTTTGCACATTTCAAAACACTTCAATATACATTCTCTCCTTTATCACAAACATCAACACCCTAAGCCCTTTTAAATAGAAAGATGTCTTCTTTTATTAGGTGAAATTGTGGTCCCATTTTACAGATGAAAGAAACAGGCTGGGCACGGTGGCTTATGCCTGTAATCTCAGCACTTCGGGAGGCTAAGGCAGGCAGATCACAAGGTCAGGAGTTGGAGACCAGCCTGGCCAACATGGTGAAACCCCTACTAAATCTCTACTAAAAATATAAAAATTAGCCAGGCATGGTGGCAGGCGCTTGTAGTCCCAGCTATTTGGGAGGCTGAGGCAGGACAATTGCTTGAACCCAGGAGGCAGAGGTTGCAGTGAGCCGAGATGGCGCCACTGCACTCTAGCCTGGGCAACAGAGTGAGACTCCAAAAAAGAGAAAAAGGAAAGAAAGAAAAGAAATGAAAAGAAAAGAAGAGAAGAGAAGAGAAGAGAAGAGAAGAGAAGAGAAAAAAGAAAAAAAGAAAAGAAAAGAAGAAAAGAAAAGAAGTTCCGAGAGAGTAAGTGACATCGTCATTGTCCAGTCTGGGTTAGTAACAGAGCTCAAATGACAACCCAGCTTTGGCCATCCCCAAACTTCTCACTGCTCTCCCATCATGTGGTCCTTATGAAAAGTCCATTAATGTGAAATATCAAGAGACATCCGAAAGGTTCTTTTTGACTGAGAGATCCTTCCAAACCAAGTTTGAAGAGCAAAGAAATCATTAACTCCTTTCCATGGATTATCTCCCTCCAATTTAGGGAAGAAAGGAGACAGCACCCCAGAGAGAATGCCTGCTCCCCTCTGCAGCTCCAGGGCTCCCTTCCTCTCCCATAAAGAAGCCCAACCCATCTCTAAACCAAAGGGCTCACTTGCAGAGCACTGGAGTAGGGAACAAGGATGGAACCTGAATTATGGGGTTCTTAGGTGAAGACACGCTGAGCAGAGGCTCCGAGTATAGAACCGCGCTGCCTGCATGACATGTAGAAGGACAACACGCCCCTCCAGCGGCATCCAATTCTCTGCCCTCATCCTCTCTGCACAGTGCAGGCGTTGACTCAAGCCCCTACAGAGACCGGGGATACTTGCTGCCACCCCCTTGGTTAGAGTCTGCAACTTCAGCACTAAGGAGGACTATTTCTCCCAGAACATTGTCTGCTGCGAAGAAGACAATCTTTGATTACAACCCCATGCTCCAAGCAGCTCAGCAAACTGAGGTTAACTGAACAAGCACGTTTTAGGTGTTTCCACTCCACGGTTTCTTTCAAATACAAATACACTCTTTTTCGCAAAATCGCTAGGCAGATGCATTCCTTGGTATTGAAAGTTTCTATTACAGTCGACCTCGTATCCATGGGTTCTGCATCCATGGATTTAACCAACTGTGGTTCAAAAATGCTTTTTAAAGTAGATGATTGCATATATACTGAACATGTACAGATGTTTTTCCTTGTCATCATTCTCTAAATGACACAGTATAACAACTGTTTACATGGCATTTACACTGTATTAGGTATTATAAGTAATCTAGAGATGGCTTGAAGTACACAGAAGGATGTGCATAGGTTATGTGCAAATACTACACCACCTTCCTTCAGGGATTGGGGCCTCTGTGGATTTGGGTATCCATGGAGGTTCCTGGAATCAGTCCCCCATGGATACCAATGGATGGCTATATTTAAACAGCAAGGGCAAGAAATCATTTAGAACATGATTTAAAGAAATAAAAGCTCCCATTCAGTAGGAAACCATAATCTTTAATATTTAGCTGCACCTACTCATTGATGATCCAGATCCTCTTCAGCACTGCCCATGGCTCTAGAAACTTCCAGAAACTCATGGTAAACCTCCCTTGTGCTAACAAGAGAGAATTTGGGTTCTATGGCAGCTTTCTTCCTTAATCACCACTATGTGGATTCCCACTTACATTTCCAGTTCCTCTCTGCTACCTGATCCCAGGAGGAAAACAACCTCAAAAGTTTGAGCTGCCCTAAACGTCCTGAGTCCTGGATCTAGGCCCGGCCATCGGTGGGACCTCATAAGTCACTGAATCTCTCAGTTCACCTCATAAGTCACGGAATATCTCAATTCTGTTTCCCCTTCACTGCAGGCTTGAACTGGCTCTTGGCACCTCTTCCCATTTTCTTCCCTTATCTTGTCCTTAACTACACAAGTTAGCAAGTTCAGAACTCCATTTTCCAAGCTCCCTTGTAGCTGTGGCCCTGATGGGGATGGGGCCTCCCCATCCAGATACACGGCTATGGGATTGGAAGGTGGCCTGAGGGATGGCGATTTTCTGAGACTTTGGCTGCCCTTTCTCCTGCGGGCAAGGACAGTGTGGAAGGTCCCATGGGTGCCTCTGCAAGACTCCCCTCAGATGAGAGTCAAATGTTAGTGGTTCACACCCACGCCCTTTCCTGGAGGACTGTTCGTGGATGCTGGGATCTGTCTCTTCTGGACACATTGGGGTGTGTGAGGTGGGTGGAATTCCAAGATGACCCCCAGGAGTCAAGCCCTTGCGTAATCCACCCCCCTTGCGTGCAAATGGAAGCTGAGCCCTGATTCCAGCCTTTGAACACGACAAAAATGAATGGTGTCCCTTCCTGGATTAGGTTACAGTTGGGTCGTGGGAAGTCACCCAGGGATCACAGAAGACTCTGTCTTAGGAAACGGCAGGGAGAGATTATCTTGCTGGCTGCTGGGGTCTGGATGTCATGTCCCCCAAAAATCCATATGTTGAAATTCTAACCCCCAAAGTGATGGTATTGGGAGATGGGGCCTTTGGGAGGTTATTGGGTCGTAGAGGAGAAGCCTTGATGAATGGGATCAGTGCCTTATAAAAGAGGATATGGAGAGACTGCTCCATCCTCCCACCATGTGAGGATACAGAGGGAAGGTGCAGTGCACGAGTTAGGAAGCAGGACCTCTCCAGACACCGAATCTGCGGGCACTTTGATCTTGGGCTTCTCAAACTCCCAAACATGAGAAATCAATTTTTGTTGTTTAAGCCACCAAGTTTAAGACATTTTGTTACAACCATCCAAATGGACTAAGACACTGGCCTTGACAAAGTGAGCCGCCATCCTGTGAGGGCCAATGGCAAGGAAATGTGGGGGCCTCTGGGAGCTGAGAGCAGCTCCTAACAAGCAAGGAAGCAGGAACCCCAACTCGACAACCACAAGGGCCTGACTTCTGCCAACATCTACGTGAGCTTTGAAAAGACTCCGTGTTTCAGAAAGAAATGTAGTCTCCCAAACGGAGGTTTCAGCCTCTGAGACCCCAGCAGAGGACCCAGTGAAGCCAAGCCTGAACTCCTGACCCAAGATACTAAATGCATGTTGTCGTAAATTGCTAGTTTTGTGACAATTTGTTACACAGCAGTTGATAACTAGTACAGGGTTATAGCCCATCTCCCTTGGGGTGGCCCACAGCCAGTGATGTCTGATGTGGGATGTGACACTCCAGTCCATTGCCTCTGGGCCAGAAAAACTTGGCAAGAGGATTCTCACTGCAGAACACCTGCCATGGGACCAGCCTGACTTCTCAGAACCCACTCCTTGCCTGGCTTCTTCTCCTGCCCTCATCCTTCTTCCTGCCTTCCTTCTAGGTTTCCCCTGGGAGCTCTCCCTCAGTAATCGCTTGCACAACACCCTGTCTCAGGCTCTGCTAGAAGGAACTTGAACATACACACAGTCATAGAGAAGCCAATATGAAGACTCCAGCTCCCTGAATGTTAAGAGGCAGTGGCAGACTGTGTAACAGACTAAGCATCCGAGTTCCATCACAGTCTCCAGGACTCAAAGGGAAGTCGCAGCCACAGCAGCAGCATCTGCCACACCCCGCATCCCAGCATCCAGACAGCTGCTGAAGGGTGCCTCGATCTTTGTCCTGTAAACCCTGGATTGCGGCTGTGCAGTGTGTTCCTAAGTTCAGTCTCTCCGGGGCAGGCTCCTGTTTCCCTGCCTCCCAGAATAGACCAGAGGGTTTATGCTGGGATATCCTGGGAGATATTCCTGGAGGGCCAGCTCAAGTCCACTCTTCTCACCCTCCCAACCAGCTCCCAGTGATGGATCTGCAATCATGTTAATAGATTTGCTTGTTGCAGTGAGGCTGGAGTTTCCTCTTATTGAAGAGGAGGTATGTGACATTCCAAAATCAGCTTAAAGTAAAATGCTCCACTGAGGCAACTAGGCCTGTTTCAAGACAAGAAGGATTAGAAGCCCAATCAAGGAAGAGGACTTGAGGCTTCCACTGACCCCACAGCCAGAGGGCAGCTGGGGTTTCTCATTCCATCCCTGTGCCTGTTTTAAGCCTCCTCGAGTGTCAGAGTGGAAAGTTGAGCGGATCTCTGGGAATGAGGCCCTAGTGCCTTCTTTGCTACTAACTCACCACAGGTTTTGGGCACGTCAACTAAGCTTCCTGCAACTCTGTTTTCTCTTCTGCAGAGTGAGTGGTAGCTGTGCTCAATAATGTCCAGAATCATCCAGCAATAACCCCTCAGGGATCTGGGCTGCATCAGCCATATTCGTCTCTGCCTCATTTCTAGCCTCAACTTCTATCCCTGCCCCAATTTGCACATTTCAAAGCTCCCACCTCTAGATTCAGTCCCACTGAGACCCGGGCTCAGGAACAAAGATGGACCAGCTGCCCCTCCCCATTCCCTAAACACTTCATATGGACATGTTGGTGTGAATTTTTCCTACTCTATTCTACTGCACAAATGATGCTGTTTCTGCGATTTTCGAGAGTCTAAAACCAAATAGCACTTCACTTTATGCTACTAAAACACACCAGGCTATGAAGGAAAACGTAGTGCCAGCCATGCACAGAAAGCTGTTGGGTCATGTGTCTAGACCAACACTTCTCTTATTTCAGGAATGCCCATCCTCTACTTTGACCAGGGGTTCAAATGAGAGCTGCCATCTTCCAGAAGAACCTTCTAGCATCTCCTCTACCAGGTGATCCAGAGTTGGTAAGCTCATCCCCAGGTCTGCCTGCTTACATCTTAGAGCCAGCCAGTCTTGAGCCCTCTCTGATAATACCAGGAGCTGCCATATTTGCTACCATTTGGAGGAAGCCAGTCAGGGAGATCAAAGCAGAGAGAAGTGGAGAGGAGAGAAAGAGAATGCAATCAGCTCTCTGATTTCAGACATCCTTTCTATACTAGTTCAAGTTAAGTTCCCAACACTTACAACCAAAGAAGTCCTGCCTGGTGCACTAATACAATCTGTTTGAAGAAGACACATTTCTGAAATAAGTCCTGGACTAGCAGATCAGTCAAGCCATTACACTAATTCCCACTGTAATTCCATGATTTCTTCTGCTGTGGTAAAAGTGTAGCTATTCTTGATTTTCCTTGACTTTTCTTAAAAACTTTTCTCATCAAAACAGGCAGGATTGGGAGGCCGAGATGGGTGGACCTCACCTGAGGTCAGGAGTTCAAGACCAGCCTAGCCAACATGGTGAAACTCTGTCTCTGCTAAAAATACAAAAAGTTGCTGGGTGTGGGGGCAGGCGCCTGTAATCCCAGCTACTCAGGATCCTGAGGCAGGAGAATCACTTGAACCCGGGAGGTGGAGGTTACAGTGAGCCGAGATTGTGCCATTGCACTGCAGCCTGGGCAAAAAGAGCAAAACTCAGTCTCAAAAAAATAAATAAATAAGTGAAACAGGCAGGAAGGGAAGTCTTTGTTTCTGAGTAGCACAAAAGCCTGAAATATAAAGTAGATGTCTAGTATGTGTCCTAAAGCGTCAACCCAGGGAGATATGGGCGAGGACTGGGGGTCCTAAAGTGAGTCTTTGAGTGTATGGGAAACACCTTATGAAAATAAACATTCTTGTGAAGAAAGTCTAACAAACAATTTTATATTCATCTTGAATGATTAATTTTGGGGGGACATGTGAAGCTGGACATTTGGGGAGGATGAGAAGATTGCATTAAAGAGAATGTGCCAGCTTTTAGCTGGCTCTAGGAAAAATCAGTGTAAAATTGCCCAGTTAAAAATATAGCATTTTCCTGGCCGGGCGCGGTGGCTCACGTCTGTAATACCAGCACTTTGGGAGGCCGAGGTGGGCAGATCATGAGGTCAGGAGTTCGAGACCAGCCTGACCAATGTGGTGAAACCCCGTCTCTACTAAAAATACAAAAAAAAATTAGTCAGGGCGTGGTGGCGAGTGCCTGTAATCCCAGCTACTCAGGAGGGCTGAGGCAGGAGAATCACTTCAACCCGGGAGGCGGAGGTTGCAGTGAGCCAAGATCGCACCACTGCACTCCAGCCTGGGTGACAGAGCAAGACTCCGCCTCAAAAAAAAAAAAAAAAAAAATTTCCCTAGATTTTTGTGAGCTATAAACCATGCTCAGCTGATTAATTTTAAGGATGTCAAGCCCAAATGTGAAAAGATCCAAGAAACTTTTTGCAGTTGATTGGAATGCAAACATTTTAGCAAGGAGATGTTTGGTTTTATAATTATAGAACGACACCAAAGTGCCAATTTGGCCTTTTTCAGTTTGAAATATAAATTTCCATGTGTAAAGGATGGGTGGACCAGTTCCTTTATTTAACAATCTTAGCCTTAGGAAGAATTTTCTCTTAGGCACAAAGTCAGATGTCTACTCATTTTAGCTTCAAAGTCATCTCAACTCCTTCATTCCTTCACTTACTCAACAAATGTGCACTGAGGGGCTATTGTGTGGGGAAGCCCTGCCCTAGGAAGTGGAGGTGACGCCAAAATGAAGCAGGCGTGGACCTCGAGGATCTCATTGCAGACCCGCGGAGAACCGGAGCTAAGGGGCCGGCCGAGACGGGCCGGGAGGATGCTGGAGACGCCAGAAGAGGGCGCCCTCACTTCCACCTGGCAGGAAGCCCTGAGGAACGTGTAAACTGGAAATCCGATCTGCAGTGATAACAGATCGCTCAGGAACTGGAGGCTCCCGTTATTTTCCAAGACTGAGCTGAGGCTGAAAGCACAGGGATGAGTTGGGAGTTTCAGTAGGGAGGACTTAGGCCCCTAGGTCCCCACCCCACGCTGACCTCTCCTCCCTCCTCACCCTGGGATTAATTTCAAGAGCAATTAAACCAGAGAAGCTCCAGACCCGGGGACAACAAGCACAGAACAGGGCCCGGGGAGACCTACAGCAGGCGCAGAAGTGGAGGGGGGGTTCAGGAAAGTGCTTCACCAGAAGTGGAGGAGGTTCGGGAAAGTTCTTCCCGGGAACTGGAGGGGGTTCGGGAAAGTGCTTACCCGTCAAGCTCCTGTCCCATTGGCCAGCATGTTGGGCAGCAGTGGGCACACACACTCTCTGTGTTAGTTTGCTAGGGCTGCTGTAACAACGTGCTACAAACAGGGTCACCTAGAACAACAGAAACTTATTTCTTACTGTTCTGGAGGCTGGGAGTCTGAAATCAAGGTGTTGGCGGGGCCCCACTCCCTCCAGGCTTCTACGGTAGGCTCCCTCTCTGCTTCCCCCAGAGTCCCTTAGCTTGTGGCTGCCTCACTCTGATCTCAGCCTCCATCTCCATAAGGCTTCTCCCTTTGTCTGTCTTCACACGGCGTTCTCCTCTGTGTCTGTCTCTCCTCGTCTGTAAGGACGCCGGTCATATTTGATTAAGCACCCCACTCCAGCATGACGTCATCATCGTCTACATAATTACATCTGCAATGACCCCATTTCCAAATAAGGTCACATTCTGAGGTACTAGAGGCTAAAACTTGAACAAATCTTTCTGGGAGGACACAATTCAATCTGTACCACTCTACCAGCGGAAATGGCAAAGTTCCTCCGTGGAGAAAGTGACTGGACCAAAAGGAAAGATAGAAGATGCTAATATATAAGGTCTCCCCCCAACCACCACCCTGAAAAAAATAGGTAAGTCTTCAGCCATTGGGAAACTCACTACCCACCAAGTCCCACCCATAAATACAGAGCTCCGACTAGCTTTTCAGGGACTCATTCTCAAATATGAACAGTCAATCACACCCTCTAAGGATATCCCTAAATAAGCAGCAGAAATGTAAATGAAAGTGGGAAAGAAGTCCGGGCACGGTGGCTCATGCCTGTAATCCCAGCACTTTGGGAGGGTGAGGCGGGCAGATCACCTGAGGTCAGGAGTTCAAGATCAGCCTGACCAACATGGTGAGACCCCATCTCTACTAAAAACACAAAAATTAGCCGGGCATGGTGGTGGGCACCTATAATCCAAGTACTCAGGAGGCTGAGGCAGGAGAATTGCTTGAACCCGGGAGGCGAAGGTTTGTGAGCCGCTATTATGCCATTGCACTCCAGCCTGGGCAGCAGGAGTGAAACTCCATCTAAAAAAAGAAAAGAGGGAAGGAAGGGAGGAAGGGGAGAAGGAAGGGAGGAAGAAAGAGAGAGAGAAAGGGAGGGAGAGCAGGAGGGAGGGCCAACAGACTTGGAGGAAACAGACAACACAGAAAAAAAGAGAAAACTGTTCTACAGGGAAACAATATTCACAGGGCTCAAAGAAAAAATAATAATCCATGAAACAAGACAGGAATGTTACTTTTGAAATGAGAACATTTACAGAATAAGAAATCTTTTTTGTAGTTTTAGTAGAGATGTGGTTTCACCATGTTGGCCAGGGTAGTCTAGAACTGACCTCAAGCAATCCACGCACCTCAGCCTCCTAAAGTGTTGGGATTACAGGCATGAGCCACTGTGCCCGGCGTGGTGGCAGACACCTGCAATCCCAGCTACTCGGGAGGCTGAGGCAGGAGAATCGCTTGAACCTGGCAGGCTGAAGTTGCAGTGAGTCAGGCTCAAGCCACTGCACTCCAGCCTGTGCAATAGAGTGAGACTCCATCTCAAAAAAAAAAAAAAAATCTTTTAGAAATCAAAAATACCATAGCAAAAATTAAAAGTCAATAGAAGCTTTTACATTAACTTGAGAAAATCCCTGAGAAAGTATAATAAAAAGTCAAAGAGAGGTAATAAAACAGGGAAGCCTAGAAAATTACAGGCTCATCCAGGAGGTCCAACATCTGAGAAACAAAAGTGACAGAATGAAAGAACAGAAAACAACAAGAAGGAAATGATCAAATAAATAATATGGAAAAATTCCCAGGATTGGACAGTGTAAGTTTCCCGATCGAACAGTGAAACAGTGAATGAAGAAGAATTCTCATGAGGAAACATCCCTGTCACATTTCACAACACTGATAATAAAGAGAAAATCCTAACAACTTACAGAAAGCTAAAAAGAAAAACAAGATTGCATGGGTTTATACAAAGCATCAGGAATCAGAAAGCCTATCAGACATTCTCATCAGCAGCACTGGAAGGAAAGAGCCCATGGAGCAATGCCTTTGAAAGCCTGGAAAGAAAATATTTCCAACCTAAAATTTTACAACCAACCATTAATCAAATTCACTGCTAGGTAAGATGTCAAAAGTTATTATCCATTATCTTTGCTCAGAAGTTCACTAAAGGCTGTGTTACACCAAGGATGTGTAAAACCAAGTTGAGAGAGAAATCAGGAAAAAGGAAAACAAAGATTCTAGAAGACAGGGATCCCAGAGAAGACGCAGGGACAGTGCATTTCCAATACATGAGAAAGAACAACTGCTAATGCAGTGGGCACAAGGTCAAGATCAATGAGCCAGGCCCAGAGCAAGAGGATAGGGAGGTCCCAAAAGGGAGGCCTCCATGAATTTAGAAAGCAGATGGATCAGTGTTGCATTTAATGATTATTGAAGAGTTTGGGGGAAATATATATATATGCACAAGCGAACAAACCAAAGAAGAGGTTGTTTTAGCTCTCGTGATCATGTAAACACTGAAGAATTCTTTAAACAACACTTGTGATACAATTATCAGGGAGAGAGGAATGGCTGACATAAGACAAGGAAATGCTCATTCCCATAGAAGGAAGTCAGAGATATTTATAACTGGAGAAGCTGAGATGAACAGGATAAGCATTTCACAGGGAGGAAAATGACAGAAGAAAAAGTGAAAAGAGTTAAAGTGGCTTCAGGAAAGACAGAGGGTTGCTGGATTGTGGTTTATTTTTTTTAATCCCTTTTTAAAAAGAAAGAGAAAATCAAGACAAAAATTTTTTTAAATGTAGCTCCCTGTCAAATAATTCGTTTTCAAAATTTCTGAAGATGATTAAAGGGTGGAAAATTGGGGAAAAGGGTCCCAGCAACAGTATCAAGTTTATTTGTTCCCAAGCACTACTTTTCAATTTGGAGAGATGGAATTTTGGGCTTAAAGTTTAAAACTTTCTGACATAAATTTATATACACATATCCTTTTTACCATTTTAAAACAGAAAGAAAGAAAAGCAACGGATTGGCACATTCTTGAAATCCACCATACCTTTCAAAACAGCAGTAGAAGGAAATTGTGTGCAGTCTCCAAGGTGTAGTTTTCTGTCTTGGTGTCTCAGTTTTAAGGATTTGCCCTATAGCAAGCCGAAGCAAGAAGAAATTTATTTTAAAATGCCTTTTCTCATCTGTTCTTATTCTACTGAGTCCCTCGGTCATAAGTAAAACAGATAGATTGTGTTTTCTGAAACAGATTCCAACCTTATCACAAACTGATAAGCATATCCCATCCTTGGTGATTTGAAGAGACTCTGGAGTGGCTTGGGGCAGTGCCTATGGACTAGAACTGCCTGCCAAGGAGACCCATGCTGTTCACAGGTCATTCCTGATATTTACATGTACTGGTAGTTTTAGCTGTGCCATGCCAATATGCCTTCCAAACGTGTTTTTCATCATTCTTCTAAGACACGGGGCTTAGTTAGGGAAGGTTCTGAAGACTAAACTATAAATATCTGCTTTTCATTAATTCTAAATGAACAGCCATTCTGTGTTCCCAGAAAATTTTCCTGCTTAGGAAGGAAATCCAAAAGATAATTTGGAGAGTTGCTCCCCAGATGTACCATATTTTGTGAATGAAATTAACTGCGGCTTTTGTGTTTTAAAATCTGAGACAGCACAAATAAAACAACTACTAAAGAACAGGACACATGATCATCTCAACTGTGTCTGTGTTCCATCATTCTTTAACTCATTCAACATACCTTTTATGCAGTAGGCACTATATTAACTGTAGGGATGCAGTCTGGTGAGCGTCCCATCCACCATGCGAAGCCAATCTGAAATTTCCAATATCTGTGACTTTTCCCCTGTTTACAGGAAATAGAGGACAACCTGCTGGGTGTGGCGGAGGGTATGATTGTTCCTCTACCATGTGTGCTCCTGCCTGGTAGAAGATTATATATTCCCTCCAATCATCATTGATTTACCGAACCCACCTTTATGCAGATTTTAATTCTTTTTTTTTTTTTTTTTTGAGACAGAGTTTCGCTCTTGTTGCCCAAGCTGGAGTGCAATGGTGCGATCTTAGCTCATTGCAACCTCCACCTCCCAGGTTCAAGCGATTCTCGTGCCTCAGCCTCCCAAGTATCTGGGATTAAAGGCATGTGCCACCCACGCCTGGCTAATTTTGTATTTTTAGCTGAGACGGGGTTTCACCATGTTGGTCAGGTTGGTCTTGAACTCCTGACGTCAGGTGATCCACCACCCCACCCGCCTTAGCCTCCCAAAGTGCTGGGATTACAGACATGAGCCACCGTGCCCGGCCTAGATTTTAATTCTTCATCGCACTGCCAGCCTTGACTATGTGACTAGCTTGAGCCAATGGAACTTGAGAAAATGTGATATATGAGAAACACATCACAAATTTCTGCAACCCCCAACTCTCCTTTCTACATGCTACAAAATGAGCACATATGAAATAGGAGCTGTTTTTCCAGGATACTGGATTCCTAGAGTCCAGCTGCAGCAGCCCAGCTGTTAGCGAATCCAAGGCCACTTTTTGTGTAACATAAGGAAGAAAGAAATGTTCAATGTTCAAAGTCACTGAGATTTGGGGGTTGTTTGTTATCACAGCAGAGCTCACTAACAGACCAGGTTAGTAGTACCATGGCAACAGCTGTGTACTGCAAAGATGGTGGAAGATAGTTTCCTAAAACATAAGGATCTTCTCTTTCCACATCCTCTCTTTTCCCAAAATACATTCAGGCTTGCGCCTCTTAAGGTCTAATTCTACTCTTCACTTTTAATCTGTACCCAAAGATCTGGATTGAGCTCTTTGAAACTTCTAGTTAAATCCAAAAGTCTAGTAAAAGCCCTTATTTTCTAAAAGAAATGATTCTACTTGGGCTGGGCGCAGTGGCTCATCCCTGTAATCCCAGCACTTTGGGAGGCCAAGGCGGGTGGATCACCTGAGGTCAGGAGTTCGAGACCAGCCTGACCAACATGGTGAAACCCGGTCTCTACTAAAAAACAAACACTATTAGCCAGATGTGGTGGCACATGCCTGTAATCCCAGCTACTTGGGAGCCTGAAAATGGAGAATCGCTTGAACCCAGGAGACGGAGGTTGCAGTGAGCAGAGATTGTGCCATTGCACTCCAGCCTAGGCAACAAGAACGAAACTCCATCTAAAGAAGGAAGGAAGGAAGGAGAAAGAAAGAAAGAAAGAAAGAAAGAAAGAAAGAAAGAAAGAAAGAAAGAAAGAAAGAAAGAAGGAAAGAAAGAGAAAGAAAGAAAGAAAGAGAGAAAAGAAAAGAAAAAAGAAAGGAAGGAAGAGAAAGAGGGAGGGAGGGAACAAATCACAATACCATTTAAGACTTCTTTTGATTTAACTTGCCATTAAAAAATATGGTGGCCAAGAAAATGTATAATGAACAAATCTTCTGTAGGTAGCTGTTGATAAAATTTAACAATTTCAAAACAGAAATGGGCCAGAGTATACAAAAGTCATGGCCATCCCTGTGGAAGGGGAGGAGAGTAAGGCCATGCTTGCTCCAAGAACCATCCTTCAGAGATGTGAGGCCAGGTCATGCCTCACTGGCCCTCATTCTCCTGAAGATGGACATTGGGATGAGCTTTATGAGTCCTGAGGGGTGGGCAGACCAAGGAATCATTGTTGTTCACTCCCACTTCTCAGACACGGACATTACGCAGCTCCAAGGGAGTTAGGACTCAGCAGCTGAAAACCACCAATTCATGCCTCATCAGTGTCAATGTCAGTCCCCACACTTGTACTTCCAGATGTCTATGAGGTTGTGCCAAGCAGCCCCTCTCACATGCCTTACCACTGGGTTCCAGTGGTGTCTCTACTCTGGCTGTGAAAGGCCATGTAGTGCAGCACAGTGGCCCCTCAGCCATTCTGGGGTGGCTTTGGTTCATCCCTTTGATGTGAAGTCCTACCCTCATCTCCTGCAAGGTGGCTCTCCATCTCAGTCTGTAAAGTTCCTGCATGGCTGTGAGTCTCTGCAAAGATGCAGTTCTGTCCCCTCTGATCTGCTTCGTTAATGGCAGGACAGCAGGCAAGCTGAGTTTCGGGTCTTGTTTCTGGTTTGAGGTTCGGTTTTGGTATTGATGTTCTTCACTACCCAACAATGCCAACTCCTTCTCTGACACCAGGTGCCTCCCTGACTCATCATCATGGGGAAGCCCCACTCTCTGGAAAGTGGCCCCAAGGTCAGGAAGCCTCATCTGCTATAGGCTCTGTGCATTCTGTGGGGGCCCCTGCCACCTCCATCAAGTGGCAATGATCAGCACTGAGTGCAGGCTCAATGGTGGGAACATCACATGCTTTGCCTTCTCTAACCTCACCACAACACCATGAGACACTCTTGTCACCATTGACATCTACAGATGAGGAAAATGAGGCTTGGAGCAGTTAAGAAATCTGCCCAAGCTCACTGTTCTAATAAGTGATAAAACTGAGATTTGAACCCAGACAGTTGAGCCCTGCACAAACTCCCAAGGGGGGAAGATGAAGACAGACTTCAAATAGACCCAGAGTTCAGTCGTAAAGGTGCTTGAGATTTAGATGGGCCTGGGAAGAGAGCCCCACAGCCTCAAGCAGTCATTGTGCATCCTTCCTCTATTCATAACTCTCTCAACTCTCCATCCCTCTCCCTCCTCTTAAAATATCAGGGCATTTACTGGGATTATTCTGTAAAGGAGCTGGAGAAAATCAAGCTTCCTCAATTCCTAGCATTGAACAAATGCTTTGCCAACCAAAACCATTTCTCCTCACAATTTGATTGGATGTTGGCAGGTGGCAAAGGAAGCAAGTGCTGAGTTCTCCACTCATTCTTCTGTCTGATGAGTGTCTTGAGCCTCCTCTTTCCCATGAGTCTCTTTGAATCACTGGTGCAATAGGAGAGCTTCATGTCACACCAAAATATGTCAATCCACAGAATTCAAAAATTTCATCATTAAAAGCCTCCTGAGAGAGCGTCTAGTGCAAATCTTCATCCTACAGATGAGGAAACTGAGGCAAGAAGAGACCATGACTGGCACAGGAAGGTCTAGCTGCAGATCCACTGCAGAGCCTCAGCCTCCAGCTCCCTGCCAGTCCCAGCTCTCTTGATGACCTTCTCATCTTTCTGTGGTTCTCCAGGTGGGCTGCTGCATACTCTCTAACCCTCAACCACAAACTTCCTGAGGAGAACATTGACTTTTTCTCTATATTTTCAGTGTCAACATGTTTTTCCTTTTTTTTTTTTTTTTTTTTTTTTTTTTTTTTTTTACTATTTTGATCTTTGGTAGAAGACACACTATAATGATGCTTCTTCCCTATTGTAAATCAGCCTTGGTTTTTCCCTCATGTCATGCACATCACCTAAGTGACACCGAGTCACATCCCTGCAATGTTCATGGGGAAAGAAACGGGCTTCTTCTGCCCTTTTGTCCTTGTTGGCTTTCCAGCCCTCAGCCTGTATCCAAGATGCAAACAGTTGAAGCTTCTATACAGTTGCTTGAGATCACAAGTCTCCAAGATACTGAAAACATATGAAACTCAAGTTTCAGATACAAAAATTACAGGCAGAATAAAGACAGGGTTGAAGGCAAAATTCTTTTATCCTATTAGCCCCAAAATAAACGTAAGTGTGTCCCTAGCTTGGTGAGAACTTTTTGCAAAGGCTGCTGAGCAGCCCTGTGGGACTCTGGGGATTGTTGGTGCCCTGAATCCACTTACAACCCAGAAAGGAGGCACCCAGCCAGGAGGCGGGGCCCATGCTCACTGGAGTCCCTCAGCTTGCACCACTCCCTCACCTCTTGACTATGCTTCCCGTGACTCTGTCTCTATAGCATCTGACTTTTTTATTTTTTTAGACAAAATCTCACTCTGTCACCCAGGCTGGAGTGTGGTGGCACAATCTTGGCTCACTGCAGTCTTCACCTCCTGGATTCAAGCCATTCTCCTGCCTCAGCCTCTTGAGTAGCTGGGACTACAGGCATGGGTCACCACACTCAGCTAATTTTTTTGTATTTTTAGTAGAGACGGGGTTTCACCATGTTGGCCAGGCTGGTCTCAAACTCCTGAGCTCAAGTGATCCACCCACCTCAGCCTCTCAAAGTGCTGGGATTACTGGCATGAGCTACCACACCCAACCTAGCATCTGACATTCTCAACACTTCTTCCATTGCCATTCTGAGCTTATTCCTTGGGCTTAAGATGATCAGGATGTCAGAAATTTGGATCTATAACAAGGAAAAAAAGAGCTAACTTCTTGGTAGAACTTGACAAACTGATTCTAAAATTCACAAGGTACCCAGAATATCATGTAAAAGTAGAGCAGAGCTGAAGGACTCACTCTTCCTGATTCCAAAACTTACTACAAACCAACAGGAATCAAGACCACATGGGACTTACATAAGGATAGACATATAGATTAATGAATCCAAAAAGGCCCAGCAATAGACTCTTACATTTATGTTTAATTGATAACTAAACCTTTACATTTATGTTCAACAAGAGCACTAAAACAACTCCAAGGGAAACAGTTGTCTTTTCCATCATTCTTGGGAAAACAAGATATCCACATCCAAAAGAATGAACTTTGATCCCTACCTCACCTCATATACAAAAATTAACTCAAAATGAATCAAAGACCTAAATGTGGCTTGATGCAGTGACTCATTTCTACAATCCTAATGCTTTTGGAGGCCAAGGTGGGAGGATCACTTGAGCCCAAAAGTTTGAGACCAGCCTGGGCAACATAGTGAGACCACGTCTCTACAAAAGAGTTAAAAAATTAGCCATGCATGGTAGCACACAACTGTAGTTTCAGCTACTCAGGAGGCTGAGGTGGGAGGAGCTGGAGCCCAGGAGGTTGAAGCTGCACTGTGATCACACCACTGCACTCCAGCCTGGACCATGGAGCAAGATCCTGTCTCAAAAAAAAAAACAAAAAAACAACTAGCCATAAGAGCTAAAACTATAAAAACTCCTAGAAATAGATATAGGGGTATATCTTCACAACCTTAGATTAGCCAATGGTTTTTTTTTTAGATATGACACATAAAAAAAGCAACAAATAGAAAAATAGAAAAATTGGACTTCATCAAATTTTAAAACTATTGTGTTTCAAAAGACACTTTTAAGAAAGTGAAAAGACACCCCACAGAATGGGAAAAAATACTTGCAAATCACATATCTCATGAGAGATTTGTATCTAGAATAAATTATGAGTTCTCACAACTCAATAAAAGATAAAAAAAACCCAATCTGTAAAATGGGCAAAGCGCCTAAATAGACATTTCTCCAAAGGAGATGTACAAATGACCAATAAGTGTATGAAAAGATGCCCAATGTCACCAGTCATCAGAGAATGACAAATCAAAACCACAAAGAACTACCACTTCCAATTCACTAGGATGACTTAGATAACAAGTATTAATGAGAATACAGAGAAACTGGAACTCCCACACACTGCTGGTGGGAATGTAAAATGGTGCAGCCACCTCAAAAAAAAAAAACTTTCTGGCAGTTCCTCCAAAGGATCAACATAGAGTTATCCTATGACCCAGCAATTCCACCCCTAGCTATACACTCAAAAGGATTGAAAACAAATGTTCACACAAAAGCAAAACAAAAAAAATGTTTATTTTAGTAGCATTATTCCTAATAGGCAAAAAGTAGAAACAACCCAAATGTCCATCAAGTGATGAATGATCAAAATGTATTACATCCATGCAATGGAATATTAATCATCTATTAAAAAGAATGAAGTATTGATACACGCTACAACGTGGATGAACCTCAGAAACATTACGCCAAGTGAAAGAAGGCAGTCACAAAATATCATGTGTTCTATGATTCCATTCCTATGCAATGTTTGAATAACCAAACCTGTAAAGACAGAAAGGTCAGTAGTTGCCTAGAGCTGGGGAGCAGGAGGCAAGCGGAATACAGTGAGATGAGATGAAGTGAAATAGGATGAAATGAAATCATGCATCTTGTGCATTGACCCAGCAATGGAGAAGTGGGGGGCAGGCTGCAGGCTGGGGGCTGTCACTGGTCTGAAGGAGAGGATGTGGATTGTTGGCTACTCCATCTGACCTCCAATTTCTCTGTGGTGAAATGACAATAATGCCCTCATCTTTCCGGCCTCCCAGGGTTATCATGGAGATTGGTTGAGAGGAGTAAGTAGAAGAGATTAAAGGCCACAGAATGTTTTAGCACATGTAACAAATAAAGAGCCTTGGAACTTCACAGCCATTCATACTGTTCTCTTTGCCTGGAACATCCTCTCCCTCTTCTCCACCCAGACACTTAACAATCACTTCTGCTGTGCAGCCGTCCTTGGCAACCCAGACAGAGTGATGCCCTCCTGCAACAGGGCTGCCAGCAGGAGTGTACCCGACCTCCGTGTCATCACTTGTGCACACTGTGATAAGACCATGCACCTCTCGCAGACAGGACATGAGCTTTCACCTCTCTGTGTCCAGCCCACTGCTGACCACAGCACTGCAGGAGGATGAGCCCCTGCAGGAAGGAATGCTGGCTCTCTGGGGTAGATAAAGAAGGTTCTGGGGAAGGGAAGGGAGGAACAGGAACATGGGCTCCCTGCCAGGCTGTCCCAGGTCCGGGATGCCATCGGCAAGTGGGCGGGGACAGGCCTGGGTAGATGACATGGTAGTGAGTAAGTGGGGAGGCAGGCCAGCAGAGGAGCCAGGCTCACCTCCCGCCCGCCCACCTCGGCCACAGACCGGGAGGGGTCGGAGCACTGCGTTGGGGTTGATGAGCAGACGACTGCCAGGCAGCCATTCACAGGAAATGGCACAGACGCACATTGTTCCAGCTACCCCCCATCCTCCCTCAGGGGCAAAGTGAATGAGATACTCACCAAGGAAGCCGTTAGCAAAGGCGGACACTGATTCATGGTTTATAAGCAATGGTGAAGTCCTTTTTCCACTGGCTGCAGCCACGAATGGCCGAGAAGCTGTAAACAGTAACCGTAACCATGCATGAGCATCCCTACCTCGCTGTCTCCTCAACTCACCTCTCCAGCCCCGAGCGGGGTCACTGAGCATTGGAGAACTGCCCCGTAGCTTCTCACCTGCACGTTGGCAGTCTGCGTCCCCAGGAAACACACATGATCACTTTCTCAGACACCCAAGACCTGCATCAAATCTGCCAACTAAACTCTGGGAGGGGTGGCGAGTGGGCTGCAAGCCTGTTTCTTAGAAAGACAGTGAAGGAGAAGATAACAAGGCCTCAAGTTTGCCCAATAGGCTTTCTGGACAGCAGCATGGCCGGGAACTTGGTGGCAATAAGGTTGATGGCATCATTGCTTTACTCATTCATTCATGCCACTAAGCTGTCCCTGAGAGCTACCATGTGCCAGACTGTGCCATGGGCTAAAGGTACAGAAGGTACAGAACACAGATGGCTGCGTGTGACTCTTAGTGCAGGGGAAGGACTTTGCACTCTCAGGACATCCTCTGCACCCTTTTGCCACCTTCAGACTCCCAAGGAAGGAAGCCCATCCAGGTGCCGCCAGAGAGAGGTGCCTGGTAATCATGTCTATTGATGGCAACCACAGTGGAGATCCCGGAGCACAGGAGAAAAAAGCCCAGGAACCTTCCCTTTCCAGAATTGTCTGGGCCAGGCTGAGCTGCCCGGATGGCTTACAGCTCTGCACTCTGTATCATGGCTAAGGATGAGGGCTGTGATGGGTGATGGCCACATCATTGGCTACTCCCCCTCCAGCCCCTAGGATTCATTGTCCACGGGAGAGCCCATCTCCCAGCTGCTGCAGGTGCTGCTAAGCGCTCGCACAGGTAGCCTTCCCTGGAGAATCATCCCTAAGCAACAGCGGCCCCTCCCCAGAGGTCCCAAGAACTATGTCTCCCTCCAGAGAAGGCCCAAAGCCAAAGACTGGCAAAGGGAAGGCTGCCAAGCACTACAGGGCAAATCTAATGAATGCCCCTGAGCAACATGAGAGCCGGCTCGGCTGCACTTCCCCTGCACACCCCTTGCCCCACTTCCTCCCCGACCTCTCCCGCTCCCCTCCCTCCTGTGCTAGCTTCTCCCACAGCATCCATATCCCTTGATCAGTCACTTGCACTGAGAATTTGTCTCAGGCACTGTTTCCACGGAGCCAGACCTAAGACAGGTGTAAGCCAGAGGGTCTGGATCAAATCCCAGGTGTGATAAGTCACCGGGGGCCAAGTACTCAACCTCACCAGATCTCACTGTCTTTCTCTGTAAAATAAGGATAATAGTCACACTTGCACATAAGGGTGCAGTGCAGAGTGCATGCGTGCATAACACTTAAAGTAATTGGAACACACCTGGCCCATCAAAAGCACCTGGAGGAGACATCAGTTCTTACCACTGTAGCCAGAAGGTTGTCTCTCTGAGCTACAAATAAGACACTGGACACCCATTTAGTCAACCTTCTACAGACGATCACAGCCCAACCCAATCAAGCACCTACGTTTCACATTAGGCATGTCCATTTCAGGGTGTCTTATCCAGCGGCTGAGTTTGAAGGATCATTTTCAGGGTGAAAATTGGAAGAACTGATGAAGCTCACAAAAGCAAATAAATAAGCACGGCTTTTGCAGGATGCTTCCAGCAGAGCAGTGCTGGCAAGCCTGGCTGCCTGTCAGAGCCACTGGGGGGCTTATTAAAACTGCTAGCTCCCCTCCACCACCATCCCCCACCCCTTCCCTAGCTCCGCCCCTGAAGGTCTAATTCAGTCTAGTCAGCTGGAGTCATAAAAGCCTTCCTGGAGAAGAAGACACCTAATCTGGGTCTGGAAGGATGTGTGGGAGTTGTTCAAATGGAGCAGCCGTGCGGGGGCAGGACATCCCAGCACAGGGGACTGTGAGAGCCACGACGTGGGCCCTGGAACCCTGTGGTAGATGCAGAGAACCACAAACATTTCCGTACGGCTAGAAAGCGAGTGGGGGTGGCAGGAAGTGGTGGGAGGGGCTCACGATGCCAGTAATGACCATATTCAGGGGTGCTCCCGAGCCCTCCTTCCTTATGCCCCACGTGCTCCCACATCACCCCAGGAGATAATAAACGAAGGCGTGCACATGGGGGTCAGGCCCCTGGGAGTCAACAATGACTTCGGAGACCTCAGAGAGTCTGCAAGAAGCTTCCCTGGCTGCGTCCCTTGCCCCTTTAGGACCTGTAGGGGCCGTCTTTGCTGGGTGAGGTGCAGCTGAACTAAGGGTGAGCTGCTTTCCTCTGCCACCACAGGACTCAAATCCCATGGGGCCCCAGAGCAGGTGGACGGTGGTCCCCTGGCTTCTGCATGGCTGTGCCAGCCCACCCTTACAGGGACAGCATCACAGGCAGCAGAACTTCCAGCATTCTCAAAGGAGCTAGAAATTCCACCTTTTTTGTGAGATTTGAATTTTTACATGTTGGAGCAAATTTTTTCTCTGAAGCAAAACACATTTGCAGAGTCGTGACCTCTGCCAGGGAAGTGGGACAGAAGCTGGAGCCAGAAGACCTGAGGACAGGTCTCAATTCTGTCCCCTGGCTCACCAACAAGGGAGGGGTGGGCCACAGGGTCTTTCAGTGCCTTCCCAGCTGGACATTTCTGACCTCTCCTCTTCTCCTCTCCAAAATAAAAAAAAAAATCCTTAAATTTTCTAACCACCTCGGTGTAATTTTACTAGAGCATTAACTGAATTATAAATGTGTCTATTCAAACAAGGGCCTGGCCAGTGAAATTTTAACCAACTACCTGATTTCCAACTGTTTTCCATTGACCCATATATTAAAATAGTAGAAGGCCTTGGTCTCATGAGGCTTCTGGAGAAGCCTGCACGCAGCAGGAATGACACCCTGGTTGTGGAATTTCACTAGGCAACAGGCTCCAAACAGAAAATGTTAGCACTTTTGAGGACAAATAGTGTTTCTGGTACACTCTCTCCCCACCCCTTTCCTTTATCTAGTTTCTGCTCTTTCTTTGCTCTTTTATTTTTACTACTCCTTTTAAGAGTTCGTGTGTATTTTTACTAAACTTCAGTAGTACATATCCCCTCGCCAAAATGCTCCCTTCTCACTTTACACACTGCTGAAAATTATCATGCTGGCCCCTTCCTTGGAGTACAGTTCTGCCCTGTTGAAATGCTCACCCAGGAGGGGGCACCGAATTCCTGCTTTGTCACCAGGGACTGGGTGTTCAAAGAGTCGTTCATGGGGTGGGGCGTGTGGCCATGCCAGATAGCTGGTCAACCCCGGAGGAAGGCCAGCCCCAGGAGGGAGCAAGTGCAGTGTAGGGTCCAGCCAAGGGTTTATGAGCCTGAAGATTGGTTCAGGCAGCGGCGCCATCCTAAGGGAAAAACAGATACACCTCGAAGAGAAGCTGCTCCACCACTGCACCTGCTCTGTGCCACATGGAGGGTAAATGTC
The DNA here is from genome assembly GCF_000001405.40 of Homo sapiens. Lineage (NCBI taxonomy): Eukaryota > Metazoa > Chordata > Mammalia > Primates > Hominidae > Homo > Homo sapiens. The sequence goes on from NC_000002.12 coordinate 237,436,594, forward strand.
TGCTAAATGAACGCAAATGAAGAGGTCACCCCTTCATACTGTTGACTATCCCACCTGTGAGGGCCCAGGAGCAGAATGGTCACCTGGAGATCCAACAAGGTGGCTGTTTCCTTCATAGTCATCAGTAAGACTCTGCAGAAAACTCACTCCGCAGGGATTAGGCCAAAAAGAGGATGTGTCAGGAGTTTACAGGGTACCCTGGGTTGAATGGTGGCCCCAGAAAGGTATATCCATGTTCTAATCCCTAAACCTCAGAATATGGCCGTATTTGGAAAATGGGTCTTTCAGGTGTAATTAAGAATTTCGAGGCCAGGCGCGGTGGCTCATGCAGGTAATCCCAGCACTTTGGGAGGCTGAGGCGGGTGGATCGCCTGAGGTCAGGAATTTGAGACCAGCCAGGCCAACATGGTGAAACCCCGTCTCTACTAAAAACACAAATAATTAGCCAGGTGTGGTGGCACACGCCTGTAATCCCAGCTACTTGGGAGGCTGAGGCCAAGATTCACTTGAACCCAGGAGGAGGAGTTTGCGGTGAGCCAAGATCGTGCCACTGCACTCCAGCCTGGGTGACAAAGAGAGACTTTATCTCAAAAAAAAAAAAAATTTTTGAGATGAGATTATCCTGGACTGCCTAGGTGGGCCCTAAATCCACAAATAGTGTCCTTAGAGAGGGGGAAGAGAGAAGACTTGCAAGGGGAGCAGGAGGGGAAGGTCCTGTGAAAATGGAGAGATTGGGGCCGAGGAACACCAGAGCCACCAGAACCAGAAGAGGCAGGAAGAATTTTCCTCCAGAGCCTCTGGAAGGGAGCACAGCCCTGCCCACACCTGGATCTCAGACTTTTGGACTCTAAAACTGTGAGAAAATACATTTCTGTCATTCTAAGCCATCACGTTCATGGTGATTTGTTATGGCAGCCACAGGAAACAAAGAGAGGATGTCACCCTTAGAAGGGGTCCCATGGCACCTTGCCCAGTGAGGACAGGAGCTCAAATAGGACATGGGGAGGGTCAGAGAAGCAGCACTGGCTGGGGGTGATCTAAGCACCTGAGCCCATTTCTGTGGGCAGCCCCAGAATCAGCCATGGTCAGTGGACCAGAGAAAGGCCACTCCATGGAATAGCTTTTGGGGACCCAGGAGCCCGGTGGGTGCTGCACCTGTCCAGGACAGCTTGCTAAGGCATCAGTCATCACCAGAGTGACCCGCAGGCTGCCAGCTCCAGATGGTGTCTGCCAACCATCCATCCACAACGTGAGCCCATCAAGGCCCCCATCCACTCTGAGCCTCTCAGACCTAACTGTTCAGGCACCCCGGGGAGACAACCCCACAGCCCCGCAGGCCACTTTGTGCCTGGATTTGAGGAAGAAAGGAGCTGCTGTACTTAAACTCTGGGGCCAGGCTGCATGATAAACCCCTTCAAAGCAGGCATGAGTGCAGAGAATGCCCTGTTACATTTTATTTTTGAATTTCTAATTTAAAAAAATACACAGGGGAGTCCTAGTTTTAAGATACTGGAGTAGAAGCTTTTCCACTCCCAACTTTTCTCAAAAAGCACATTTTAGCAAGGAGAACAGGGAAATAGGGACACAAAAGATATTTATAACCCCAGTTCACAACGTGAAAGCAGGAAGCAGGCAGATGAATGGGAAACTTACAGCAGGGCCAGAGAGGGCGGGACTTAAGGCCGGTGGGAGAGAGAACAATGAGAAGCATATCCAGGAAGGCTTGGGAACTGCAGGTGACAGGTACCTGTGCAGGTAACTGCAGGTGACATAGCCTGTAGATCCTCCACCCAGGAGGCGAGGGCAGGGGTTGCTGGAAATAGCGCATGGTGTAAACATCTGTACAAGGAGCCCTCTGGCCTGGGTTCCACATCCAGGTGGCCCCAAGATGCTGAGACAGGAAGTTTATTCTCTGGGGAAAGTGAACCAAAGGAACCAAACCTGCAGGCACATTGGGAGAAAAGAGTGGCTGGACTGAAACCCAGCGGGCCAGGAAATTGTGCATGCCGAGCATGGAAATTCCCAGTCCTGCCGTCTCACCCAGATCACCAGTAGCCCTTGCCCCAACCCAGCTGGCAATCAGAGAGTCCTTTTCTACAGAAACCAAACTGCTCCAGAGAAAACAGCCACAGAGATTGACCACTGGGGGTTCCTAATGAACAAGCCAGTTGGCCTGCAGCTCACCCTGCAGTAAAGCCCAAGTTACTCATGTTTAGAAACCCTCCTACCATCATCCTGAGGCCCCAAATTTACATATGTGCCTGCCATAGAAGTCAAAGACCAAGGACAATCAACAAATGGGGAGGGGGAGGAGTTAAAGTAAGCAATAAAGAGAGCAGAATAAAACTTCAAAAAACACTATATTTTATAACCTCAAAGAAAGAAAAAATAATGCATTCTTAAAACAAGAGCAGGATGTTATTTTAAATTTTTTTAAAGGCAGAATATTTAACTGCCACTTTAGTTAAAAACACAAGGATCAAAAGCAAAAAAAATAGGCCGGGCACGGTGGCTCACACCTGTAACCCCAGCACTTTGGGAAGCCAAGGTGGGCAGATCACCTGAGGTCAGGAATTCAAGACCAGCCTGGCCAAAATGGTGAAACCCTGTCTCTACTAAAAAATACAAAAATTAGCCAGGCGTGGTGGTGGGAGCCTGTAATCCCAGCTACTTAGGAGGCTGAAGCAGGGAGAATTGCTTGAACCTGGGAGGCAGAGGTTGCAGTGAGCCCAGATCACTCCACTGCACTCTAGCATGGGCAACAGAGCAGGACTCCATACCAAAAAAAAAAAAAAAATAGCAAAAAGGATAGACAATAATGTTGAGAAAATCTCCAAGAAGGCTGAACAAAAATAAAAGGAATTTACAATGGAAGGGAAAAGATAAGACCATTAAAGGATCAATCTATTCCAGAAGCCTCAAAATGGAGAGAAGAAATTATTAAAGAAATAACACAAGAAAACTTCCCAGAATTGAACGACTTGCATTAATAGATTGAAAGGGTGGCCAGGCAAGGTGGCTCACACCTGTAATTCCAGAACTTTGGGAGGCCAAGGTTGGAGGATCTCTTGAGCCCAGGAGGTCGAGGCTGCAATAAGCCTTGATTGGACCACTGCACTCCAGCTTGGATGATAGAGCAAAAGCCTGTCTCAAACAAAAAAGAAAAAAGAAAAGAAAGAAAAAGAAAAGAAAATATAAGGAAAAAGAAAGGGCCTAAAACAACCAACCATTAACTCTTGCTATGCCTCTTGAATCCCATGTTATAATAGGACATGATGCCCTCATCTTCCCTCTGCCCCTCCTCAGCACCTTCCACCACCCCACTCTGTGGAATCATTGCTCTTATTTTATTATTTTTAAAAATTTGGGAATATTAACATTCAATGCTGTTTCCATATGGAGTAAATTATCCAAAAATTGAATCTGAAAGTTAAAAACCTATCACTGCTACACACAGATATCACACACACACAATGTAAATGTGTGTCACTGCACAGCTGAGTAGGGTGCTGGTGTTGCATTTCCTTCTCTGGAAGGCCAACAATGCAACTAAAAAGGAATTGTCTCTGGACATGAGTCCTTTTTGCACTCTGCTAATTGCCTTATATCTTTGCAAGACCCTCCAGGATCTCAATTGCTTTATCTCTTTTACTCTTTCCTCCTTTCCCAGAGACTTCCTCTCAGCCTTTCCCTCCAGCCTGTGCCCCACTGCCACCATCCTTGCAGAGAGTATGGTGCTCTTACAATCAAATGCACCAACTGCTAGAAGTCAGGTCTGGCTCTTTCTTGATTTAATTTCTTCTCTTTTGGGAGAATGTCCTCCATTCACCTCCCATGGAAAGATGCATGAGAGGTAAACTTGCTTAGTTAGTCCACGCGTGAAAAAATCTTTGTTATTCCCTCACACTTGAGCAATAGTTTAAGGATGTTGAATACTGAGTTTAAGGTGTCATAAACTAAAGTCCTTTTCCTTTAGAACTCGCTCCGTTGGCTTCTAGCATCCAGTGCTGCTGGTGAGGATTCTGAGAAGCCTAGTATTTAATTCTTCATGAGTGATCTTTGTCACACTCTCTTTCTGTCATTGAAAATGTCTTCCCCTCCATGCTGCCTGGTCTTGCTTGTTGTCTTTTTGAGGCATGGGAAGACAAATTTAAAACAAATTGAAAAACAAGGAAGTGCCAGATGGGAGATAGAAAACATCACCTATATTACTGGGGGAGGCCAAGTTGGAGGATGTGCCTCATGGTGAAAACCAAATGAGACAGCTTCAGAAACAGGACAGCTTCAGAAACAGGACAGCTCCAGAAACAAGACAGCTCCAGAAATGACACAACTCCAGAAATGAGACAGCTCCGGAAATGACACAACTCCAGAAATAAGACAGCTCCAGAAATTGCACAGCTCCAGAAATGTTATAGTTCTAGAAATAAGACAGATTCAGAAATCACACAGCTCCAGAACTGGGTTGACTCATCCACCCAGTTTCAGTGGCACTGGGGTCACAGCAGACCTCCTGACAGGGGGACAGAGTAGAAAATGCTCCTAGCAGGAGGCAGTTCCCTCTGAAGAGGAAGAAAGACAGAGCTGCCCCTGCCCAGTAACCTTCCAACGTTTACCCATCAGAAGGGTCACAGGGCCCTTCCTGGAGAGAGATCTGGGAGAGGAGCAGGGAAGTGTGAGTGCCACATCAGGGAGAGAGAAAGGCTGTCCCCACATTGTAGTCTCTGAAACTGCGGATAGTCAAACATCAGAGCTTTTGACTTGAGCCTTTGTGGCTTTTCTCCCATATTCTTTATTTCTTGGTCTTTTTGTACTATTTTCTGGGAGATTTCTCCTACTTCTCTTCCAACACTTGTACTGATATTTTTCCCACACTTTAATTTTGCTGCACCTTCTCATGGTGACCTATTCTCACAGCCCTCTATTCACGCTTCGTAAATTATCTTTTTACAAAATTCATCTAAGTTGCTCATTTAGATGGGGTTTAAGGGTTTGTTTGATTTCTTTTTTATTGTTGTTCTTGCTGGTTGTGTGTATGTGTGGGAGGAGGGAGGGGGAATTGGGTCATCTGCAAGGCAGACAAGAAGACAGAGTCAGAGAGAATGAGATGTGTTGGCAGAAAAGCCTGTGATGATTAAGATCAAAGGGAGAAGGAGGCTTTCCAGCCTGCCTCCAGATTCTGAGCTGAACCATCTGTAAACCAGGCTTCAGCTTTTTGTTTCTCCTCTGGCAGAGCCTATCAGACCCACCCACAGGGCTGTTGATGCTAGCTGGGGGAGGGCACTGGCCCATCGTGGCAGAGGACGTGGTCATCTGGGACCACTGCTTGTATAGCTCACTTATGTCCTCTGGTCCTGTTCAGGCTCCATGCCAGCTGTGCCATTTCCATGTGAAAATGGACTTCCCCAGGCACACCCAGCTATATGATGTGGTGGGTCTGACCACCAATCCTACACTCTTAAAATCCCCAAGGCTGAGCCTGATCCATCCTCCTCCCTTCCAGAGTATGGATTTGTGATTCACTGTCATGGTGGGTGGGGAGTAGAACTTCAGAGCACTCTACTTGGTCTTCCTCATCACAATTGTTCTTACTCCATACTCCAAGATTCAGCATGGGTGCTGAACCCACTGCCAAATATATTGACCCCAGTTACATATCTGGGAAGTGAATGCAGAATTAAATGCAATGCAGTAATAGCCAGCCATTTTCACTCTCCTCATGTGCACTGTTGCCTCTGTATGTTTCAAAAGATCGAATCATCACACTCGTCAGGGCTTTCCCTCTTGAGTGGGACATTTGTGCAAGTCACCGCCATTAAAATTGTTACTGCTGGGCCACTATCTTGTGCTGGGGACTATCCCTAGCCCCATACCACTTAGGATAAAGTCTCCCTTGCCAACCAGGCAGTGGGAAATCCAGCTCCTAAACCCAATTCTTAGGTCCTCTGCAAACAAAAGCAAAAATAACATCTTTAGATATTGATGTAGGTGTAACACCTCTGTAGGGAGAGGGAGGAAGGACTGTGATGGTGGGAAGAGCCTCTGCCAGCCCATCAGGGAGCTCTGGTGCAATGATATCCTCAGAGAAACAACACAGAGCCGGGGATGGGTGGCCCTTGTACCACCGCTGTTCTCCATCTTTGGCTGGGGGCTGCTGGCAGAGCATGTGGTCTTGGCTCAGAAGCAGGGCGGAACCTGAAGGCACCCAGTCAGAGCTGCCTGTGAGCTGCAGGCTCCCTTGGAAGGAGATCGGAGTGGCCCACCTCCATGGCTGGCACATCAGCCTTTATGCTCGTTTCCTCTGCATTTCTTTCTGAGTGTTTTCCTCTGTTCTCCTCCACATTGCCAGTTTAAGTGTCTGGCAGTCCCTGGCTGTCTGCTCATTTATTTGAGCAGGTAATAGAAGCTGCCTGGGAGAGGGGCCAATAGCTGGTAGATCTCACTTCAGGTGATGGCACTTGTGCAAACAACAGCTCAGGATCCCAGGACCAGGGTCCAGGGGAGGGGTCAGTAAATGTCAAACTGCACAGGGCTTGGCTCCGGAATACCGGTGCCTTCCAAAATAACTTCTAGACCTCCCAAAATAACCCATTAAATTTCCTTAGAGCAGAATGCTTAGTTAGTTGGTTGGTTGGACTGGTTGGTTGAACTGGTTGTTGGTTAATTGGTTGATTGGTTGGTTCGTTGAATTTGCAGGGGAAGGTGGGATAGTCAGGGGTTGGGGAGAAGGAATAGGTAAATGCCAGGTACCCCAGGGAGAGGAGAATGGGGTGGTGCCCCTGTTTCAGGCCCACAGCTTTCTCCACACCTGGCACTCAGAATTCTGGGCGTCTCTGGGCTCTGCAGGGCTCTGCCCCCTGCAAGTGTTCATATGAGACACCTCCACCAAACACCCTCTTCTGCTCTCCACTTTCCCAACATTTGTTGAAATTGCTTGTTGTGTTTTTTATGTTTGTTTTTTTTTGGGGGGGGAGATGGGGAGTTGGGAGTTGGGTTTTTTTTTTGTTTTTATTTTGTTTTTGTTTTGAGACAGGAACTTGCTCTGCCATCCAGGCTGAGTACAGAGGCATTATCATAGCTCACTGCAGCTTCAAACTACTGGGCTCAGGCAATCCTTCTGTCTCAGCCTCCTGAGTAGCTGGGACCACAGGCACACACCACCACACCCGGCTAATTTTTGTATTTTTTGTTGATACAGGGTCTCACCATGTTGCCTATGCTGGTCTCGAACTCCTAGGCTCAAGCGATCCTCCCACCTCAGCCTCCCAAAGTGCTGGACTTACAGGCGTGAGCCCCCACACCTGGCCCACTCATTGTTTGAAGGATCCTCTCCCATCTCTTTATTTTTTGTGGGTTTATAAATTAAAAACTTCTTGACTGCATTTAATGGAGCTGCAGACAGACTAGATACAGCTACTGAGCCATCTGTCATCTTGATGTGAAGTCTTTACCATTGTGCCTTAAAGCTTGAGCATGGCTATCTTAAGTCCTCTCAGATTGTGTTTTGGAAATCAAGCCAAATTGTTTATATTTCTAAAACTGCAATAGTGAAGTTTACAAATTGTTATCTTTTCTCATTGCTTCCTACCTCTTTCCTCTTGACCCTGCCCTTGGCTCCCTCCGGAGATCCAGCCCCTGGGGCATGGCTATCCTCAAAGTCAGTTGTCCTCCTGCCTCTGAAACAGGATTGGAAGCCTCCTCTTGCACCCCATACCACACACAGTCCCATCCAAAGAAACAGTCCAGCTGCCTAAACATGGTTGGAAGCAGCAGGAATGTCCACGCCTGTGTCTCTCAGAACTGCCCAGGGAAGAATACTCTTAACTCTCAGGCCTTCTTGAGCCTGCTGCCCAGCCTGCCTCCCTCCCAGCAGCTCTCCTGCTCCACCCCTTCCACAGGCCCCTCGGGGCTCCTGCGCCCCTCACCATCTGGGGGCTACCTCCTCAGGCTGGGTCACCACACCCCACAGGAACAATCAGCCATTCATTGACAAAGCACAGATACCAAAGCCAAAAAGGAGGCGCCATCCCTTTTCTCTTAGAAAGGCCGCTTGGCTGGGGCACCTGGGGACTCCAGAGATGGCAGCGCTATTCTGGGTCTCCAGCCAGAGGCAGCCAGTGTGGTCAACAGTGACGACAGTGTCCACGGGAGAGGGCTACGCTGGTGAAGAAGGGGACAGTGTCCAGTGGAGGCCTCAATGCCCACCTGGAGAACAGACCAAAGGAACCAGAGGACACCTGGACCCTTTGCTCAGTCTCCAGCCCACACATCCCAATGTATACAGCCAGCAGCAGCCTTGGGGAATCTGGGGCACCTGGGAGAGAAGGGTTGGGAGGAAGCAGAGCTGGTGGAGTGGGTAGAAAATCACTGTGGCTGGGACATGCCATAGCGTAAGGAAACACAGGTATATTTTACAACTATTAACGTGGCTGTGTACCAGATGTTCTTATCTTGTTTTCTGGGGGTACATTTTGTCTGTCCCAACACTCCCCCAGAATGCTGAAGGCAGAGCAAAAACCAAGGCTCATGTAGCTTCTGATTTAATCGCTTAATAAGCATTTATTAAGCACCTCTAAATATTCAGCACTGGGTCAGGCACGGTGTGAAGACACAAAGACATAGAAAATAATTCCTCCCCTCGCAGAGCTTGCAGTGAGCCGAGATTGCGCCATTGCACTCCAGCCTGGGCGACAGAGCGAGACTTCGTCTCAAAAAATAATAATAATTCCTCCCCTCAAGGGATACTTGGTCCCTTGGGGAAAAGGAAGACTCACACACATAAAAAGTTGATGCTTTCCACCCTGGAGATTTAAAGTGTTGCATCTGATACTTTTCTCGAATCCCAAAAATGTGCATGTAATTATATAGCGTATAATTCATTGTATCACATGAAACACAACTTCAGTGAACATTTGAGCGGCGCCTTCAGATGATAATCAATGCATGCAAGATTAAAGTGATTCATAAAGCAATTTTCTCTCAAAGAACTAGCCTTTTTTTAAAAAAACTCTCCTTACTTTCATCTCTTTCCACACACCAGCACCAGCAATTGGGGTTTTCCTTTTTTGCAGAGAAACAAAATCTATGCTATTGTGTGGGAGTAGCTATGTACCCCGCCAGGAGTCTGGGTGGGGAGGACCTCTCAGCCCAGGGAGGCACAGGCTCAGGCACCGGGCAGAGTCCCTGGCTAGCCTGGCGCCATGCTCAGGTGCAGGAGCCCCAGGGCGGGGACACTGGCATAAGCGCTAGTGGCCACAAAGAACAGAGCCCCAGGGTCGCTCACCAACAATAAATGCGATGCTGCATCTGGGCCCTCCCACCCAGGCTTGTCGTGGGCAGCGCTGACTCAGGTGCCCGATGAAGAAAAGAGCTCCTGAGGGGTGGGTGGGCTTACAAAACCCTCTCGACCTGGGTAGGCCCAATGGCCCCATAGCAGGCAGGTATGGCTGGGTGAGAATTGGCTGGCACTCTCCTTGGGCCTGGTTTCCGGGTTCCTACCAGCTGCGGCAGCTCCCGCTAGCCCCACCTTGCCGGGCAGCTCTCTGGGCACCAGGCTTCCTGTGGAACGTGGCCTTGCCTGACCCCTCCCGCATGGCCTGGGGCATCGCCATCCCTGCCCCGGTGGGGTTCCTGGGAGGGCCTCGCACTGCAAAGGCTTGAAAGCCAGGGAGCGTGGCGCCTTCGCGGGATAAACTAGCACAGGGAGAGTGACAGAGCAGGACGGAGAGAGCCTGGTCGGCCCCAGCGCTGACTCCAGTCCTGCCCTCCCCATGGCTTCAGTGAATGCTGACAGGTGACCGCCATGTGGATCACGTATTTTGAGAAGAAAACTGCATTTTTCCCACATATTGAGCAACTCCCAGTCCTGAGGACCTGGTTGGAGGAGCCTCAGATTCCAGCGCAGTTCCAAGAAGGGAAGTCCCCCAGCCAGAGTCTGCTGTTGGAGGAGGAACGGTCCTGGTGTGATTTTTATGCCTGTGTTAGGCTTTCTAAATAAAAACATTTCCTAATCAGAGAGGCGGGACAAAGAGATTTAATATGGAGTCAAGCAACCATCTTTTTTGCTAACAATGTAGAATTCAACTTTTGTAGATGAAAGTTTAACATCAATGCACATTAATTGCCAAAGACACCAAGGAGTATTCAACCCAGCTATCAAGTTGCTTTCACTTTATAGTGTTGTACAAACAGAGCCCTTATTTCAGGCTGTTCTAACAAAATGCCATAAATTGGGTGGCCCATAAACCACAGACATCCGTGCATCCCAGTTCTTGGGGCTGGAAATCCAAGATCAAGACACCAGCACCTGGGGTGTGGTGAGGGCCCGCGCTCTGGTTTATAGATGGCGCCTCCTCGCTGTGTCCTCACGTGGTGGAAGGGATGAACAAGCTCCCATTTCATAAGGACACTCATCCCATTCATGAGGGTTCTGCCCTCATGACCTAATCCCCTTCCCAAAGACCCCACCTCCTATACCATCGCCTTGGGAGTTAGAATTTCAACACAAGAATTTGGGGGAACACAAACATTCTGACCATAGCAGCCCTCTTCGCTCTAGAGCAAAATATAAAGACAAATATTTGGAACAGATTAATTAGGAAAAACCAAAACCGTTGTCATCAGAAACAGCCCGAGAAGGCTTACTATGAAGACAGCATTACATTATGGTTTTGATGAACAGTTAATTTCAGTTGATGAACAAGTAACAAAAAAATTCAAATACAAGTGCTAGTAACTATAACAAAATTCAAAGACCTTTTCCTAACACTTCAGTGTATTCATTATTCCAGAGGGGAGACAGCCCATTTCTGGAAATGAAAATAGCCTTTGAAATGAAAATGAAGGAACCAGGTTACCAATCAATGAGAACAAGAAGATGCTCCCATGCTGGGGACCACTGACGCTCTCGTGTGGCTGGTTTAATTTTCAGCATTTGGTAGAGGCCAGGGTTCCCCTAGACCTTGTCTGCGATGCTCCGAGGCCTCTCTGGTCCTTCACTGCTCTTGCCTCTCTTGCCTCAGGTGGGTTTTGCGGACCTCTCAGATTTTTCCCAGAAACGCTGCTTCCCAGGCTCTGCTAGCAGCGGCATGTGTACACCATCTTTCTCACCAAGAAACAAGTGTTTTTTAAAGAGGGAGAAACAGCAGCGGCCTGGGTAATTCGAGGATGATGTGCAAGGAACCTGCTCTTGTAATAAATACCCCAGCTAGGGCTTCCCCAGTGAAAAGCAACCCATCCAACCCATCAGGCTGTTTTCCATGCTCTCCGGCAGCCACTCCTTCCACAGCGTTTGCTCCACCGCCTGTCCCCACGTTTTCCAATAAAGCAGTTGAGGCTGGAAAAGTCAAGAGATTGGCCTGGAATCCAACAACTCACTAGGAAGTAATGCCCAAATCTGAGCCACATCTGGAGATTCCAAAGGTTTTTCTGTAATCCACACAGCTTTCTTTTAGTCCAGACTTTGGAACTAGAGGTGCTGGGACTTTCATTGTTTGCCCATTCATTCCATGAGTCCTGAGCTGTTCTCAGCCCTGAGGACGCAGCCTGAGACAAAATAGATCAAGATCCTTGCCCTTCGAAAGTGACAAGAATCAGACCCCAAGCCCTCGACCTCTCCTGCACTCTCACAGGCATGGCAGAGGTGGACGCCTCAGTCCTCCCCTGCACCCCAGCTCCAGAAGACGTTCACTCTCCCTGCCCTCCAGGGGCCCACCCCTCCCCTGAGGACAGCCAGTTGTCCTGTTACCTGAAACTTCTGAGTCACTGTCCCCAGTGCCATTTGCCTGGGCAGGGATTGAAGCTGAGTGAGGGGTTCAAGACTGGGCAGGACCCAGAGGACAGCACGCTGGGCTCATGGAGCGACATCACCAAAGGCGGGAGCACCCCAAGCTGCTCCTTGCCAGGCCATGTCCCAGTTCCTCGGAGGGCTGGAGACCTAAGGCTGTGACCTTCAGGTGTCCTTCCTCAAGGAGGGTGCTGAGACAAGGGGCTTAAGACCCACATCTAATCCAGAAAGTATTTCGAAGACAGGGTGCAAACATGGATCTCTCGGGGCTGGCAGAGGGGCCATTTTAGTAAAGTATTTCCAGGCCAACCCAGGAAAGTGCTTGAGAAAATGAGAAGGGGAGCTGAGTCCAGGTGCTCAGGGCCCCCATCACAGCTTCGTCCATCACCAGCAACCCCCAACTCTCCGACGTGTTAGAATTCAGGTGAAGAGGAAGGGCAGAAGCCCAGCAGCCGGGCCACAGTGACTCCAACCCATCTCTCTACAAAGGCCCAGGCCCAGGCAGCCCCTCCCTCACATCTGGAAGGTTCTGAGCACAAGCAAACCCACGGTCCTTAATATTTCCTGATCTGAGCAGGTTTTTAACCAAGCTGGAAGAGACCACTTAGAAAAGAAGGAAAATAAAATTCCCCTTCAGAATGCCAAGATGGAGAGATTTATCTTCATTCTAAAAAAAAAAAAAGTGGAAAAACATATGTCTGTGGCCCATTTTGAGTGGAAAGTTTTATTTATTCAACTGTTTATTGTTATTTCTCTGCCCACCACAGCAGGGTGAGGGCAAGTCTGATCTGCGGCCTCACCCTCTCCAAGTGCCTCCCCCAACCGCGCTCCCTTCCCCTCCCCACTCCCGGGAGGACCGAGTTGGTTCCATCCTCCCTCAGACCCAGCCAGGAAGCATGCTGTGCCCTCTCCTTTCTCCAGCACCTGAGCCTGGAGAGAGGCCCTGTGTGCCAGGGGCCTCCGTGGAATCCTTGACAGCTCCCCCAACTGCCCAATGCCCACATCAACCTCCTCTAAGTTAGCACTTTTGTCAAAGATAAGAAAAGTATTTTCAGGAAGCCCAAGTGTTTCCTGTTTGGCAGAAGCCAGGCTGAAACGCCCCAACTGGGAGCAGGGAATCGGGCTTGACCTGCATGTGTTTACAGAAGTCAGCTCAGAAGGAAGTGCGGTCCAAGGGTCTTCTTGTTCGTTTATTGAAAAGGCCATTAACGGTTTTTGTCCATCTCTGCTGCTGCTGTTGATGCTGTTTGCATAAATGACACCAGATCCTGCAAACCCTGCCAGTCTGGTGTGTCACTCACTAGAGCACTGGCTGCTCTGTAGCTTTCCAGCCAAGGGAACACATCGTCCTGCCTGCTTTCTGCTATGGATCCAACTGGTTCTTCTTGTGCCAAAAATGACTGCATGGTGTCATATGCACGGCACTCCATTTGATCGTTTATTCACCAAGCCTGTGTTGAGAAGCTTCCCTGTGTTGGATGCTGCTCTCTGATGCCCTGGGAGACAGGAGACAGGCTAAGGCTCCTGCCCTCAGGGAGGTTCCACTCTAGAGAGGGATCCAGATACATAAGGGAGACCCTGTTGTGTTAAAGTGAGAAGAGCTAGGACAAAATCAAGTAGGAGGGGCAGAGGAAGTGTGAGGGGAGGGCTGGCATTTTAGAGGGAGAGGCTGAGGCCAGGGAGGGCTGACTAGAGAAATGACACAGAAAGTTCTAGAAGGTGAGGTGGGAAAGTGGAACCAGCTTGCAGCCATCACTCTGAGTGTGAGAAGAGGCCTCAGGGCTCATGGGCAGTAAGGACAAGGTTCAACCCTGGTCCAGGGGGACAGCTCCAATTCCCATGTTGAGGCACCAGCAAGGGAAAGGCAGGCCCAGGGAGGCAGGAGCTCCCCAGCCAGGCCTACGGTGCATGATGACTGTGTACCACGTGACAATGTGATGTGGTGGTGGCCATCTGAGTTCTGACCTCCAGCGGATAACGTGGTATCTTTCCATGTCCCCAAGTCCCAACAAATTCAGGCAGTTTTCATACTGCCTGTTTCCTCAATACATTTTTGCTGAAAACATTTTCTTAAAGCAGGCATCATGGTGTTGGGAAAAAGCATAAACGACCGTTGAACAGACCCCAGGGGGTGTCTGGCTGTAATCACGGGTCAGGGGCTGACTGACTGGCCAGCAAGCCCGTTCCGCATCCTGCAGAGGGAGGGATAAAGCCCACATCTGAGAGACGAGGAGCCGAGTACCTTTTCAACACCCACACACTCCTCACCCTTTCCTCAGTTCAGCTCGTCCACCCCAACTACGCACAACAGCAGCACAGCAGTAAGGCCAATGGTGCAAGGCGCCGGGCTGCCCGGCCTGGCACACAAGCTGCATGGGAGGTGGTGATGCCCAGCCAGGTGGGCACGGACCTCCCCACCCTGGGTCTCAGGCCAAGGCCACAGGGCAGCAAAAGGAGGTGCTGTAAGGGGCCAGCCTGCGCTGCATGCCCACCTTCGACGAATCCCAGTGACCAGGGAGGAGAGGCACATGTGGCTGGTGGCCACCACCGTGAACAGGGCCGGCAAATGTTTCCTTCACTGCAGAATGTTCTAGAGGAAGGGGCAGTGCCTGGCATCCCAGCCCTCTAGGGAGGTCACTCCACCGACATTCTGCATGGAGAGTTCTTTCCATGTTCTGGTTACTAGTCCTTTGTCGGATCTTCCATCTGCAAATGTTTTCTCCTTCTCTGAAGCTGTTCTTTTCATTTTTTTTAAACAGTGTCTTTCCAGAGCAAAAGCTGTTAATTTTGATGAAGCCCACTTTATCACTTTTTCACTTTATGGGTTGTGCTTCTGATTCCAAGTCCAAGAACTCTTCACCTCCTCCTGGTTCCCAAAGATTCTCTCCTGTGCTTTTCCTAAGCACTTCACAGCTTTATGCCTGGCATTCGAGTTCATGATCCCTGTTGAGTTAATGTTGTATAAGATTGCCTGTTTATTCTTTTGCCGGCAGATGGCCATGAGCTCCGTCGCCATTTGTTGACAAGATGACTTTTGCACCTTTGTCAAAAATCAGTTCGGCAAATTTGCGTCAAAGTTCGTGCACAGCGCACAGAGCTGTGGCAAATGACACGAGGAACCTGTGGAGTGCTTAGCTCACCCTGCTATGCGGGGATGCACGCAGCCCTACAGCACGCATCGCAAAAGAAAATCTGAGCTCCCCTGGGCCCCGGATGAACCCTTAGCAAGTCCACGGCTGTTTCTTCTGGCATCATCCAGTCCCGCTGTGGCCGCTGCAGCTCCTTGGAGGCACACACAAGCCCTCCATAACAAAAAAAGGAACCGGCCAAACCTCTGCCCAAACTAGCATGTCCTGCTATCACCACCCTCTCACCACGCAGGCCCCCTCTGCTGGTCCAGTCGGGGAGGCATGTGGGGAGAAAGACGGAGCTGACTTTCCTTCACTCCCGCCGGAGGATAAGGCACCATGCTCCTTCCGGCACCCCTGGGGCTCCTGACCCCTCTCTCCAGAGCCACATCATATGGCCCTAAAGATGCATCTCTGCATTTTGGGCCCCATCCAGAATCTGTCTCTGGAATGACAGCGTCTCCCTTACTTTTGAAATGCAAGACCCTTCCTGCTGCAGCTGAGACCCATTTCCTCTTCAGTCCCCTGCGAAAATGAAAAACAGCTGGGAACCATCACGCCAAACACAGCCCACTCAAGGCTCTTGGACTGCACCACCCCCACCTCTTCCCCAGAGTTAATGGCAAGTTCACATGGCTGGTTCCATCTCCCCCTGAGCATCCCAGTTCCTGCTGGCCATGCTCGGGGAGGTTCTCTCCCCTAAGGCCTTTTCAAACTGCTTCCTCTCGGATCACAAAGGAAAACCAGTCCCACGCAGAGAAAGGAGAGAGGGAGGTGGCCCGTAGGGAGTGGCGCTCAGCCTCACTTAGTGAGCACTTACTATGTATGTGCCAAGCAGGCTGCTCTGTGCTGCAGGGACAGAGGTGCATTCAACACCTTGCATCCTTCCTTTCCCCGGGAACTTGGGCCCCAAAGATGGCCAGGCCACAGCTCAATGCCCGTGACAGCGGCGGAGGGAATGTGGGTAAGGGCTCCTTAGGAAAACTAGGACATTCTGAGGGAGATGCTGGTGCCTGAGACGGCCCCAAGGGGAGTGTGTCCTCTGAGAGGAGACGGAAGGAAGGCACATCAGATGGCAGCAGGAGAAGAGAGAGGAAAGGCACGAGCAGGGAGTGAGAGGCAGGACACACCGTCCAGGGCACGGGGACCCCACCCCAGTTTAGCCCTTTCACATGGGCCCTGCGTGTGGCACTAGGGTCCTTGTACCCCAGCATAACTAGGAAGGGTGAGAGGTCACAGGCTAAACCTCGCCCGTCGCTCTGGAATGTTGCTAAACTCCAAGTTGAGGGTGGCAGACTAAAGTCATTGAAAACATTATTTGATGGTAAGTAAAATGGTGATAGATTATGTCATAGAAAGCAAATTTCACTTGCTTGTTATGGATGAATGTCAAGACAGTGGAGAGATTTCACCCAGCCCACCGAGCCCGACCCCTGGTGTCTGGGCTGCTCATTCACTGTCCTCCCCAACTGGAGATACTTGGGGAGGAAAATCTAAGAAAACCAGATTCTACGACAAAGCTGAGAATGCATCCCCAGAGAGAGGCTGCCTGTTAAGTCAACAGCAGGCACTAGTTCTTCCTCAAAACTGGGAGTGAATCACAGACACCAGCAAGACTGAGTAACCTTGAGGCCCTGCAGGGAAAGTGGAAGGGCCTTGAGGAACCTGCCCAAGGGTAGGTCAGGGGCCAAGTAGATATGGCCCCTCAGGGATGGGGTGGGAGGGGAGAATCCTGGCCAACAAGTTGAAAGGGCATCCCCACTGTGCCTGGAGCAAATCTGGTCAATGTGGGACCCCTAGCCACTCCACACCTGATGCAGGCCAGGCAGTAGCTGCCTTAAGATCCCTCAATAGCAGCAAATATAACCCAGCACCTGTGCAGCAGGCTCCCCATCACTTCCAAATGTCTCTATCCTCAGTTAACAGGGTTCCCGCCATGAATCACAGAAACCCCAGCTCGAATGGATGAAAGCAAAAAGACTCACCCAGCAGGACAGTTCGAGAATGGTGCCAAATTTGGTGACAGCTGGACCAGGGACCCAGTGAAGGTTGTGCTAGGGTTCTCTCTCTTTCTCTCTCTCTCTTTCTCACTCTTTCTTTCTCTCTCTCTCTGACTCTCTCTGTCTTTCTCTCTGCCAGTCAGCCCTGCATGGCTCTCCTTGATTTATTCTCCAGGGAGGCCTCCCTAGTGTGACACAGTGACCACCAGCAACCCCATACTTACAGCCTCCTACAGCAAGGACAGAGGTCTTCTGTCTCCCAGGACCCACA
This sequence comes from Homo sapiens, assembly GCF_000001405.40. Lineage (NCBI taxonomy): Eukaryota > Metazoa > Chordata > Mammalia > Primates > Hominidae > Homo > Homo sapiens. Next base: position 237,453,778 of record NC_000002.12, read on the forward strand.
TATCCATCCCAAGGGAGAGCCTGGTTGGCCCTGCATGGGTCACGTGCTCCTCTTGAGCTGACCACTGCAGTCGGGAGGAGGGAACACTCCACTGGGCCAGGCTGGGCCATGTGCCACCTGTGTGGCAGGTGGGAAGTAAGAGATCATAATTAGCATTTCCCTGGAGTTAAACAGGCAGCCAAAATTTATCTTCACCCAGACGTTTACAGAGATCTCTAAAATTAACAAAGCATTTTCATAGACATTACTTCATTTCATTCTTGAGACAGAGCAGGGACACCTCTTAGGGGTCTGCCAGGTGTCTCCAAGCATGGAAATAAAAGAAAATCTTGAGTTCCTTCAAGGGAATTTGCAGGCACCTAGCTGGCCCTCAGAAGTAAATAAGCAACCTGATGAGCAAGAAGGTAACAACAACTTAAAACAATAACCAAGAAACTTAGAGCCACAAGGTGTATGATTCCTATCAAGACAGCATCTTAACATAGGTCTCTGAGTTATTTTTTCAGAAGCCCAAATCCCCACAAAATCGATCTGCTGGCATGCAGCCTCAGATAAGAGGGGAGGTGAGGACTGAACTCTGTCCACAGAGACCTGGAGAAAGTCATGACCACGGGCCAGATCATAATGTTCCTTTCTGCTGACCCCAAGGTTTTAGGCAAAGCTTCACTTCCTTAACCAGTTGCAAATGAGAGAGTTTTTGAATGCACCTATAGGAACTGTAAGCCCCCAGGTTTCAAGATATTCATCTTTTTAGGGCAAACCAATGTATAACCTCTGTATTAGTCCATTCTCACACTACTAATAAACACATACCTGAGACCGAGTAATTTATTAAGGAGAGAGGTTTAATGGACTCACAGTTCCACATGGCTGGGAGGCCTCACAATCATGGTGGAAGGCAAGGAGGAGCAAAGCCACGTCTTACATGGGTGGTGGCAGGTAAAGAGAGAGAACTTGTGCAGGGAAACTCCCCTTTATAAAACCATCAGATCTCGTGAGACTTATTCACTATCATGAGAACAGCACAGGAAAGACCCACCCCCATGATTCAATTACCTCCCACCAGGTCCCTCCCACAACATGTGGGAATTGTGGGATCTAGAATTCAAGATGAGATTTGGGTGGGGACACAGCCAAACCATATCAACCTCCATGTATTGATTTACAATTTTGCCTGTAATTTCTGCTTTCCTGAAATTTACCCCTGCCTTTAAAAGCCCTTGCTTGTAAGCCATTGAGGACATAGGGTCTTAAGTGTGAGCTGTCTGATTCTCCTTGCTTGGTGTCCTGCAAATAAACGCCCTCTGTTCTCCCACTGCAAAACCTCAGTGTGGACATGTGGCCTTACTGCCCTGGGTGAGCAGATCCCAAGTTTGGTTTGGTGACATTTTCACAGCAGCCCCTTGAGGTAACAGGGCAGGGATTACAGCTGCCAGAGAGGTTGAGTGGCTTGTCCACTGTGGCACAGCGAGGCAGGGGTATGAACCAGTTCTTGCAGTCCAGAGTGGGTGCTCTCTCCACTTCATGACACTGTCATGAATGGCCTTCCATAGCAGACACTCTTGTGTCCCACCCAGAACCCGGAACTCCTCTCCCTAGCTTCCCACCGGCTCCCCTGCAGCTCAGTCTGAGAGCTCTCTCTGGACACAGAAGCATGCATGGCCCCCAGGCAGACAGGACAAAAGCACCAGGGTGCTACTCAGCCACAGGAGCCTCACTCAGTGACAGGCTGGAGATGGGGACTCCCGCTTCCTCAGCCCTAGGGAGGGACGACTCTGGGCCATGCTCTACCCAGTCCCCATGAGTTCCACAATGAGACTGAGCCCTAGCAGGCCACAGTGGCCACCTGCCTGTTTGCACACCCTGTCTCACTGGACCACTTTCAGGTCCTCCTGGGATCACCTCCCAAATAAATTTGAACGCAAATTCTTGTCTCAGTCTGCTTCTGAGGAGCCCCAAATTAAGATATTCTGTCCATACTAACAAACTGCTGCCAAGAAGGCAGAGATAAGTAAATTCTGTACAATAAGTAAATCATGTCTCAACACCCATCAACCCAGGATGGCACATTCGCAGTGCGTGGCCATGGGGATTTCCTCACCACCCCTCAGAGACAGACGTGTCTAATTGACCATGGTGCTTTCTGAAGCTGTGTTCACACACAGGGAAGAAAGAGCATCGTGACCAGTCAGTCACCTCTGTCCCTGTAGAAGAGTTGGGGTGGTGGCAAGTGCACAGCTACTTCTCATCCCTACTCCAGCCCCTGGCTTACTGAGCCCTGAGAGCCATAAAACAAATGTCACTCTCATAATGTCACCAGTTCCCAAAATGGCTAATTTTCCTTCTTTCCATTGCCAACCCTGCTAAGAGTCACACGTACAGAAGGATTGGCTGGAAAATGCCACCAAATCCCTGACTGGTCTAGCCCTCCGACACTGGAAATAGAGACATAGAATCTGGAGAGCAGTTGGGTGGCACCGGGCCCACCTGGGTGAGTGGAATGCTAAACATAGGCATGACTCACATCTGGCTGGGAGGGCCCCACCACCGCTCCAGCGGGAGCAAGCCCTCCCCCGCCTGCAACACCATCTCAGGCCTCCATGGAGCAGAACCATGTGGACCATGTGGACAGCTCTGTCTACACTGGCCCTCACTGCACATCACATGGCTCAGGGAGGTCCTTCGGGCTCAGCTCCTCAGGTTACACTGAGGACATCTGGAGCCATCTGGCCCCAGCACCCGAGCCCACTTGGAGTCCCTGGATAAACACATCCCGTCACTTAGGAAAACAGAATTACATTTTCCATCATGATGAAATGAACCTCTAGGGGGTATTTACAAAAATGTATACTCAGCTAGGGGACAATGTGGTTTTTGCCAATTAGCTAGAAGAGGAAGTCTGGGGATCTTTGCATAGCATAACGAAAAGAAAAAACGTAAGAGAAAGAACAAGAGTGAGGAAAGGAAAGCCCAGTTAGGTCCACTTTCAAAATAAACAATTTTTACAGTTACAGACAGACCCTGATTTATACGCAGGCTGAGTTCCAGGACTGTGTTTTCAAGTCAGTCGTTTGGAGTTTGAAACTCATTTTCCCATAGAAACTATGTGCATTGGTCATAAAGTTAACCCATAGATGTCTCTTTCTTCAATAAAGTATCTGAAATGTACTACCATTTTCACCTTTCCAGTTCCCCTCAACATCATCTATAGCTTTGCTTCCCTAAGAAGTTAAATTCTGATGTCCAGATCAGGACAAGGGAGCCCCTTTCTCCTGTCAGTGAATGGCAGTGAGGAGGGCCTGGTGATGGTGTAAGGCACTCACAGGAACATGAGGCAGTGGCCATCAGCTTTGGAGACCCACAATATGAGTGTGACTCCCAAGGCCACCTCATGCTCTGATCAGATGCTCACCATGTCTTGGCCTCAGTCACCTCTCAACTCTGTCACCTCACCTCCAAATAGTCTCCGCCTTATGTTGCTGTTGTGGGGGGGATAAAGTTGTACAATGTATATAACACACAAGGAATGGTAGTTGGTCCCAAACAAGTGCTCTACAAATGGTGGTTATTATCTTTACTGTTGCCTTTCATATGCAGGAGGGAACTTAGCATGAAATCTGAGCATCTTAGGGTTTGAGGGGAACCATTAAATGTTCTCAACAAAGGACAGAACCACATCTACTTTGCACCCTAATACGATTCCCATTCCTGGCCCATGGCAGGCTCTGACAAGGATTTATTGGATGGATTGATGGGTGGGTGGATGGATGGATGGATGAATGGATGGATGGATGGATGGATGGATTGATGGGTGGGTGGATGGATGGATGGATGAATGGATGGATGGATGGGTGGATATATGGATGGATGGATGGATGGATGGATATATGAATGGATGGATGGATAGATGGACGGATGAGTGGGTGAATGGGTGGATGGGTTGGATGGGTGGATGGATGGGTGGATGAGTGAATGGGTGAATGAGTGGGTGGGTGAATGGGTGGATGGGTGGCTGGGTGGCTGGGTGGTTGGATGGGTGGATGAGTGAATGGGTGAATGAGTGGGTGGGTGAATGGGTGGATGGATGGGTGGATGGGTGAATGGGTAAATGGGTGAATGGGTGAATGAATGGACAAATGAAGGGATAGACAGATGGACAGATGAAGATCTAATACTTTTTGCTCACCATCGCCTCTGGCTTGAGTCTGGGGTTCTGCTGTCAGTGCCCCTCTTAGCACTACCACAGGCTTTGATACCACTGACTCCCTCTCACTAAGTAAAATTCTGACCCCAGGCTCTGAGGAATCATCTCTTTGTCTCAGCTCTTCTTTGGTCTCCCTCCCTGATTGCTAGCTCCCCAGGTGCCAGTTCCATGGAAGCATTCTCCATGACTATCCCTCTGTCTTCTCCCTTTCCCTCCACCCTCTCCATGGGTGTCATTCTCTCATGGAGTCAGCTCTCACTTCCCCTCTTATATCCAGCCTTGGCCTCTTGTCTGAGCAGCAAAGTTAAATTCCCTCTACCTGATGGTTACTTTCCTATTGAGAGCCCATCAGCACCTTAAATCCAAAACTCGAATGCCCTCTTTTTCTTGTTTCTTACCTCAAGCAGACCTACTCCTGTTCCTGGGTCCCCAGCCCTCATTAAAAACCATAAATCCTCTCATGGTCACAGGCTGGGACTCTCAAAGTCACTGTCACTTCTCTGCTCTCAGTCTCCTTTTCTACTCAATCAGGAAATGAGGAGAGCAACTGTTGTGTCTGCACATTCTCCCAGTCTTTATACCTTTGCCTGAGCTCAAGGCTATCTCTTGATCGATATAATGCACTAGTCACCTGCTACCTCAAGGAAATAGACACTAACAGCCCCAACAAACTGCCAAGTCATAGTAGCCAAGATGTCACCAGCTACTCTCTCACTGCATTGGTTGTCTATTGCTATAAGCAAAACATTCTAAGATTTACTGGGACAAAACAACCACCATTCTATTATGTCTCATGATTCTGTGGGTTAGGCAGGTTCTGCTCTGTGGTTCTTCTGCTCCACAGGATGTTGGCTGGTAAGGCAGTCCCCTAAGACCTCAGCTGGGCTGGAAAATCCAAGATGGTTCACTCACACACTTGGTACCTTGACAGAGATGGCAAGAACACTAAGATAGCTGAGCATCTTCTCTCTTCATGTACTCTCAGGGCTTCTCCCTTCCAAATTGGTAAGTTCAGCCACACTTCATACGAGGCAGATTAAGGCTCCCAAAAGTGAAAGTTACCAGGTCTTCTTAGGGCTTGGATCCATCTTGGATCCATAACTGGCACAGCACCCCTTTTGCCATATTCCATTGCTTCAAGGGAGTCAGAGGACCAGCTCAGATTCAACACAGGAGGGCATGATACAAGGCTGTGAATATCAAGAGATGTGGTTCATTGAGGCACTCTTTGAAGACCAGCTACCATACTCATTCAAGTTAGTTCTGGGCAGGCCAGTGGCCTCCTCCATCTTACAGCTAGCATCATTTGGATCCTGTGGTCTCCAAAGGCATCATAGCAGAGGCAAAGAGAGAGAGCTGGAGGAAGTACAATGACTTTCAAATGCCTCTGTCCAGAAGTGACATATCACTTCCACTCACATTCCATTGACCAGAATGACCATGTGATCCCCACTTGACGACAAGGAAGGCTTGGAAGTTAGAGGAGTGGATGACTATTTGGTTGGCCTTAAGTGTCTCTGCTCCCTCATCTATTTCCTCTGTGGGACGAACGCAGCATATGCAGAGATTCCCATACTCTGTTGGTGGGAGTGTAAACTGGGACAGCCTCCCGTGGAGGACAGCAGGACCAACCCACCTTCTTGCTTGCTCTAGGATGAGTTTGGAGAATACATCATGTACAGGGCCCTTCCAGCTCTAAAAGTCAGTGGGCATTACTGAGCCAGAAAACGAGGGCTTAGTAACATCAGAACACCAGCCTCTCATCTTGTTTCCAGAGTATTCTGTGGTGTTGGCCGGAATGGAGAGGAATTCATTCCTCTGAAGGGTGGAGGCTGCTTGAGTAACTGCTGGTTCCCACCTAGTGAAGAAGGAGAACACACAGCATCTTTGTGGGAGCCAAAATTGGCCACATTGGTCAAGTCAGTTTGTATGCCCTTTTCACAACACTGTGCCTAATTCAGGATGCTATATTAGAGCAAAGGTGGAGAACCCAGAGGGAAATCCAAGAATAACAAAGCCACTTGACCTATAAGTGAAGGTGGAAGGGACTGGGATTCACTAACCAAAAGACAGGAAATGACTCAGCATCAAATGCCTGCAAACAGCAAGTCATGAAGAGTGTGGACATCGGTGTCAAATGGACCTGGGGTTGGGCACTGACTCCATCACTTATAGCTGTGGGGCATTACTCGTGTAGCTTAACTTCTCTGAATATCATTTTTCTCACCCATGAAACAGCCAGAGTCAGTGTAGCTTCCTCAAGGTGTTCTTATGACCATTAAATGAGATGATGTGTGTGCCGGACTCATGGTACATGCTTGCTAAATGTGGGTGTTGTTATTGTTGCTGCTGTTGTTCTTATTCCTATTTCCATTGTTGGCATAACACGATGATTCCTACAAGTTATTGGTTTCTTGAGAGAGGGAATTATTAATACTCTGTCAATGACACTGACCATCAAATCCTTAAGTGTGACACAGAAGACCCTCTCATCCCTAGCCTCTGTCTACCCCTCCAGCCGTGTTCCTACCTCCCACCACACACCCCATCCATGATGAACGACTTATACCTTGAACTTGTTAAAGGTTTCTGTGTACAAATAACAGAAATGAACTTGAGCAAACTTAAGCAAACTGAGGATGTCCTGAATCCAAGGAAGCGTCGAAGAACCAGGACTCAGGAAGGGCAAGAACCAGGCAGCTCTTGGAGTTGTGGGGACTTCAGAGGCCACTCTACATGCTCTGAGGCTCAGAGATTCACAAGAAAGGCAGCCTAGCACAGCAGAAGCATAGATGGCCTAGGATCAGTAAAGTGTAACTCAGGCAAGGCCATCTGGGGAGAGGGATGGCCACACTAATAAGACAGGGTCAGTCTTCCTGGGCACACAAATCGTGTTGCCTGGGAGGAGGTGCATGTGTCACCAGAGTGCAAGAGATGATCTCTGAGGGTTTAGCTGCAAGCAGGTTTTGTTTTGTGTTAGGGAAAAAAACCTATTAAGCACACCAAACTCTTGGTCTTATGGGAATTACTACTTAGGAAACAGGAAAAATAGGCCTTGACTCTAAGAGAATCCGTTTTTAAAGTTTTAACTAAGTAGAGTTAGCACATGGATATGGCAAGTCCCAAAAGAGAGTTCATGGATGAACTCATGAAGCATCGCCTTGAAGGGATAGTTAGGAATGCTAGCATACTTAGGAAGCATCGACTTGAAGGGATAGTTGTGTGCTCATTATAAATGGAAGTGGTCTCATGGATCTAGGGTTCTAAATTCAAATGTTTTCAGGGACCACACAGGAAATCTAAATGAAGAATGTGGGCCGGGTGTGATACAATAGGGAGCGGTGGAGGCAGTGGTGAACTAGAAAGGGTGTGCTCAACTCGCTCAGCTGCACGCAGCTGTCACAATGAAGACATGCAGGCCTGATGTTGTCCAATCTTTTGTTTTCAAAGAAAAGCTGGATATCTGTCTTCTTATGAGAATTTTTCAGATTTTGACATGCGAGTACCTAACTCAAAAGTTGTAAAACAGTAGGTGAGCCACACATATCGCGTCCTGGACTGAAGCCAGCCCATGGGCACGCAACCTATGTTCCCACCAAGATGGAAGGCAGACCACCAATACTGCAGACCCTGGGAGTTCCACTACCCCTGTTTTCTTGGCAAGGAGAAAGATAACTCATTTTATGAGGCGAGCATCATCCTGATACCAAAGCCTGGCAGAGACACAACAAAAAAAGAGAATTTTAGACCAATATCCTTGATGAACATTGATGCAAAAATCCTCAATAAAATACTGGCAAACTGAATCCAGCAGCACATCAAAAAGCTTATCCACCATGATCAAGTGGGCTTCATCCCTGGGATGCAACGCTGGTTCCACATACGCAAATCAATAAACATAATCCAGCATATAAATAGAACCAAAGACAAAAACCACATGATTATCTCAATAGATGCAGAAAAGGCCTTCAACAAAATTCAGCAGTCCTTCATGCTAAAAACTCTTAATAAATTAGGTATTGATGGGACGTAGTTCAAAATAATAAGAGCTATTTATGACAAACCCACAGCCAATATCATACCGAATGGGCAAAAACTGGAAGCCTTCCCTTTGAAAACTGGCACAAGACAAGGATGCCCTCTCTCACCACTCCTATTCAACATAGTGTTGGAAGTTCTGGCCAGGGCAATCAGGCAGGAGAAAGAAATAAAGGGTATTCAGTTAGGAAAAGAGGAAATCAAATTGTCCCTGTTTGCAGATGACATGATTGTATATCTAGAAAACCCCATCGTCTCAGCCCAAAATCTCCTTAAGCTGATAAGCAACTTCAGCAGTCTCAGGATACAAAATCAATGTGCAAAAATCACAAGCATTCTTATGAACCAATAACAGACAGAGAGCCAAATCATGACTGAGCTCCCATTCAAAATTGCTTCAAAGAGAATAAAATACCTAGGAATTCAACTTACAAGGGATGTGAAGGACCTCTTCAAGAGAACTACAAACCACTGCTTAATGAAATAAAAGAGGATACAAACAAATGGAAGAACATTACATGCTCATGGATAGGAAGAATCAATATCATGAAAATGGCCATACTGCCCAAGGTAATTTATAGATTCAATGCCATCCCCATCAAGCTACCAATGACTTTCTTCACAGAATTGGAAAAAAACTACTTTAAAGTTCATATGGAACCAAAAAAGAGCCCACATTGCCAAGTCAGTCCTAAGCCAAAAGAACAAAGCTGGAGGCATCACGCTACCTGACTTCAAACTATACTACAAGGCTACAGTAACCAAAACAGCATGGTACTTGTACCAAAACAGAGATATAGACCAATGGAACAGAATAGAGCCCTCAGAAATAATACCACACATCTACAACCATCTGATCTTTGACAAACCTGACAAAAACAAGAAATGGGGAAAGGATTCCCTATTTAACAAATGGTGCTGGGAAAACTGGCTAGCCATATGTAGAAAGCTGAAACTGGATCCCTTCCTTACACCTCATACAAAAATTAATTCAAGATGGATTAAAGACTTAAATGTTAGACCTAAAACCATAAAAACCCTAGAAGAAAACCTAGGCATTACCATTCAGGACATAGGCATGGGCAAGGACTTCATGTCTAAAACACCAAAAGCAATGGCAACAAAAGACAAAATTGACAAATGGGATCTAATTAAACTAAAGAGCTTCTGCACAGTAAAAGAAACTACCATCAGAGTGAACAGGCAACCTACAGAATGGGAGAAAAATTTTGCAATCTACTCATCTGACAAAGAGCTAATATCCAGAATCTACAAAGAACTGAAAGAAATTTACAAGAAAAAAACAAACAACCCCATCAAAAAGTGGGCTTATCATAAGGATATGAACAGACACTTCTCAAAAGAAGACATTTAAGCAGGCAACAGACACATGAAAAAATGCTCATCATCACTGGCCATCAGAGAAATGCAAATCAAAACCACAATGAGATTTCATCTCACACCAGTTAGAATGGCGATCATTAAAAAGTCAGGAAACAACAGGTGCTGGAGAGGATGTGGAGAAATAGGAACACTTTTACACTGTTGGTGGGACTGTAAACTAGTTCAACCATTGTGGAAGACAGTGTGGCAATTCCTCAGGGAGCTAGAACTAGAAATACCATTTGACCCAGCCATCCCATTACTGGGTATATACCCAAAGGAATATAAATCATGCTGCTATAAAGACACATGCACACATATGTTTATTGTGGCACTACTCACAATAGCAAAGACTTGGAACCAACCCAAATGTCCAACGATAGACTGGATTAAGAAAATGTGGCACATATACACCATGGAATACTATGCAGCCATAAAAAATGATGAGTTCATGTCTTTGTGGGGACGTGGATGAAGGTGGAAACCATCATTCTCAGCAAACTATCGCAAGGACAAAAAACCAAACACCGCATGTTCTCACTCATAGGTGGGAATTGAACAATGAGAACACTTGGACACAGGAAGAGGAACATCACACACTGGGGCCTGTTGTAGGGTGGGGGGAGTGGGGAGGGGTAGCATTAAAAGATATACCTAATGTAAATGACGAGTTAATGGGTGCAGCACACCAACATGGCACATGTATACATATGTAAAAAACCTGCACATTGTGCATTGTGCGCATGTACCCTAAAACTTAAAGTATTACATATATATATAGAGAGAGAGAGAAAGAAAAGGCTGTACAACTGTGCTCCCTCAAGAAGTGCCTATGCCAGAGGCTTGCCTGTCTCTTTCCATTGAAAGATAAAAATTCTACCTACATTTATTTTAAACAATATTTTATTATGAAAATGCCCAACCATACAGCAAAATTGCAAGAATCTCATCATCAGGATTCTGCCATTAATATTTCACTGCACATTTCCTTTATCACGTTTCAATCCATCTCTCCACCTATCCATCCAGCCACCTGGCTGGAATCCTAATGATATTTTTAGTGAATTCACAGAAATGAAGTTTTGGAAAAAGCACCTGTGTCGTTTCCCTGTTTTCTTTCAGATTCATATCCTGACCTTTCCTTCTTCTGCTCTGCACTGAAGGAAAATACGGTTCCCAGGCCCCACTGTCTCCTAGCTTCTCGGTAAGTTTAGACAGGGCAGGCACTGGTGGAAGACTGGAGGGGGACAGGCAGGGAGAAGGTCGGGGTGTTTCTCTCTCTGTCTCTCTGTCTGTGTGTGTGGTGTGTGTGTGTGGGGTGTGTGTGTCTGGGGTGTGTGTGTGGTGTGTGTGGTGTGTGTGTGTGGTGTGTGTGGTGTGTGTGTGGCGTGTGTGTGGCGTGTGTGTGGTGTGTGTGTGGTGTGTGTGTGTGGTGTGTGTGTGGTGTGTGTGTGTGGTGTGTGTGTGGTGTGTGTGGTGTGTGAGTGGGGTATGTGTGGGGGGTGTGTGAGGTGTGTGTGGTGTGTGTGTGTGGTTGTGTGTGGTGTGTGCGGGGGTGTGGGGGGGTGTGAGGTGTGTGTGTGGTGTGTGTGTGTGGTGTGTGTGTGTGTGCGTGTGTGTGTGTGCCTCTCTGCTTAGGTAGCACTTGAGGCAGTGGCTGCATCTCCCCCATAGCTCCAGCTCCCCTGATGCACCCCTCTGGAGTTCTAGCTGCCCCCAGACATGCCTGCAATGACTCCAACTTCCTCCAGGCAGCCCCAGGTCCTGGATTCTACTGCATCTTCTACTGCATCTTCTCCTGCTTTATCCCTCCAGGCCTGAGAAGCGAGGAACTTCCTGTTCTTGCTATTGTCTTCATTGCCTGTTCTGTCTGCATTTAGCTTCTCATCTCTTTCCACCACCTGTGGAAATGCCTCTCTGTATCGCGTCCTCTATTTGAAATAGAGTAGACCTCTTTATCCAAGGGGGGTACATTCCAAGACGCCAGTGGATGTCTGAAATCGCAGATAGTACCAAACCTTATACATACTATGTTTTTTTCCTATATATACATACCTATGATAAAGTTTAATTTATAAATTAGGAACAATATGAGATTAACAGCAATAACTAATAATAAAATAGAACAATTATAAAAACAGGCCGCCATCACTACTCTTGCTTTGGGGCCATTATTAAGTAAAATGGGGTTTACAAGCACTGCGACACAGCAATAGTCGATCTGATAACGTAGATGGCTACCAACTGAGTCACGGGTCGGGGGTAGCACACACAGGCTGGATGTGCTGGACAAGGAGATGATTCACATCCACAGTGGGGTGGAGCTGTATGGCACAAGATTTCATCATGTTACTCAGAATGGCGAGCAATTATTCAGGAGGTTATAGGATATGCAACTTCCGCAATTACTCCTGCAGATTGTATTGTAGATTGGCCTTTGGAGATACCTTTTCAGGGTTTGGTGTTTTTTTTTTCATGTCTGATACCCCTGGCTCCACCTGGACCCCCAAACCCCACTCCCGTGGCCCCACCCGGAAGCAATGCAGCACACAGGAGGGCAGCTTCAACCCCTCTGATTTCATCGCCACCCCAACCGATCAGCAGCAACCCTGGCCACCTCCGCCCCCTTCCCCCAAACTGCCTTTGAACACCCTTAACCTAGGAGCTTTGGAGGAGAATGATTTGAGTACTAACTCCGTCTCCCACATAGTGTGGCCGGCCTCGTGTCTATTAAACTCCTTCTTTGCTACGATGCCATCGTCTTTCTTTGTGCAGGGAACAGGAAGAACCCCTCCGGCAGTTACACTGGCTAACACACTCCTCCAGCTTTCCAGCAAGTTCTTTCTTGGAGGGAGATCCAAGCGGGGCACGCCATAGCCGCCACAGCAAGCTACTCTTTAGTAAAACATCATCTAAATTACATCTTGATTTCATCCTAAAGGAACTCCGCTTGAGTTGAGACATAAACAAGAATAGGGCCTAACCTCAAAAAACTGATGTATATAATTCCAGTGCCAAAAGTCTCTTCCCCGTGGACACTTTTAAATAGATCATTAACCACATGAGACACAGTGGATGGGCTTGTTAGGGCCCAGCTGGGATGAGTTAACTTATCTACAAAACACAGAGAAATCTTTGAAGAGATAAATCTCATCCAGTCGTCAATGGAACATGGGAAACTATGTTCTAACACTGACATTTGTAACCAGGGCTAGCAACAGGGCCAAAAACCTTCTGCTTGAATTTTGGATAACCTATTCTTTTTAATCAGATATAATTTGTATCCAAAAACTGCACTCATTTTAAACATACATTTCAATGAATTTTGACAAATATGTACACCTATGTACATGAAGTATACATTTTGATGAGTTTCAACAAATGCATAAAAACATGGTCCTGGCCAGGTACAGTTGCTCACGCCTGTAATCCCAGTACTTTGGAAGGCCGAGGCGGGCGGATCACGAGGTCAGGAGTTTGAGACCAGCCTGACCAACATGGTGAAACCCTGTCTCTACTAAAAATACAAAAATTAGCCAGGTGTGGTGGTACGCACCTGTAATCCCAGCTACTCAGGAGACTGAGGCAGGAGAATCACTTGAACCCAGGGGGCGGAGGTTGAAGTGAGCCAAGATCACGCCAGTGCACTCCAGCCTGGGAAACAGAGCAAGACTTCATCTCAAAAAAAAAAAAAAACAAAAAAAAAAGAAATCAGGTACCCACCACCTCCCTGAAGATAGAGAACATTTCCATCACCCAAAAAGGTCCCCTCGTGCCCTTTCTTTGTCAAACTCCCACCTCCAGCTGCAGACAACTACCTATCTAAACTGTAAATTAGATTGGTCTCCTCTAGAGTTTCATATAAATGGAACCAGATTCTATGTACTCTTCTGTGTCTGGCTTCTTTCACTCAGAATAGTGTCTATGAGATCCACCCAAGGTGCTCTGTGAATCTTCAGTTTACTCCTTTTTATTGCAGCGTAGTATCCCATTGTCTGAATATACCATAATTTGTTTACTTAGTCACCCTATTGACAGATGTCTGCATGGTTTCCATCTGTGGGCAATTATGATATGAACATTTGTGTACACGGCTTCATTTCTCTTATAACCCATTTTTAAACTTTGTACTTTGAGATACTTGAAGATGCACATGCAGTTGTAAGAAATAATACAGAGAGACCTTATATAGCCTTTACTTGGTTTCCTCCATGGCAACATCTTGCATAACTGCAGCACGATGTCACAATCAAAAAATTGATCTTGATAGGGACCATGGACCTTGTTTGGATTTCACCAGTTTTACGTGTGCTCATGGTATGTTTGTGTGTGTGTATTTAGTTCTATATAATTTTGTCACATGTACATTCTTGTGACACCACCACAGTCAAGATACAGAATGGTCTGTCACAAGGATCCCTCATGCTACTCTCTTATAGCCACAGCTACTCCCTCTTTCCCTGTCCCTAACCCTTGGCAACCGCTAGTCTGTTATTTTGCACCTCTATAAATTTTTCACTACAAGAATGCTGCATGGATGGAATCATGCAACAGATGACTTTTTGAGACTGCCTTTTTTCACTCAGCATAACTCCCCTGAGATCCATCCAACCTGTTGAATGCATCCATGGCCTTTTCCTTTTCATTGCTGAGTAGTATTTTGAAATACAGATGTACCAAAGTTTGTTTAACCTTTCACCTGCTGAAGGACGTTTGAGTTGTTTCCATTGGGGGCTAGTATTAATATAAATAAAGCTTCTATGAACATTTATATACAAGTTTCTGTGTGAATGCTAAGTTTTTGAATTTTTGGAATAAATACCCAATAGTGTGATTGCTGGGCCGTATGGTGAGGGCATGTTTACTTTTGTAAGAAACTGCTGTACTCTTTTCCAGACGAGCTGTACCATCCTACATTTATATCAGCAATGTATAAGTGATCCAGGTTCTCTACATCCTCGCCAACGTTTGGTGTTCACACTATTTTTTATTTTAGCCATTTTTATGGGTACATAGTGATAGCTCATTGTGGTTTCAGGTTGCTTCTGCCTAATAGCTAATGGTGTTGACCATTTTTTCATGAGCTTATTTGCTAACTGTGTATTATCTTTGATGAAATACCTGTTCATGTCCTTAGCCCGTTTTCTAATGGAATTGTTTGGATTTTTTTTTTTTTTTTTTTTTTTTTTTTTGAAACAGAGTCTTGCTCTGTCGCCCAGGCTCTGGAGTGCAGTGGCGCAATCTCGGCTCACTGCAAGCTCCGCCTCCTGGGTTCATGCCATTCTCCTGCCTCAGCCTCCCCAGTAGCTGGGACTACAGGCGCCTGCCACCATGCCCGGCTAATTTTTTTGTATTTTTAGTAGAGACGGGGTTTCACTGTGTTAGCCAGGATGGATTTTTTTACTGTTGAATTTTAAGAGTTCTTTATATATTCCAGATACTAATCTTTTGTTGGATATGTGGGTTGCAAATATGTTCTCCCAAGGTGTGGCTTTGCTTTTCAGCCTTATAACAGAGTCTTTCACAGAGCAAGACCTGTGAGTTTTGATGTCCAATTCATCCATTTATGGATTGTGCCTTTTTAATTGTGCCTGTGGTATCAAGTCAGGCAACTACCTCTTCACCTAGCCCTTGGTCCAAAATATTTTCTCCTATTTTTTTCCCTAAAAGTTTAGTGCTTTCACAGCTTAAATGCAAGTCTGTAATCCACTTGGGGTTAATTTTATATAATGTGTGAGGCTGAAGTTGAGGTTTATATTTTTGCCCCTCTCCAACACCATTTGTTTAAAAGGCAGCGCTTCCTCCATCAGATTGCCCTTGTACCCTTGTTAAGTATTAGTTGGGCATATTTGTGTAGGTCTGTTTCTGGGTTTTCTATGTTATTCCATGAAACTACATGTTTACCCCTCTACCAGTACCTCGCAGTTTTGATTACTGTAGCTATATAGTAACCCCTAACGTCATAAAACATTCATTTTTAAGAAAACAAAATAATTTGAACTAAATGTTTAACTTATCTCCCATTCTATTAGTCTGTTATCACGCTGCTAATAACATACTGGAGACTGGGTACTTTATATAGGAAAGAGGTTTAATTGACTCACAGTTCAGCATGGCTGGGGAGGTCTCAGGAAACTTACAATCATGGCAGAAGGGGAAGCAAACATGTCCCTCTTCCCATGGCAGCAGCAAGCAGAAGTGCTGAGCGAAGGCGGGGTGGGGGCGGGGTGGGGGAAGGCCCTTATGAAACCATCAGCTCTCGTGAGAACTAACTTACTATCACGAGAACAGGATAGGGGAAACTGCCCCCATGATTCAATTATCTCCACCTGGTTCCTCCCACAACATGTGAGGATTATGGGAACTACAATTCAAGATGAGGTTTGGATGCGGACACAGCCAAACCATATCACCCATCCTTTGAAGATCCGGTGAGAGCTCCGATACAAATCAGAATCAAGAAATTCGCAACAGGTGGGCCTGAACCCAACCACTGCTAGAGAGAGGACAAAGGGTGGGGCTCGACCCTTGAGCAGCAGGGAAGGGAGTAGAAAAAGCTCAGCAGGTTCCTGCCTTTCACAGGTCAGTGGTATCAGGGGTAGGGCTCTCATCATAGGGAGCAGGGCACCTGACACACAGGGCAAGACATTCCAGGAGAGGCCCTGGCCAGGGGGCTGGAGCAGCCCCAGGGACACCAGGCACATGGAGAAGCTGCAGCAAACGGATGCTGTCAGCACTGCATTTCTCCTACACGTCCTACAGGTGACCCAGGCTATTGAGTGGTAACACCCAGACTCTGTCTCAGGCATCTTTTCTGACTGCAGGAGCTCACTCAGCCTCAGTCAATGACAGACAGGGCATAGGTGAATAAAATCCCAGTTTCTTCAACCCGGTTGGACCTCACCTCCCTGCTTCCTAGCAGGACAGAGAGAGCTCCAGCCCAGGAGTAACTGGCTTGATGACGCTGATACAACCTTGGTTCAGATGGAAGAAGAATGGGCCACAAGTCACAGGCACAGGTGGCCCTTGACTTCCACCTGGGTGACCTTTGCCTGCATCTGCACTGGTGTCCATACTGCCTTCACTGCAAGAGGCTGCACCCTTGCTACCAGCTGTTCCCCTGGCAATGCAGGCTCTCATGGGAAGTAACCCCACTCAGCTGACTGCAGCTGCAGCTTTGGCTATCCGGATAGTTGAGGAAGGGGCAATGACTTGAATGCTGTTTGATTCTTGTCATAAAAATGGGGAAGAGAGGAGAAGAGAGGAGAAAGGAAGGAGGGAAAGAGGAGAGGAAGAAAGGTCACACTAGCAATAAGTCTCCTTAGCAATACAACTGAGACAATGATGGAAATCCCTAGAAAGGCCAGAAGGAGAGAATCTTCCACTTTGATCAACATTCAGAGGACCAAAGGAAAAGAGACAAATTAAACAACACACTCATAACACTAAAAATGCTTCACTCAAGATGGTACCTTAAAGAAGACATGTAGCTATGGGATTTTATCATCTTCTCTAGGTTTCCTAGAATGAACTCCTCTTAGCGGGTAAGCTACCGTTCAGTTTCTAAACAATGTCAGATCTTTGCTTCCAACTGTGTCTGAGAGTGAGTGCAAGGTGAGTGCCTACAGCTGAGCCTCCCCCAGGACAGAGCTCACGCACCAGGCTGCCCTATCAGGGCTCTGCACTGAGCATGGGTGCACCTGGTGGGCTAATGCCACCTGACTTGGGAAGCCCATGCAGGCGGAGGGCTCCCCAGACCAGCAAACTTCCATCCGGATTTTACACTCAGATGTTTTGGCAGAACCATTGCTGACTCCAGCATCCAGACGTCTGAAATCATTTTTCCTGAGAAATCAAGCATAGACGTTACAAGCTTCCAAAGACCATTGGCTTGAAACCATATACCCAAATCCATGGCAAGCCATTTAGCAAAACGACGTAAACATTAGAGCATTAAATTATGCCACGTAGGTCTGTTCAGAAGAAATCTGTGATTATGCGCATCTCAGACACTATGGGAAGTCAGATGCGACCACCCGCCAGTCACTCAAGCTGATCGAGATAGAAACAGGGAGGGCTCCAGAGCAGAGCCGGGTAGATGGACACGTTCAAAACAGGGACAGTCCCCCTGCTGCAAAGCTGGTGTGCAGGCCTGGCCCTGGATGGCTCTTGTCTTGAGTGTGTGTGTTTGTGATTCTGGGTCCCTCAGCTTGCAGGGTCGGCCCCAGTAACCTGCTCTGGCCAGTAGAGGGAATCAGAGGGCCGAGGGACCAAGCCGGTAGCACAAGCAGTCCCCACCCTAGCTGGCTTGGGGAGACCTGCCTTTTAAGGCCTCCTGGGTGAACGTCCCCAGGCTCAGAAGGAAGCAGCTCCCAGGAGCCCAGTGAAGCAGCTGGAGCCACAGAGGCCTGCAGGGTCATCGGCTCCTGAAACATTGGCCCTTTGGGACGATGCTTTTTCTCTCCCTTCCTGAATGAGCCCCCTGAGAAAGCACTGAATGCGGGGTCAGACCTGTCACCATTGCCCTGAAGCCAGCTCCTGAGGATGGTCTGTTATACTCCAAGGCCAAAGGAGCCACCCGAGGGATGAGAGGGAGACCCGGCACTGAGAGCTCCACACAGCAGAGCTAGGGCTGCAGGGATGTCCCCAGGGTGAGGTGGACGTTTGGCCAGAGAGGAGAGAAGAGAAGCACAGGACTATTTATGGGTGCATTACAGACATGGGACTGTTTATGGGTATATTACAGGCACAGCACTGTTCAGGAGTTCATTACAGGCATGGGACTGTCAGGGGTGAGTTCCAGGCACAGGACTGCTCAGGGGTGCGTTCCAGGAACAGGACTGTTTATGGGTGCATTCCAGGGACGGCACTATTCAGGGGTTCATTGTAAGCATGGGACTGTTCAGGGGCCCATTCCAGACACAGACACACCTGAACAGCAGACTGTTAGGACTGCTTAGAGGCGCATTTTAGGCAGAGGTACAGGGGCCTGGGGCAGGTCTATGGTGGTGGTTAGAAGAGGGTCTCGAAGGGAAGGGTATTTGAGAGGAACTTGTCCTGGTGCATGAAGCAGCCAGGGTGGCTCTGCCCAAGGGTCTGGCGCATCATCAAATTGGGACTCAGCCATTTCTTCCCCAGGGCCACTGCAGGGACCCCAGTTGCCTGGTGGCCTTCTAGGAGAAGCAGAGAGGCACAGAGGCCAACGTCTGCTCTCAGAGAGGCCTGAGCAGGAGCCACGGCTCCACCGTCATTGTCCAATGACCTTTGTAAAGCCACTTAACTCACATTCAGCCTCCCTTGCAGTCTTTTTTTCTATCAGATGGGGATGTTAATAACAGTGCCTGTCCCCCAGGGTTGTCGTGGGGTGCAGGGCTGCACACCGTGGAAGGGCTCAATATCAGGGAGCCGTATTAGCATCATGTGGTTTTGGCTCAGTGTGCAGAAGGGGCAGGAGATTGTTGTCTGGGCCTGGGACAGAGGCTGGGCTTCACCTGGGGCCAGGGCAGGGCCCCCAACTCGCAGGGCCTTGGGTGCTGCACCCCATCCCCTGAGGAGCCCCAGGTCCCCTCCCCCACACCTGAAGATGGGCCTTTCTCTTAGAACTAGCAGGGAGGTCCAGGCCATCGCTTACACAACAGCATTTGCTGAGGCAACCACATGCAGACGTGGTCCTGGGCGCGGGGCCTACCACTGGGAACACCACCGGGCTGGGCACCCTCGGTGTGGAAGGCAAAGGGATCAAGCACTTCTTCCTCCTTGGAGGCTTCCCAGACTCCCTTTGCCTCCCAGATGGCCAGCCCAGAAGCCCACGTGGCCCAGGTGGTCAGATGGCCTGGGGTGCGGTAGAGCCTCACACCACCGGCTGCTGCTCCTTAAGATGCACTTACGATGCCCCAAAAGCCCAGCAGCCCGGGCCAGAGAGGGCTCCTGCACACTCAGAAACCCACCCGGGCAGTGTGGTGGCAGCCCCCAGCAGGACACTTGTCTGCCCCTCCCGATGCCTTGCCCGCCTTTGCCACCCTGCTCTATCCCGAACACCAGCCACTAGGGCCTGCACCAACTGCCCCTTTGGCACCAGCTTCCCAATGGGCTCAGCCAAGAGGGGCCCAGCAGGAGCCTGGGGAGCAGGAAGAGAGAAGCCTGGCATTGACCCCATCTCCCTCCCCGCCTGCAGTGGCTGCAGCTGCCCGGACCCCACAGCTCTGGGGGCACCTCTCTCAAGGCTCCACACTCCACATTCCAGACACCGAGCCCTCATGTGCCTCTCTCCGGCCCGAGGCGGCAACAGCTCTTACTGCGGCCCCTCCCCGGGGACGTCACCTGCCTTACTGTTTCCTAACTCTGCCCACACCTTTGTCAGATGTCCCCGCGGCAGCAACTCTGCCACCTCTCTCCTGCCCAGACCCTGGCTGGCAGGAGGAGGACATGCAGGGGAACCACTGGAAGCCAGGAGGAGAGAGTTTAGGCTTAGCTCCCAGGCTGGAGCCCTTCAACTACCAAGTCTCACAGCCCAATGCCCTCGCTTCAGGGTCCCGTTGGTGGAGGCAGGGCACCAGGCAGACCAGATGGGGCAAAACCCAGGCCACCGGGGCTGACGGCTGAGCGTCTAGACCTCAGACCTTAGACCCAGGTAAGGCAGCAGCACCAGGGAAGCCCTAGGGTAGGAGGTGCCCTCGGGTAGGAGGTGCTGGGTGAGAACGGTTGGTGAGAAGAAGCGCCTCCCAACCTCTCTGCAGCTTCCTCACTAAATGGCTTGGAACTCAGGATATATGTTCCCACAGCCACAGTGGCCCCAAGTTGGTCAGGCTGTCAGGCGGCTCCAGAAACCACACACCCCATGACATGAGGAAGCCACAGACAGAGACACCCAGTTTCCCACTGTTTCCTTGGAAACGGCAGGCCCAGATCCAGCTCATCCACCCCCCTACTCTCAGCTAGAAACAAAGCCTGGCAGCTTCCCCTGGCACTCCCGGCCCACCTGGTCCACCCACTGGCTGACCCCAGCCTCTGCCCTGCAACTGTGGCCAAAAATGATGCCCCTTCAGCTTGGCCCCAGAGCGGGGCAGGGGCCAGGCTTCCAGGGGTAGCTCAGGCCAGAAAGGGACGAACTGGGAGCTTGGCCTTCCCAAGCAGTAGTGCTTGCTAAGGTTAGGGTTGGGGTTGGGGATGGGGCGCAACCCTGGCTGGAGAGCCCCAGGCGGCTGTGGGTGGGTCCCTGGAGGCCTCTGCAGGCCTGGAGTTCCTGGGGCTTGGATGGGCAACGGTCCAGGGATCTTGACCTTGTATTTGAGGATGGTGGGAAATCCCAGCACTTCCGGCTCCCCGACCCCAGGGACTCCCCTAGCAGAACTCAGGGAGCAGAAAGCCCAATGGTGCAATGCGATGCAGGCCCCCCTGCAAAGTCATTCCCCAGGGGCTGACCACGCAGAGGCTTGGGCCGCCGATACGCCAGGCAGGGGCATTAAGAGTGGAGAATTTTTTTAATTTGATACTAAACACACAAAAAGGCATTCAAGTAATTTGTGGATAAAGTCTGTTGGATGGAGGGGCCCAGCGCTGGATTCCCACAACCACTTATTTATGGCTTAGTGTGGTTTGACTTTGAATCCCACAAAAGGGCGGGGAGGAGAGCGGCCCCACGGCTGCGTAGCGTTCGGGGTAAAGGTCCTAGTGGCCACTGATTCCCGGCAGCCGCTTGCTGTAACGAGGGGCTCCCGGCAACATGACGTGGGGCTGGGGGGCTCCATTTCCAAGGAAACAATGCGTGGGCGCGGGGCTCCGAGGCCCCGGGGTCCCCGGGAAGGGCTGGAGGGCCGGGGGCGCACATCTCGGGTCTCGGGGTCCGGGGACGGCAGACGCGGGGGCGCGCGGAACTGCGGCCGGGGCAGTAATCACCCCAGGGCCGCCCAGGCCGCGCCCAGAATGGCTCCGAGGCGGGGCCGGGCCGCGGGGGGCGGACGGAAGGGCCGGGGCGGCGCGGGGAGGACCCTCCCGAAGCCCAGCCGGGGCCCTGAGCTCAGAAGCCTGGGAAACGGAGGCCACGCCGGGCAGGAGCCGAGCTCGGTTTCACCGCCCCCAGCGGACCGACCGCCCCGCCTCCCAGGACCCCGAGACCCCGGACCCCGGCCCGCCCTACAAGCAGGAGCTTTGGCGGCGCGCCCGGCTGCAGCCGTCGGCCTCTGTCGCCCCCTCCCGGAGCGGAGGAGTCACGGCGGGAAACAGCCCGAAGCCGGCGGGGCCCCGAGGGGGTCCGCGCTGCCTGCCCGGGGACCCCTTTTCTTGGCAGAGAGGATACTGACATCGGTCTGGAGGCCGTACGTCAGTCCCGGGGATGTCGGGATCAGCCTTGGAGGATGCCCTCGATCTTTATCCTTTCCTATGTCCCCAGTCCCTGGCAAAAGGTAGTAGACCCAGGGGAAGGATGCAGGAAGCGAGGAAAGGAATTCCCATGCCATGAGCACCATCCTAGAGGTGTTGACACACAAACACGCGCGTGCACACAAATCCTCTAAGGTAACCACAACAACAGAACCTATGAGCCATTTGTGAATACGCCGGCACTCGGAAGTGCTGTGGACACACTCCTACTCCACCCCTGACTCACTGCGCCTGCCTCTCAGACAAGGACCCATGCCTCCCTTCAGTCCTCTCTGAAGTGGGGACCGTACTGGCATCTGCCTCATTTAGTAGCTGTGAGGATTAAATGTGGTTGAACCCGTAAACTCGCTTGAACAGCACCTGGCATTGAAAGGATTGTAGCTGGCACCCTCCTCCTCATCTTCCTCATTCAATCAGTTAGGAATGCATTCAGCTGCAAGCTCAGGAAACGCAACCGACAGTTGCCTAGATGTGCAGGTGTGTTTTTCTCCCATAACAAGGAGTTCAGAAGTCGCCTGTCAGCCTGGGAGCACAGCTCAGCGATGCGTCAGGACACTGGGCTTTCTTTCCATCCCCAATCCTCACCATCCTATTGCTGGTCTCCTCCTGGTTGCCAGATACTTGCTGTAGCTGCAGATCTCAGATTCAAGATCCAGGCAGGAAGAAGGGAGAAAGGACAGGAGGTAAAGGGCTTTCTCCTAGTAAGGGTTTCCTGTTTATTCTGGAAGGGACAGGAACCTCTTGCACTTCGATTGTCCAGAAGTGTCCATGCAGGTTATCTTCACTGCAAGGGAGGCTGGAAAATGCCTATTTTTAGTTGAAGTCCTTGCTCCTCTACCTGGAGTTAGGGTTCTGTTAGCATACGAGGGACATGGTTATTGAGTAGACAACTAACGGGACCTGCCAGTGTGCTGTTGCATGGTCTACCTAACCTCCACTCTGGAGACAGAGAAATCAGTGCCCAGTAACGCTGGAAATCTTGCCCAAGGTCACACAGCTAGTGGGTGTGACATCCCAGTCTCCTGATTCTAAGTATTAATGTTCTGTAAATCAATGACTTGACATTGATTGTTGAGGCATTTTTATGGCATTGGTTTTGAAGCACTGATGTTAATTTATGAAGCGTATTTATAATAACTGCTTTAAAATTCTTACCAGATAATTCTACCATCTGATGCATCAAAGTATCAACATCTATTTATTGTCTTTTCTCACTCGGGTGGTTTTTTTCTGGTTCTTGGTATGACAAGTGGGTTTGTATTATATTCTGGTCATTTGGTTATTATGTTCAAACATAATAAAAGATTATTACAAAACATTAAAGAATATCTCCTGTTGTAGATACTGGTTGCAGACATCTCTGACACCCAGTCTAGGCTACATGGGAGATAAAAAGAAAAGTCTAAGGAACCCACCATATTATCTTTCCTCCAGTCCTGAGGTCTCTGGCCAGTCTACCTTCTTCTACCCAACTTTCAGAGTCCTTTTATCATTGTCTGTTAAAGAATTTCCATGGTATTTAGTTTTTAGAAGGGAGGAGTAGGGAAAAGTGAGTCTACTCATTTTGTTTCAGAACCAAAATCCTAAACCCTTTTCAATAGCACATTCCAACCTACCTCTCACGAACTCCCACTAAATACCCCAAATCTACGCCAGCTCCAAGGGATTGTTTGGTCTTCTCAGGGGATGGTGCCATGTAAAGAGCTCAGCATCAGTCAGATATCCAGCAACAGAAGTAGCTAGATCAGGCTTGGTGAGATAGAGCCCACGTAGTCGGACCATATGGCCTCCCTCCTGGTCCCCTGGCATGAACATTGAGGTGACCAAGGACACAGTCTGACTCCATAGGGTAAATGACCCAGTATACCCATTCATTCAGTGTCCTTTTTGTACTAGGTGGCCTCTGGTAAGCATTGACATGAGATAGAAGATTCACATATGGCGCCTATTCCCAAGATCCCTGCACATACCTCTCTGTCTCCAGTCTTTCAACCTTATTCTCTTCCAGTTCCCTGAACAACTAGAGAAGCTTGCATTAATACCTGGACCTGCTACAGAATTTTCTCACGCTCTAAGCGTCACTCAAACCTGCCAGCCTTCCAAATCACTTCCCAAATGGATTGCAGCAGTATTCCCAAGTGAGCCATGTGCTGCCTCCAACATCCAAAGTTCCACCTAGTGCTATGTCTCTGTCCTTGTCATAGCGCCTGCAAAGAGAATAATTTGCCCTATACTTTTGAAGGTATGTCCCAGCAGACTCTACATCTTTAGTCCCCTAAGAACCTAGCCTAAGTTTTATATCCCTGGAACATCATAAGATTGGCCTCCCAATGCACATATGTCTTACCAGAGTATTCAGCATCTTTCTACTCTCCTTTTCACCAGTTCTAATCTGGAAAATATCACCATATGTTGCACCAATGTGCTTAAGGTTCCTGAGGATTATATTGTGACAGTAATCAGAGATTTGATATAGCCCTGGGACAGACAATAGAGAGAAGGTGTACTGTTGTCCTTCCCACGTAAAAGCTGTTTCAGATCTTTTCTGATGACAGCGTGATGGCTCCCCTGACTAATGTCAGCTCAGAATCTGTATCCAATCACCCTCCAAAGTATGACTGTTTCCCTTTCCCCTATGTACAGTTATCCTGGTAAATAACCATGGGCCCTTTGGGGAAAACAATGTATAATATTTATGGTATATATTGTAGTGACACTGTAAAGTCCTTCCTCGAAGGGACCTTGCTTCTCCTTTAGTCGATGGGGTCTAGGTCTATAAAAACTGGTTTAGATATGGAAACTGAATGAGGGATTGTGATTTTTCATTGCAGCATCTGATATCAGCCTTCCGTTCACCAGTCCTTGAATTATCTGTGTGCACAATCAACCAGTACCCTAATTGTCTGCTAATTTCTTGAGCCCCAAGGAATACCATAGTCTACTAGCCATCCCATAGACACTTATGTTTGGTTGCTTTTCTGGATTTTTTACCATTACAGAAATTCTGTCCACCCTACCTCTGATAGTTGAGGATCTCTATCTGAACTCTTCTATTTCAGAATCCCAGCAACCCCCATGACACTACAGAGTGTAGTTCCATGGAGTAACTTCCTACTGTTAATACCAGCTTCAGAGAACAGCCAGTATTGAGTTGCCAAAAGATGCAGACACTCCCCACACTGGTATATTTCTTATTGCTTTGGTGAAGAAAGTGTCCTCTGGGCCCTCCCAGGAAACACAGTCAAATGATAGAGTCTTTGATCTTACATAATAAATCCATTCTCACATTTCTACCTCCCTAAGCCTTCTAAGTTCCTACTCAATACTCTGCCAAGGCAAGCATAACATCTACACCTCATTTACATCATGCCCAAGCTTCGCAGTGCCATCTCAGCAGTGTATTTGAATGATTTCCAAGTATCCTTGCCAAGAAGTCAAATTCTAAGACATAGACAAGTTCCTCCAAATCAACAAACTGAATTCAATATCTCCGTGGCTTATTCAGACACATTTCTCTCTGTCGCTTGGTGACATATATTAGCCAAGACTTGCAGTTATGTTCACTAGATGCTGTTTATTCCTAGAAAAGAAACTTTATTTTCCCACTTGGGCTATACTGGGACCTGGCCCTAGTTATTTGTGTAGAGGAAATAAGAAGAGATGGAGACAGATCTTGAGAAGGACAAGCATCACATTGGAAGTCAACCATCTCAGGTGAAGACTCTGCACAGTATCCAGGTATCAGCATCCTTGGGAAAAGGGAAAGGGCTATTCCCAAGAGGGTTCTTGGGAATCTAGGTGTTCAAGCTTAGACTCATCTATCCAAATGTCCTCCTCCCAGGTTACATGATTCTACCACCCTATCAGTGCCCTGACTTAAGCACAGAAAACATATTCAGGGTGTTCCCTTTGTATTTCTGGTATAGATTTGCAGGATGTCAATACAAAACGCTTAGTTAAATTTGAATTTGAGATAAGCAACAAATAATATTTTAGTGTAAGCAAGTATGCCCCATGCAATATTTAGAACATACTTATACTAAAAGTTATTCCGTGTTTATCTGAAATTCAAATTTAACTGGAAAGCCTACATTTCATCTGGAAACCTTCCTCTTGGCACCCTTACAATCAAATCCTGGCTCTGATTTTCAGCACAGTCTGCACTAAGTTGGCAGGAGATGCGGATTTCTTTAAACACCGCCACAGATGCCTTCTGGCTCTCACAGTATGCCCTGGGGAGATAGACCTGAGCCTGTCATTCCGTTTCCCAAGTATGTGTTTAGTTGTTATGACAGTTTTTAAATAATTTTAAATACCTGAAAATTCTAACCAAGTATTTTCAGAACCTGAAATATGTTTACAAACCCTGCTTCAAAACCAGTGACCTAGCCCAGCAACCTGAGCAGGTAGGATTTGAGCCTGTCTTGAGGGTTAACCTTGGATAACTGTAGGAGAAAATGAGAAGGCACAAAACACAGCCTGACATTGCATTTCCACCCAGAACTGAAGGCACACGTGCTCCCAGGAATAGGTGGACTCATTTGGATTTGTGGGGTCAGAAAGCCATGGAAGATAGGGCTGGAAATTAATTGGGTTTGGAGTTCAGGTGGAGGCAAGCTTGGAAAACTGTAGTTCACAGAAGGGCAAGACTGAGGTGAGTATGGGGAATGGGAAGGTGAAGGTGAGGATTCACGGGTTAGGAATTGGCTCTAGGTATATTACTAGTTGGTAATGGGCTTTGAATCTGGCCATGAGTGAGGGGGAGGCCTAGGGGCGGTGATACTGCTGGATTCCTGCTGCTGGCTCTGGGGTGGTTTCAGCCAAGCCCTGTGCTGACATCAGACCAACCTGAGAGGTGCAGGCGGTAGCAGCTCGAGCGAGAGATCTTGTAACAGCTTTCACTGTGGGGAGGACATTAGCGTTACTGCAAATATTCTGCAACATTCATACAAGAGTTTAACGTGAGATATGAAGTGTGGCTTGTGTGTTGAAACTGAAATTAGGCCATCGCTATGAATTATGGAAGTGGAGAAGAAGCAAAAGGAATTGTTCCTGTAATGCCTAATTCGACCATTGTGACTTGGGAATGGGGTGATGCCCAACACCTGCTGTAGGGATGCCCACCACCTGGTATAGGGATGCCCACCACCTGCTGTAGGGATGCCCACCACCTGCTGTAGGGATGCCCACCACCTGCTGTAGGGATGCCCACCACCTGATGTAGGGATGCCCACCACCTGCTGTAGGGCACGATGCACTCAGGGCCTAACAGGGCTGCTTGCCACTGTTTTCCCCAGCATGGGCCCATGAGGGGGGCTCTGGTTTTGAATTTCTACATCTGCTCTTCACAGCTTTCCTGCTTCTGGCTGTGCCAGGCCCCATGAACCAGTCACCCCTGCTGTGGCTGTTGCCTGCCCCAGGCGCTGTGGAAATCCAGGCTCAGAGCCCCTTAGACCTGGGTTTGCCTCTGGTCTCCCCTCTCTGACTGTGTGACCTTGCACCAGTGCCTCAGCTTCCTTATCTGCACAACCCAGTTGACACTGGGGAGTTCAGATGCCCAACCCAATTGCTAATGTGCATGCCAGGCTCCCAGACCACACTTGCTGGGCATACCGTAGCCTTCAGTGAGGACTGGTTCCCTTCCTGCTGTCTTCCTTCATAACCACATGACCAAGATTTCCAGAAGTGGGTCTGGAAATTTTATTGCCTGAACTCATTCCCTTCAATTTGGACCATTTCTGCCTAATTCCTGAATCCCTGATGGTTAAAGCTCCTAATTAAGGTAATTTAGGTAAAGAGAACTGCTCATTGGCCCATGCCCCAACATGAGCTGAAGCTTCCAGAACCCCCAGAAGGCTGAGATTTCTGATGGTTTTAGATTCAAGAACTTCATTGTTCAGATTTTTCACTCCTCTTGGCTGGCCTCTCTGGTTCATTACAGCTCCCTTCAAGCACTCATCAAGATGTAGTTCTCTATGTGTGCAGATGAGGGAAAGCACATTGCCAACATAAGTGTGAGAGTCCTACACTTTCAAGCAGTCACACATGTGGGGTAGAAATTTAGGAATCCTAAATGGAATTCTGCTAAGCTTTGAGCAAAAGGGGATTACTTCTTGCTCTGTAGCACACGCATCCTAGGAGAGAAAACAAAGGGTGATCTTGGACCAACACAAGAAAGAGAAAGAGGCTGAGTTGGGGGCCACCATCTGAAAACATAGTAAGAGCCAATGAACGG
This sequence comes from Homo sapiens, assembly GCF_000001405.40. Lineage (NCBI taxonomy): Eukaryota > Metazoa > Chordata > Mammalia > Primates > Hominidae > Homo > Homo sapiens. The sequence goes on from NC_000002.12 coordinate 237,482,016, forward strand.
CAACAGCAAGAGGAGAATGTTGGCCCACAAGCCAGCAGAGATCCCTGTGAGGACAATTCAACCCTCCCTCTCCCAGCTCCGCATTCTGTCATCCCATCAAGTCATTTCCCAAGAGACCCTGCTCTTCCAGGGAAGTGCTGTGAGCTCAGGCCACCTGGATGGTGGAGGGCAGAGCTAGCTCTGTTTGGAAAATGCCCTTCAGTCAAAGTTAAGATGAAGGCCAGCATCAAAATATGATATTATGGTTATTGAACAATATTTATTCAACACATATTTGTTGAGAGCCTACTATGCACCAAGCACCGTGGAAGGCAGCAGGACATCAGAGTGAGCATCGCAGTCCCTGTCCTCCCAGAGCTCAGAGCAGGGGAGCAACAGACACTAACCCGATAATCACACGAGCACGGGAGATAAATGATGGGCCTGATCTGCAAGAACATGCAGGAACCCCAGGGAAGCCGACAGTGGGCAGGGCTGCTTGGCCAGGACCTGATTTCTGAGGGAAGGACAGTTGAGTGGTGATCCGAACAGGGAGCAGGACTTGGACAGATGAAGGGAGGTTGGGTTGCAGGGTCATTCAGAAAAGAGCTGGAGCCCAGAGAGCAAGCGGAGGCAGCCAGGGTGGGGCTGTGCAAGTAGACCAATGTGAGCCCAGGGAGCTGCGTGTGTGTTCAGCTGCTTGGAGGGCAGTCACATGAGGCTGTGTGCTGACGAACTGGCAGGAGCAGAGTCAGGTGACAGCTCTTTAAAGGCCTAGGGCACTCTTGCATAACCCACGATCCCCCACCCAGCTGAACAACGGCAAAGCCAGAATGCTTCCAAAAATGGGGTCCCCCCTCCATTTTCCAGGTTTATTGGAAGAAAAAAAAAAGGATTCAGTGTCTGATGAAAACATATTTTCTTGTAATTTACAAGTAGTTTCCTGGATATGGCTAAGATTTGGGGCAATATTTTGCATGTGTTCTGTTTCCTGGATGGTTATCTCAAAAATCCAGAACCCTTGTTAGCCTAATGCCATATTGGCCCAGAGGGTTTAGACAGAGAGACTGAGGGGGACGGGTTTTAACTACTGCCTGCCAGAGAGCTGGAGCACCTGAGAGGGTCAGTGGATGGGAACTGCAGGCCTTTTCAGCACTAATCCTGGACTCTGCCATTGCAAAGGAAGCAGGCACGTCCAGACTCTGTGAGGCTCCTTGGTGAGCCAGAAACCTTCTCTCCCCTAAGGTTCCCTATCCACGTGCAGAGAGGAGGCTAAGCCCAAGGCCACCCCTCAGTGGGACTTGCCTGACCAGTTATCCTTGGAACTGGGGTATGCCCAGGCAGTGAAATTAAAGGGTGCTTCTCTGAAGCCCATCTTTGGTGGTGAGCTTCCTGCTGGCATGGCCAAGTGAACCATCCTTTCCTCCCTCTCATGCCAGCCACTAAGTCCCAGCAAAGGCTGAGTCTCCAGACGGCCACTATTACGACAAGGAAGTAGGGAGGGGACTCTGCTGTCCTCTGGTGTCCACCCACCAACCCAGACTTTAACAGTGTGGCTTGTGAGGCTCAGGGCTGAAGAGATCGGCTGCCTCTGACTCATTGTGTGATCTTGGGTAAACACCATCTGACTCTCTGGGCATCAGTTTCCTCCTTTAGAAAGTGAACAAGGAAGGGTAGGTCTCAGGGCAGGGTAAAACGTCAGGGAGGTAGAGGGTACCAGCGACGGGCACACTGGGGAGCCCTGAGAAGAAGCTGGGGAGGCAGGAATACAAAGATAAAATCTATTCTCTGCTACCATTTGACATTGTTTATTAAATTTTATTCTTTATTTATTTAGTTTTTTTTTTTTGAGACAGAGTCTTGCTCTGTCACCCAGGCTGGAGTGCAGTGGCACAATCTCGGCTCACTGCAACCTCTGCCTCCCTGGCTCAAGCGATTCTCCTGCCTCAGCCCCCGGAGTAGCTGGGACTACTGGCGCGCACCACCACACCCAACTAATTTTTGTATTTTTAGTAGAGACAGGATTTCGCCATGTTGGCCAGGCTGGTCTCGAACTCCTGACCTCAAGTGATCCGCCCGCCCTGGCCCAAAATGCTGGGATTACAGGCGTGAGCCACCGCGCCTGGCCTTATGAAATTTTAAATGTGTACACCCCTCCTCCAAAAATACATATTAATTACAGGGGGGAAGGGAGTAACTTGCCCATGGAGAAGGCTGGAAGACAGCACCTTAGTCTGGGGATCCCAGCAGCAGTAAGGAGACATACTGCAGCCATGCACCAGCTGACAGGACACAGGGAGAGGACCCGGCCTCACTTCTGCAAGATGATTCTCCCAACCATGCAAAACCTGAGTATAATCATGGGAAACAGCAGACCAACCCAAATTTAGGGACAGCCTAAAAAATAAGTGGCTTAATATTTAAATAGCAAAGCCATGAAAGTCAAAGACAGAGGAACTGATCTGATTTGAAGGAGACTTAGAAATGACAACTAAACAGAACATGAGATTCTAAACTGGATCGTTTGGCAACAAAAAATTACGGAGACAACTGGCAACATTTGAAAGGACTCCGATGATTAGATGATAGCAACATATCATGTACAGATGTTGATGGTTGGATTGCAGTTTAATAGAAGGTTGTCCTTGTTTGTATAAAATACACTAAACCCTCATGTCAGAAACTCCATCACAAATGGCTAGGGGAAGGTAGGGTTCTTTGTGTTATACTTGAAACTTTCTGTAATTTGGGGATTGTTTAATCATTTTAAATGTTTATAATTCCAGGGCCGGGTGCAGTGGCTCACACCTATAATCCCAGCACTTTGGGAGGCCGAGGAGGGTGGATCACGAGGTCAAGAGATCAAGACCATCCCGGCCAACATGGTGAAACCCCGTCTCTACTAAAAATACAAAAATTAGTGGTGGTGTGCGTCTGTAGTTCCAGCTACTGGGGAGGCTGAGGCAGGAGAATTGCTTGAACCCGGGAGGCAGACGTTGCAGTAAGCCGAGATCAAGCCACTGCACTCCAGCCTGGCAACAGAGCAAGATTCCATCTCCATTAAAAAAAAAAAAAAAAGTTTATAATTCTAGAATTTTCTCTTAAAATTGTATACATCCTTTGACTCAGAAAATCCAAATCTATAGGCTTTTAGTCTACAGATATATCAGTATGTATGTACAATGATATTCATGTGTCATCCTATGTATGATAGGTGTCAATAAGAATTATCTAGGATGATATTTATGGCAGAATCATTTAAATAGCAAAAAATCAAAAATTAACTGTCCATCAATAGAAGACTGGTAAGTAATTATGGTAACTCACACATTGGATACTCTGCAACCAAAAAAGGATGAAGTAGATCAACAGGAATAGTAATTAATATTTACCAAGCACTCACCACATGGTGTCTCACCCAAGCTGCAGGGATATTGATTCACAACACCCTTATGTGTAACTCCCATTACTATTCTCATCATGGAGAAGAGAGAAAAAAGTCAGTAGAAGATTCAGTAACAGGTCCAAGATGACACAGCTTGTGGGCCACACTCCTAGTTGGAATTCCGACTCTTGCAGTTGGTTTGAGCCCACATGCTTAACCTCACACACACACACACCATTCAGAAAGAATATAGAAGACACCATTAATAATGATTGCTTTCTGGTCATGGAGGTTAGTAATGGAATAAGAGAGAATTTGGCTTTTCATTTTATACTCCTTATATTCTTTACTATATACCTTATATATCAGCGTGTGTCAGTTGTATATTTTTTAAAACCACTACTTCAAATAAATAAGCACTAAAGTATTAAAAACATTTTTAAAAACTTCTGCCCTTAAGGAACTTAAGTCCCTACATCAACTCTTAAGGGATTTATTAATCTTAACAAGTAACAGTAAAGTATATGGCAAGGAGGTAAGGAAATGAAAAACATAAGCACCAGATCATATGGGATGTGGAAATACTGGCTTCAGTGTAAGCTTCACTCTATTCCAGGGTTCACACTCAACAATTGATGGTGTTTGGTAAGAGCACCTGTCTCAAAGCAGCCCAGGGGCCTGAAATACCCTGATTCACCTACAGTGTTCCCCTGGGCTCAGCAGGCAACAACATTCTTTTTTGTTCTTTTGCAGCCTTTTGAAAGCTGTTTACAAATAATCTAATGTGATATCACAACAATCCTATAAGGTTTTGATTCCTCTTCTGTTAAATGGAGATACTAGTATCTATTCATTCACCTAATGGCTTTATTCCTATCATTTTGCAGATAGGAAAACTGAATTGCAAAAGCGGTTCCTGGAGAACAGAATGTGAGTTTTTAAGTGACAAGGGAGAGGGAGGGGGAGGGAGAGAAAATTCTGAAGCGCCCAGTCTTGGAGGATGAGGGAGGAGGGCAATTCCCTAATGTCCATTGGAATTCGGAAGGACAGGCAGGCCGGGCGGACTGGAGACGGCGGCTCGCCTTGGGACCCTCTGAGCTTGCGGGCCCCGCTGAGCACCCAAAGGCCGGCCCTAGAGTCCAGGAGAAGAGCGCAGCGGCGCGGAGCTCCCAGGCGTTCCCCGCAGCGCGTCCTCGGTCCTGGAACCACCGCGCCGCGCGTCCTGGCTTCCACATCTGCCCCATTTGCCCGCGGATCTTGACTTTTTCTTGGCGGGCAAGGCCTCGGTCTCCTCCCCGCAGCAGGGCTGCCCGCGGCTGCGGGACCCTCCTGGTCCTGATGCCTGGCAGAATCGAAGGGGTGAGGGTACGCTCTCTGCAGCAGAAAGCCCTGGGCTTAAAGTCCTATTTATTATTTGGCGTTGCCACTTACTGGTCGGTGGCTTTGGTAGGGCGCGTTTCTGAGCCTCAGTTTCCCCATTTGTAAAGCCGAAGTACATAGCGCTTTCCCTGCAGAGTTAGAAATTTCGACGATGTGCCGCGCGCTCTAGAGCGCGCTCAGCAAGCGGGTCCCACCGTGCCCAAGGCAGGACCGCGGCGCGATGTCACCTATGCAAAGTCGCCGCAACTCACGGGAATCGCAGCTGTGTGCTCAACTTTCCCCTCCCCGCCGCCGTCTTTCTCCCCAAACTGGCTTGGGGGTCGAGTATCCGGGGCTCTCCCCCGCACTGGCGCTTCCCGCGCGGGCGCCCCAGGTGTCCGTTCCGTTCCGCCCTCTGCCTGGCAGGGCATCCAGAGGTGTCCGCGCTCCCGGAGCTGGGCGGAGCGGGGCGCAGCCCACGTGGTTCGGGCGGGAGGCGCCGGGACGTGGCCAGTTGCCCGCCTGCCCCGGAGAGCCAGGCGCTAACCAGCCGCTCTGCGCCCCGCGCCCTGCTTGCCCCCATTATCCAGCCTTGCCCCGGCGCCCTGACCTGACGCCCTGGCCTGACGCCCTGCTTCGTCGCCTCCTTTCTCTCCCAGGTGCTGGACCAGGGACTGAGCGTCCCCCGGAGAGGGTCCGGTGAGTGCACTGAGAAGAGGGAACAGCGGGGCCAGGGTGGCGCCCAGGACTCGGGGCTTAGGCTTTGGGGGGTGCGCGGTGTCGCGTGCAGACCCACTGGTGTGAAAACGCCCCCAGCCGCCAGCCTCCCGGCCTCGGTCCAGGCTGGTGAGGACAGCGCGTTCCCAGCCACCCAGCCTTAGTCCCCCAGGCTTCACCTGGATTCTTTGAGCAGACTGCTCTGGGTGCAGGCACGGGTGGGAGTGGGATGGCGGGGGATCCCCATTTTGGGCAAAACGGTTGGTTTTAATCAGAAGCTCCATTGCCTCCATTGCGAGTCTGCCATGCAGACTGGGCCAAGGCTGCTGATGCCAAGTAGGCTGGCCCCAGGGGAAAGGTTTCCTCCCAGCCCAGGAGCTGGTCTTGGGGTGAGGAAGAGGCCAGATGATCTTGGCCTGGGAGGAGGCACCTGGCTTCCTCTGGGCGTCTAAAAGTCTGTTTTATTGGAATCACCTTTTGTTTGCAGACAGACTCCCTGGGCCCACCAGGGAGGTGTGGGAAGTAGAGATGTGGGAAGGGTCTGTGAGCTGTGAGCACCTGTGGGCTTCGTCCCTACTAGCCCCAAGTCCCTACAGGAACGGAATCTCACTTGTAAATCCCTTCCCCGGGCTTAGACACCGCGTCCCACTGACATTAACTGGCACTGGAAACTCCACCTCACTTCCACACGGAACTTGGGACAGGTCCTTTTTTAGATGGTGTGACTGGTATCTTCTTCACTTATTTCTTTCTGAGGGAGTGAAATGACAGTCGGGGGAGAGCAAGGCTCCCAATAGGTGCAAAGGCCAGCATTGCTGGGGGCTGTGAAGTCTCAGGAAAAGGCTTCTGGACTTGCAGACCGCGTTGCTGAGCAGTGACATTGACACCCCGGGTTCAGCTGTCCTGCATCTGTCCTAGGAAACCCATCCCTCCAGCTGGCCTGCATCTGTCCTAGGAAACCCATCCCTCCAGCTGGCCTGCATCTGTCCTAGGAAACACATCCCTCCACCTGCTCATTGGCGGGATTCAGCTGACCTCAGTAAGGCCTCAGCCTTCCTGGGCCCAGCCCCCTCCCTGCCCAGGACCGTGCTCCTTAGTATCTAAGTACCAGGCATGGGTCACTGTGCTCCTGGCCCTCACTCAGGCTCTAAGAACAGTAGCAGGTGCCTCAGAGGATTGACTGAGGACACATTTAGAGAACATGGGATGGTGCCCGGCACACACATGGGGAGTCAGTGGGTCTTACTGAGTACGACATGAGTGACTCAGAAAAAAATTAAAACAAACCAGCTGAATGTGTGCCCAGTGAGGGGCTGGAGGTGGTGGAAGTGTCCCAGAGCCCTGTGGGCTAATGGGAAAAGTGAAATTGGTGCCTTTCAACCACAATGCAATAACGGCTCAAATAAGCCCCAGTCTCAGTGGTTGGGGCAGCCTTCTAGGGCCAACTGTCTTGTTCTTTTCAGAAGCAACCTCTGGAGGAACAGTCTTTGCCCCTACTCCTCCCCACTACCCCCACACCATCACTCCCCCTCTTAATTTCAACATCCTGGCATCATCCAGGGCTGGAGAGGGCCAGAGAGGTCTTGGAGCTCAGCCATTGTCCATGGTACAGATGGGGAAACTAAGACCCTGAGAGGAGGGGCATCTTTCCCAGGTGGCTGGGCTGGCTGTGCCTGAACTGGGATGGGAACCCAGCTCCCACCTCTCAGCACCATCCTCCTACAGCCTCACCTGGGACCCATCCTTGCGGTAGAGACTAGCACTGAGGCTTTAGGTGTAAATGCAGAACTCATGTCCATTTATAAATGAGGTTTACCACCAACTCCCCAGAGAACTGGGAGAGCAGAGGGGATGGCAAGTTGGTGGGCAGGTGGCTGAGGGGCAGAACACCCTCCCAGTGCTGTTGCTGCTGGGGCCATTCCAGACCCTTGTGGCTACAGCACAGATGTGCCTGGTTCACTTGTAGGGAAGGGAGTGGCCCTTCTAGGTGGAAATGTGCTCATTTAGCCACTGATGAGAGCTGGGGGTCAGTGCCTACTGATGGGCCCCACCTATAGAAATAACCATACAGGCTGACCTGGACGGCAGCATTCGGGAAACAGCCACAAAGGATTAAGGCAGAGGGCACTACAGTTGTCATCTCTGCCACCTCCCCTTTATCAG